>NC_000016.10:20304667-20607698 GCF_000001405.40 Homo sapiens | reverse complement strand
TCCCTGTCAATTGGCCATGTAGTTGCAAAAATGCAAGGATACACAGGGAAATCTTGCAGAGGTGCTGCTTTCTGGGTTTTGTTGTTTTCAGGACAAAGACCAAATGGGAAGAACAAGTCGCATATCTCTTTCCAAGGGAGAGGATTGGCAAACTATTGGCAATGGTACTAGAACATTGTAAATTGCACAGGTGGCTCACATTCTATTTCTTTTGGACGGTGCTGCCCCAGAGCTGTCTTCAGCTTTGCAAGGTCAGTTCAGGATTGGCCAAAGGCTTTTTGAGGGATTGCCTTTGAAGTATTGAGCCTGGAGAAGTGGGCTCTGAGTTCTGACCTCAGACCCAGAGACCCACAAGTCAGTGAGAGGTCAAAAGGACGGACCTCGGGGTCAGAGGAGAGAAATGACCATCACACAGCAGAACTGAGACTTTCTGCTCAGAAATGTGGAGAGTTTGTTCTACAAGTCAGTAGGGACCACAGTCACCATCAGCACTGACCACAGGTTTCTCCTAACCTCTGTGTTGTCCCCAAAGCCCAGAATTTATGACAATGCTCTCTTTCCTCTCTTTGGTGACAGACAGGAGGCGACCGCATGAGACCATGGCTGAGACACCTAGTCCTCCAGGCACTGAGGAACTCCAGGGCATTCTGTGGGTCTTGTGGGCAGCCAGCACCTCTACCTGTTCCTCAGAAGATCGTGGCCACCTGGGAAGCCATCAGCCTGGGAAGGCAGCCGGTGCCTGAATACTTCAACTTTGCCCATGATGTGCTGGATGTGTGGAGTCGGCTGGAAGAGATGAAGCCTGTTCTGTCCTAGAGTCCATCTGGGGCATCTGAGGCTGCCCTCATGTACCACAATGAGACTCAAGGCTCCAAGACATGTTGATGAGGAAATTTGGACCTGGGAATTTTGCTAGTTCTAAAATGTAAACTGTTGGCATTTGACACTTAGGAAAAAAATTCTGAGTCAGTGTTGTGAGCCTTAGACATGCTTGTTCCTTCTCTGAAGTGTCCTGCGTTCTTGAGCCCAAATCACACAGTGAGACAGTTATGTCCCTTCCGATTCCCTTCCAGTTGTTCATCAACTGAAGGAGGAAGTTTTGTTTTGCTGCTACTCTATCTTTGATGTCTCTCTCTCACTGTCATGCCCTTCTCTTCTAAATAAGGAAAGAAGGCCGGGCGCGGTGGCTCATGCCCATAATCCCAGCACTTTGGGACACCGAGAAGGGCAGATCACCTGAGGTCAGGAGTTCGAGACCAGCCTCGCCAACATGGTGAAACTCCATCTCTACTAAAAATACAAAAAAAAAAAAAAAAAAAAATTACCCAGGCATGGTGGTGCACACCTGTAGTCCCAGCTACTTTGGAGGCTGAAGCATGAGAATTGCTTGAACTCAGGAGGCAGAGGTTGCAGTGAGCCAAGATCATGCCACTGCACTCCAGCCTAGACAACAGAGTGAGACTCCACCTCAAAAAATAAAATAAAATACAACAAAACAATATAAAATAAGGAAAGAATAGGGCTCAGGCTCAAAGCTTTTTGCAGATCATAACAGATACATAGAATTGAATAAGATAACCCTGATTTCTTTGTGTGTCTCTGTGCATCTGCTTTCTTCTTTATTTTCTCTTATATCTGTGTCTGTTGGGTCTCTCTATTTCATGGTTACCTTTTATTTGTGTTACATGATACTAACTTTTCATTTATAAGAGGAAGACATACTTGTAAAACTGTATTTCAACCAATGTGAAGCTTAACCAATGAGAAAAGCCTTTTCCCTAGGGGCTTTTTGTCCAAAACAATTACAGACAAATGTTTAACTTCATTGTTGCCTAAGGTGATGGATAACAGTAGGGACAAACAATAGACTCACCAAAAAGTGAAAAAAGAAAAGCTGGAGAATACAAAACTGGAAACATAAAATTTAATTCAAAGAATTGTATTCATGTTAATTATAAGAAGAGATTGTTTAAAGAAAAAGTATGAAGTAAATGGCGTTGTTAGTAGATACAATAAAATTAACTGTCAGCAGATGTGGTGAAACTTATGAAGGTGGTATGAGGATGACTGAGACTTAAAAGCAGGATTTGCAGTCAGATAGACATTGTTCATCCATGTACATGAAGTGTGACCTTGGACAAGTGCCCTAAGTTCTTTAGATCTCAACTTTCTCATCTGTAAAATGGTAGTCAGACCATATGCTACTTAGAGTAATAGTGAGAATTAAATGAGAATTGCATGTAAGAGATGAAGCCAGGATGCTCCATTACTGATGGCCTACAAAAATCGAAGTTCTTTTTGCAATACTAGGGGCATCCTTAGAAGACTTCTCCTAATGATAAAAACAAGCAAGCAGGATTAGGTCAGGAAAAAAAATGGTAGAATAAGGACTGTCCAGCTATGTGGTAGCCTTGAAAAATAACAGCCCCCATTTCTGGTGCATCACAGCAACCATTAGATGGGCCAGAATGGAGTTGGAGTTTTTTCAAAGCTTCACTTATGAAGAACTGTTATTATTTGAGCTGCCCATTGGTCCTTTGGAAGACCCTACTTGTAAAACTGTATTTGAATCAACTTGAAGCTCAACCAATGAGAAAAGCCTTTTCCCTGGGGGTTTTTGTCCAAAACAATTACAGACAAATGTTTTAGCTTCATTGTTGCCTAAGGTGATGGATAACAGTGGGACAAACAATAGATTCACCAAAGAGTGAAAAAAGAAAAGCTGGAGAATCCAATGTCTATGGGAGCTTTAAAAAATTCTATTGTATTCCTGGAAATCTAGAAATCAACACACGTAAGTAAGGCTGTGTGCTTTCCCAGGGCATTGCACATGCTTAGGAAAGATCTGAGGAAACTCTAGGCTCCCACTTCTGGCAGACTGAGAGTTGGAGCATGCAGGAAATTAAGACTAAGGCAGGATTGTTAATTGCCTGGCTGAGTGCTAAAGGTGTGCCCCAACACCCACCCAAAGACTGGGAGATTTATTGGTTTCAGGCATTTAAAGAAATTTCTGTCTAATCATAAGATGACTACTAAGTGATGCTGAGTGAGTAAGTGATCACGCACTTATTCAGAAGGCTAGGGTTTTTAGGCTGTTATTATTATTATTGTTACCTCTTCCAGCTCATGCATTCCAACCCTCCCCAGCCCCTTCCTGCCTTCATCTCTTACCTCTATACCCAAAGTCTTCCCTACTATCCACTCAACATCCCCTTCTGTTTTATGCCAGGGACTGTGATGATTCCAGGTGTCACTCAGCTGACGCAGAAGGACCTCAAGTACCGGCTGCACGCGTCCAGGGCCAAGTCCATTATCACCAGTGACTCCCTAGCTCCAAGGGTGGACACCATCAGCGCCGAATGCCCCTCCCTCAAGACCAAGCTGCTGGTGTCAGACAGCAGTCGGCCAGGCTGGTTGAACTTCAGGGAACTCCTCCGGTGAATTGGGGCTCTCCAGGAGAACAGCAGAAAAATGAAGTCATTTCCCCTTTAAGCAACAAGAGATGAAATGCATTGCTGATTCCACACATAGAGAGCGAATCAGAGAGGAACACTCCCATTGGCAGCCAGGCTGACTTGAGCATAATCCTGGTCCCTACCTTAATGTTCAAGGTCCCTCATTCAGTCAGTGCTGGATTTGTCAGCAGCTTTTCTGTGCTTCATTTGCTTCTATAATGCGGTGGTAGTTATTAGAGCTACCATTCAGAGTACATGAAATAACCAATATGGTGCATTTAGCACATAGCAGGTGGTCAGTTAATAATAAACTAGTGGCCATGTATTGGGTACTTAGTGTATCGCTAGATACTGTGCTATGTAAGCCTTCACCTTCATTCATTCATGCAGCGAAGATTTAATGAACATCTATTTCACGACAAGCATTGTGTTTGGTGTTCAGAACACCATAATGGATCAAACATCATCTTATTTAATCCCTGAAAAGGACATTGTGATGGGCCCTTTAACTCAGTTTTACAGATGAGGAAACTGAGACTTGGAAAACTAAAGTGACTTGCCCAAGGTGCTAAAAAGTAGTCAAGTCAGGAGTGGGCAGAGCCGAAAGCATATTTGCCTTGGAGCAAGGGCCTGGTGGAAACCCATCTCAGAATTTGAGACTTTGTCCTGATTGGAAGCCAGAACCCAAAAGGAGCCTCTCAGGGGCCTGAACCATTGAGTCATGCATGCTCACCCCACAGACCAGCTGCATCAGATTCACCTGGGTGCTGTTTTGAATACAGATGACAAGGCCTCATATCTGACCTACTTAACCAGACATAGCTGAGCAAGAGCCCTGGGGATCTTTTTTAAAAAATCAGCCCATAGGGCCAGGCGCCATGGCTCACGCCTGTAATCCCAGCACTTTTGGAGGCTGAGGCAGGCAGATCACCCGAGGTCAGGAGTTTGAGACCAGCCTGACCAACATGGAGAAACCCCGTCTCTACTAAAAATACAAAATTAGCTGGATGTAGTGGCACATGCCTATAATCCCAGCTATTTGGGAGGCCGAGGCAGGAGAATCACTTGAACCCGGGAGGCAGAGGTTGCAGTGAACCAAGATCACGCCATTGCACTCCAGCCTGGGCAACAAGAGCGAAACACCATCTCAAAAGAAAAAAAAAAATCAGCTCATATGATTTTGAGAGCTGTCAGGTGGGCCTAGATCAGTGGTTCTCAATTTTGGCTGTTACTAGAATTACTGAGAAGCATTTAAGAAAACATCAAAGATTCTGATTTTATTTTGTTCAGGGTGGATACAGACAAGTTTCTTCCAAAAATTTACCAGGGGACTTCACAGTGCAGCCAGGGATGAGAGCCCGTGGATTAGCTGATCATCCAGATCACAGAACTTTGGGAATTACCTAGATCTCAAAACCCCATATTGGGGGAAACCTTTAGAAAAGAGTTCTAAATTATTAGAAATTGGGATGGGGGTGGAAGCTGTGCCTAAATGTGCAGAATTATAGACATGGACGTGTGTGTGTTCTACCAGAAAGTCCTCATACCTTGGTAAGAAAGCATGGGCTCTTTTGAGTGAGTTATGTAACCATTTTGAGCCTCAGTCTCCTGGTCTGCAAAAGGGTTATAATGATAGTACCTGCCCCTTGAGGTGGTTGCAGATTACCCAAGCCAGAGCTTTCAGCACAGCACCTCGCATGTGGTATTTATGAAACGGTAGTCATATTGTTGTTATACATATTATTGGTGCTACTAACTGTTTTTACCGTGGTAGTGCCACCTAGTGTTTTTACGTTTTACAGGGAGGCATCTACAGAGCACAACTGCGTGAGGACAAAGTGTCAAGACCCACTGGCTATCTACTTCACCAGCGGAACCACCGGGGACCCCGAGATGGTCGAGCACTCCCAGAGCAGCTACGGACTGGGTTTTGTGGCCAGCGGAAGGTACCAGAGCAGCTTGTCTAGAGCATCCAAGAACAGAAAGTGGGGAGTGGTCTGGAGGGGGTGGTGTGAGGGGAAAGGTGTCAGGAACTGAGGTCAGAGAGCCAGCAGAATTACTGAGAAGCCAATAGGAGCAGCTTAGGAAGGATCTTGATGGTTCTGGATTTTACTCTGAGCGAGGTGAAAAGCCACGGGAGGTTTCTTGTTAAATCGTGCTATATATATATATATATATATATATATATACACACACACACACACACACACACATATATACACATACACATATAAATATGTGTATGTATACATATATATACATACACATAAACATATATATACATATATCATAAATGTACCCTTTTAACCATTTTAAGTGTACAGTTTAATGTCATTAAATACATTCACATTGTTGTGCAACCATGATCACCATCCATTTCCAGAATTTACTTTATCTTTCCAAATGAGAACTATGCCCCCATTACCCAATAACACCCCATTACCCTCTCCCCTCACCCCTGGTAACCTCTATTTTACTTTCAATCACTGTGAATTTGATACTATAGGTATTTCGTGTGATTGGCATCATGCAGTCTGTCCTTCTGTTTTGCAATTTGGCTTCTTTCACTTAGCATAATGTCCTCAAGGTTCATCCATGTCATAGCATGTGTCAAAATTTCCTTCCCTTTTAAGACTGAAAAATATTCCATTGTATGGATAGACCACATTTTATTTATTTTATTTTTATTTTTATTTTTATTTTTTTGAGACAGAGTTTTGCTCTTTTACCCAGGCTGGTGTGCAGTGGTGCGATCTCCGCTCACTGCAACCTCTGCCTTCTGGTTTCAAGCGATTCTCTTGCCTTAGCCTCCCAGATAGCTGGGATTACAGGTGCCCGCCACCACACCTGGCTAATTTTTGTATTTTCAGTAGAGATCGGGTTTCACCATGTTGGCCAGGCTGGTCTTGAACTCCTGACCTCGTGATCCTCCCGCCTCAGCCTCTCAAAGTGCTGGAATTACAGGCATGAGCCACTGCACCTGGCCGTGACCACATTTTAAATAATCCATTCACCTGTTGATAGACACTTGGGTAGCTTCCACATTTTGGCTATTGTCAATAATGTTGCTATAAACAATGGCATGTGAGTATCTGTTAGAGTCTCTGCTTTCACTTCTTTTGGGTATACACGCAGAAATGAAATTGCTGGATCATATGGTAATTCTATGTTTAATTATTTTTGAGAAGTGTTGGATATTTTGAGCAGAGGAGTGACATAATCTAATATGTTTTTTAAAGGCTCACTCAGGATGTTGGGTTGACAATGAAACTGTAGGGGAAACAGGTAAAAAAGATGACCAGTGCATTAAGAGGCAAGCATGGTAGCTTGCCCCGGGAGCTGTAGTGAGGGAAGAGATGAGATTCTGAATGTATTTTCAACCTAGACCCAATAAGACTTGCTGACAGAATCAGTGTGGAATGAGAAGGAGGAGTCAAGGAGAGCTCTAAGAGGAATGGCCTGAACAACTGGAAGCACTAAATGATTGGGGAAGAACTGTGGGATGAGCTGTCTGGTGGGAGGAAAACAGAGTTTGTTTATGGAGTTGTTAATTCAAGAGTCTTCTTAGACATCTCCATCCCCTTGTTAAAAGTGGAGATGTTGAGTGGGCATTTGGATACACATGTCTGAAGTTAATGAGAAAGATTCATGCTGAACTTATCAGTGTAAAGATGGTATTTAATACCATGAGATGGGATGAGATCAGCAAAGTGCAATATAAACTGAAAAGACAATGGGTCTCAGGACCAAGTGCCTGAGGCATTTCTGCACTGAAGGGGAAGACCAGGAGGACTCAGCAGAGGAGACTGAGAAGGGAACAGCCAATGAAAGGGGGAGAATGAGTAGTGCGTGTGTCCCAGGATTCAAGTGCATGACCGCTTTTCTGTCTTCCATGTTTGCAGACACAGTTTCCCATTCCTGGGATGCTCCTGCTTCTCTACCTCACCTATATAATCCCTATATATTGTTTATGTCTAACTCAAGTGTCACCTCCTCCACCACAGCATTTCTCAGAAACCCATGTCCATCATTGCTCTGGGTTAGGTGCCTATTCTCTACAATTGCACAAGGCTTTGTGTTTAGCTCTATTAAAACATGCTCTCCAGGGGCTTCCTAGATATTTATACTTCCTAAACTATAAGGCCCTCAAAGTAAGACTAATCGTTCATTTCTAGATCCCTAGTGCTAAGTCCAGACTAAATGCTAAATAAATGTTGGCTAAATAAAGTGACCTTAGCACAGAGTATTGAGGTTAATTTTTTTCCCTTATATATCACATCCACTGGACTGTGAACTTTCTGGAAACTCTTTTTGCTTCTGTATTCTTAGCCTAGGGCATAGGTACATGGAAGATGCTCAATAAATGCTGGTTGAGACAATAGTTGACTTGAAGGTTCTTGTTCAGGTTTCACAAGTATAAGTGAGTACCCACTGAGCAGGGCTCCAAATGTGGTGATATAGATAATACAATCCTTTTTAAAGGTAGAGTCATTGCCAAGGGTACTGACATTCTCTAATTTTTGGCAGATGGTGGTTGGCCTTGACCGAATCGGACGTCTTCTGGAACACGACAGACACTGGCTGGGTGAAGGCAGCCTGGACTGTCTTCTCTGCCTGGCCTAATGGATCTTGCATTTTTGTGCATGAGCTGTCCCGAGTTGATGCCAAATTTATCCTGAATGTAAGAGGAAAAACCAGTAATACCCCATATGTGTTGGGTACAAATGAGATGAGTGGGATATAGAATTTCAGGCTGCAGGAGAAAACATATAAATCAGTGAATTTAAGGCTTCTTTGGTGTGGCTCCCTGGCCTTCCGTAATCTGGTTCGTGACCACTTGGTTCCCTTCAATCATTGCCTATGCTCTAGCTAGATTCTTAGATGTAAGACTATTTCGTTGCTATTTCTCCTGCATGGGGTGCCCTTGTCTCCACCACTTTCTTCCCAATGCTCCTGCCAAAACCCTAGGTATTTGTCAAACCCTTAGGCAAAATCAGTCTACGCCTCAACTCCAAGTGCTACTGTCCATGGTGCTTAACCTGAGTAGCTGGCCCAACTAGAGAGTCCTGGTGACTCCTGCTCAGCCTCCCAGGGTCTTCTCATGGGGAGGGAGGAGATTGGTGGCCCCAGTCAAGACACAGGTCACCTTTCTTCTGCCCCCCACATCCTAACTGTCATTCCTTAAAACATCAGAGGTTCCTTCTGCTCTTATTATTTGTACTGAGATAAGCTGTATCACATGGTAGCTAACTGCACAGGCTGTGCCATCAGTCAAAGAGTCAGACCTGGACTCTGAACCTACACCTTTGATTCGCTAGCTGTGTGGCCTTGGGGAAGTTGCCTAATCTCCTGAGCTGCAGTTTCAGCCTCATCTGTAAGAAAGGGATAACATATCTCTATAGAGTTGCTGAGTGAATGAAATGATACAAGGCAAAGGGGCCAGCACATCATAGGTTATTTTTTGAAATAATTTTTAACTTTTGTGGATACATAGTAGGTGTATATATTTATGGGGTACATGTGGTGTTTTGATGTAGGCATGCAATGCGTGAAAATCACATCATAGAGAATAGGGTATCCATCCCCTCAAAGCATTTATCTTTTGTGTTACAATCTACACTCTTTCAGTTATTTTAAAATGTACAATTAAGTTTTTATTGACTATAGTCACCCTGATGTGCTTTAAAATAACAGGTCTTATTCATTCATTCTATTATTTTGGTACCAACTAACCATCCCCACCTTTCTCCCAGCCCCCGACTACCCTTCCCAGCCTCTGGTAATCATCCTTCTAATCTCTATTTCCATGAGTACAATTGTTTTGACTTTTAAATCTCACAAATAAGTGAGAATATGTGAAGTTAGTCTTTCTGTGCCTGGCTTATTTCACTTAACATGATGATATCCAGTTCCACCCATGTTATTGCAAAAAACAAGACCTCATTTTTTTTTATGGATCCATTGTGTATATGTACATTTTCTTTATCCATTCATCTGTTGATGGACACTTAGGTTGCTTCAAAACATAGTAGATTCTTTTTTTAAAAAAATTATTTTCATAGGTTATTGGGGAACAGGTGGTGTTTGATTACATGAGTAAGTTCTTTAGTGGTGATTTGTAAGATTTTGGTGCACTCATCACCTGAGCAGTATACACTGCACCCAACTTGAGGTCTTTTATCCCTCACCCCTTCCCACAATTTCCCCCAAGTCCCCAAAGTCCATTGTGTCATTCTTACACCTTTGCATCCTCATAGCTTAGCTCCCACTTATGAGGGAGAACATAAAATGTTTGGTTTTCCATTTCTGAGTTGCTTTACTTAGAATAATAGTCTACAATCTCATCCAGGTCCCTGCGAATGCCATTAATTCATTCCTTTTTATGGCCGAGTTGCATTGCATTATATATATTTATATACCACACTTTCTTTGTCCACTTGTTGATTTATGGGCATTTGGGTTGGTTCCACATTTTTGCAATTGCAAACTGTGCTGCTATAAACATGTATGTGCAAGTGTCTTTTTCATATGACTTCTTTTCTTCTGGGTAGATACTCAGTAGTGGGATTGCTGGATCAAATGGTAGTTCTACTTTTAGTTCTTTAAGGAATCTCCACACTGTTTTCCACAGTGGTTGTACTAGTTTACATTCCTACCAGCAATGTAGAAGTGTTGCTTGTTCACTGCATCCATGCCAACATCTATTATTTTTTGATATTTTGATTATGGCCATTCTTGCAGGAGTAAGCTGGTATCGCATGGTGGACCAAATATAGTAGATTCTTAACCCATATTGATTATTATCATCATGATCAAACTCATCACCATCTTTATCCATGTAGTGCTTGATCAGCCAATGTATGGACCTTCTCCTTGCACTGTCCCCAGCTCTGATATAGTGTTTTCATTATCTATTGCTATGTAATAAATTATACTGAAACTTAGCACTATAAAACACAAGCATTTATCTCACACTTTCTGATGGTCAGGAAGCTGGAGGTAGCTTAATGAGGGGTTTTGGGAGCAGGGTCTCTCATGAGGTTGCAATCAAGAGGTCAGCAAGGTATGCTCATGTTCATAGCAGCATTAACAATAACTAAAAGGTGAAAGCAACACAAGTGTCCATCCACAGATGAATGAATAAACAAAATGTGGTGTATATGTACAATGGAATATTACCTAGCCTTAAAAAGGAAGGACATCTTGTTGTATGATATAACGTGGATAACCCTTGAGGACATTATGCTAAGTGAAACATGCCAGTCATACAAGAACAAATACTGTATGATTCCGCTTACATGAGATACCAAGAGTAGTCAAATTTATAGAGACAGAAAGTACAGTGGTGTTTACCAGGAGTTAGGGGAGAGATTAATGGGAAATTATTGTGTAATGGGTACAGAGTTTAAGTTTGAGAAGATAAAAATAGTTCTGGAGGTGGATGGTAGCGATGGTTGCACAACACTCTGGAAATGTTTAATCCCACTGGACTATACACTTAAAAACCGTTCCAATGGGCAAATCCTATGTTGTGTGTATTTTGCCACAATAATTTTAAAGAAGATATTTGCTAGGACTGCAATCATCTTAAGGATTGACTGAAGCTGGAAAATTGCTTAAAAGTTCACTGGTGGCCAGGCACAGTGGTTCATACCTGTAATCCCAGCACTTTGGGAGGCCAAGGCGGGTGAATCATGAGGTCAGGAGTTAAAGACCAGCCTGGCCAGGATGGTGAAACCCCGTTTCTACTAAAAATACAAAAATTAGCTGGGCCTGGTGGTGGGCACCTGTAATCCCAGCTACTCAGGGGTCTGAGGCAGAGAATTGCTTGAACCCGGGAGGCAGAGTTTGCAGTGAGCTGAGATCTTGCCACTGCACTCCAGCCTGGGTGACAGAGTGAGACTCCATCTCAAAAAACCAAACAAAAAACAAAACAAAAACCTCACTGGTGGTTTTTAGTAGACTTCAATTTCTCACTGGGTGTTTGCTAGTCTCCAGTTTCTCACTGTGTGCACCTGTCCGTAGGATGGCTTGAGCATACTCAAAACATGGTGGCTTGCTTCCGCCAGAACAGGGGATCCAAGAAAGGGAGAGAGAAAGAACATCCAAAACAGAAGCCATAGTCTTTGTATAACCAAATCTTGAAAGTGGTATTCATCACCTTGGCAGTATACCACTGCTGTCACAGACCCACTTTGGTATGAGGTGAGAGGGGATCCTCCAAAGTTGAACATGCCAGGAAGTAGGGGTCACTGGACACCATGTTGGCTGCTGGATTCCACACATAGTTTTCAGCTTCTCTGCTTTGGTACTGAGACTATAAAGATGCATTTGGCTCCATCTTCATGGCCCCACCCCAGTGATTCTAAGGACATCTTTCACCCTTTGTTTTTGTTTAGACTCTCTCCACATTCCCAATAACCACCCTCTGCTGTGTTCCAACCATCTTTCGGCTGCTTGTGCAGGAGGATCTGACCAGGTACAGCCCATCTATTTCGTGCTTTGAGGGCCTAAGTATGTGAATATATAGCATGGGTATCCACACACACAACTACCCTCTCATTCCAACTCTCTTTCTTTCTCTGTCTCCCCCTCTATATATTTTTCTGCCTCTCTCTTTGTCTCTCTCTCCCACACACATTTATACACATACACATTGACAAGTCAACATACCTGTAAATCTCACAGATGCCCCTCAAGAACAAGCTTCTGGCCCCCCAAAATTTGCATCCAGATGGAACTAAATAGATTTAAGGCAGACTGAAATTTTAGCACCTGAGATAGGCTTCTCCTCACACCATACACCCATGGGCTATTCTGTCAGCAGTGTGTCTGCTACTTCTGTGAGGGAAGAGAAATGATTGGACAATTGTTAGCCACCTATGGAGTGCGGTTTGTGGCCAGGGCCCTCAGGTGTGGTGAAACTAACAAGCCCGCACCACAGTAGATGCCCCAACTCTCAGCCTCAGAGTAACCCCAGCCAACTGTTCTCTGAGCACATGTCATTGGACACCCAAGAGAAAGGGACAAGGCACTGATGATGGCTCCATCCTGGGTGAAGCCAAAGCAACATCTTCTAGCAGAACAGGGCTAGTTGCTGGGGTATATGGAGAGAGGCCCACCATCCTTCAGTATCCACCAACCCTGATCTGTTCTCCCTCTTTTGTCCTCCCCCAAGTCATGAGGAGTCGTCCTTTCTTCTTTCCTAATCACATGAATCTACCCACCAAGTGTCCAAAAGAGGGAGTTCTTACATGTTTCTAAAAGTGAATTCTTCTCCAATGTAAGAAAATCATCCCATTCATTGATCTGATGTGTGCATCTCCACATGATGATTTTGGCTGAAAGCAAGCTCCAAGTACCTCGTTAAGAACAATGTCGTTGAATGCTCTTTGGTAATAATAAGTAACTTAATCAAGCCAATTTGATCTCCCCTCTCCTCCAAGATTAAAAATGTACTTACAATCACTGATTTTTTTTTAATAGTTTGGATGATTTGTTGAACAGAGAGGGCATTTTGCAACATAATTAATATCTGTAGGAATTTTTGGGATTCTTAGGGGTCTAATTTTTATCTTTTCAATTTTCTTTTCTTTCCTTTCTTTTCCTTTTTCTTTTATTTTTATTTATTTATTTATTTTAGAGACAGAGTCTTGCTCTGTTGCCCAGGCTGGAGTGCAGTGGCATGATCTCGGCTTACTGCAACATCCGCCTCCCAGGTTCCAGCTTTCCTCCCACCTCAACCTTCCAAGTAGCTGGGACTACAGGCATGTGCCACCATACCTGGCTAAGTTTTAGTACTTTTTGGTAGAGACGGGGTTTTACCACGTTGACCAGGCTGGTCTTCAACTCCTGAGATCATGCAATCTGCCCACCTAGGCCTCCCAAAGTGCTGGGACTACAGGTGTGAGCCATGGTGCCTGGCCTATCTTTTCAATTTCTAATTGATCTATCCTTTTCAATCAGATTACTGTCCTAACCAATTTATTATCAGTTTTTTTCCAACTAAATTATTTTGGCCAAGTTACCTGGAACTCACCATATTATGCCAAAACCTATTATATGAGCTTCTGATTTTATCTCAAACTCAGATGGGATGGATCTTTTAAAAATTATCTGTCCATGAGGAGCATGGTTGCAAAGCCAGTGGGTGGACTCACTTAGAGAAGATTAAAAAGCAGGGGCATCTACCTCTAGTGCCTGTGGTGTTTGCATCTGGGCAGTGGCACCAGAGGGCGGGGTGGTATGAAGATCCTGACATAGGTGGCCTTGTTTTCCTGCCTGAGGAAGGTACCAGTTTCAGAGCCTGAGGCACTGTCTGACCGGAGGAGAGGCCCTCAACCCTGACGTGAGGGAGAAGTGGAAACGCCAGACCGGTGTGGAGCTGTACGAAGGCTATGGCCAGTCTGAAACGGTGAGTGCTGGAGGGGCCAGGTCCCTACCCCCCAGGTCCCCACCCCCCAGGTCCGCTTGAGAGCTTCCTGCCTCTCCAGCTGTCACCTCTCTGAAGCTTCTCAGGGACCACCCTTCCCCCAGGGGAGAAGCCGATAACAAAATTCCATCAGCTTTCCTTCCCTTTTGATTTCCATATGTTCTCACTTATAAGTGGGAGCTAAGCTATGAGGATGCAAAGACATACAGAGTGGTATAAAAGACTTTGGAGACTCAGAAGGAGGAAGGTGGGAGGAGGGGCGTGAGGGTAAAAAAACTACATATTGGGTATAATGTACACTACTCAGGTGACAGATGCACTAATATCTCAGGATTCACCAGTATAGAATTCATCCATGTTACATAAAACGCTCGTACCCAAAAAGCTATTGAAATACACACACACACACACACACACACACACACACACACTACTTATAAATTAAAAAAAGGTAATTTAAAGTACTTTTACAATTATACCATGACCAGCAAACCAGCCCTCACTGCTGAAGGCATTGTTTGTCTCCACCAAGACAGTCTACATCTGCCACTGTTCAGAGTCCAAGATTCTAAGCAGCGTCCTCTATAGTCATCTAGGAAGAGATCTGGGGATCAACTGAGTCTTTTGGCTTAGAGATGGGTTAAGTTCTTTATGTTTGAGTGCCCACTGGAGTGCCCCATAGTTGTTTGCTAACTATGGAAAGAAAAGAAGAAAGACAGGCAAGAAAGAGGGAAGAAAATGAAGAAGGAAGGGAAAGAGGAAATAAAGGAAAGAGAAAGGAAAAGAAGGAAGGAAGAGGAAAAAGATGAAAGGAAGGAAGGAAATAGGGAACAAAGAAGAAGGGAGGAGAGAGGAAAATGGAGAATGAAATAACGGGTTAAGGAATGAAAAAAGAAGGAGGAAAGAAAATGAAGGAGGGAAGGAAGAAAACAGGAAAGGGGAAAGAAAGGAAAGAAAGAGGAAAGGAAGGAGTGAGCAAGGAAGAAAAAAGAAAAGAAAGAAGGGAGGAAGAATGGAGAGAAATGGAGAGAGGAGAAGGGAAAGAAAGAAGAAAGTGAGGGAGGAGAAAAAAGAGGATGAGAGAAAGAGTTATCAGGCAGGGTGAGAGAAAGGCATGGCCCAGGAAAGAAGCTAAGTGGAAAGGCTCTTCTTTATCTGTACTGAGTTCTCCCCAGGTTGTCATCTGTGCCAATCCAAAAGGCATGAAAATCAAGTCTGGATCCATGGGGAAGGTGTCCCCACCCTACAATGTGCAGGTAGCAGACTCCCCCAACTTCTGGCAAGGCCTGGCGTGGAGAGGAGAAAGACACACAGGCCTGGCTGGCACGGGCTGCTGGGCTGCTGGGCTGCTGGAGGGGCCCAGGGTGTAGACACTCATGTATGCACCTCTGTGATGATCTCCTTACCAGATTGTGGATGATGAGGGCAATGTCCTGCCTCCTGGAGAAGAGGGGAATGTTGCCGTCGTATCAGAACCACCCGGCCCTTCTGTTTCTTCAATTGCTATTTGGTAAGAGACGGGGAACAGCTGTTCTCATGACGGTGACTGTGTGCTAAGCATTGTGCACCACACTTTGTAAGTATCTATTTGTTTAATCCTTACAATGACTGCATGAGGTAGGTTGCTACTATTATTAATAAAGTTCTGTTATTGATAAGGAAGACTATTATTAATAAGGAAGCTACTACAAAGGGGAAGTGACTTATCCAGCATCATGCAACTAGTACAGGCAGGACATGGGATTTAAACGTGGGTGTGTCTGAAAGCGTAAACATATGACATGAGGGCAGCACCGTTGTTTTAATGAGGAGAAAATCGAGGCGCAGTAAAGGAAAGGAGCTTCTGAAGGTCAAACTGCAGCCGGTTGCGGTGGCTCACACCTGTAATCCCAGCACTTTGGGAGGCCGAGGAAGGTGGATCACCTGAGGTCAGGAGTTCAACACCAGCCTGGTCAGCATAGTGAAACCCCGTTTCTACCAAAAATACAAAAATCAGCCAGGCATGGTGGCACACGCCTCTATTCCCAGCTACTTGGGAAGCTGAGGCAGGAGAATCGCTTGAACCGGGGAGGAGGAGGTTGCAGTGAGCCAAGATCATGCCACCGCACTCCAGCCTGGGCAAGAGAAGGAGACTCTGTCTCAAATAATAATAATAATAATAATAATAATAATAATAATAATAATAATAATAAAATAAATAAATACATAAAAGTCAAACTGCACTATTGTGTCAGAGCTGTCTTCAGGATTCTTTTTGTGGTTTGCTAGCAGGGCACAAACCTGGGATTTCAGTCCAAGTTTCTGGGATAATTCAGTAACTGCTTCCTTTTGTATTCATCTTGGCTGGTGTTTATGTCGGGCTTTCTTTTCTTCACAGCTTTCTCTCAGGTTTAAGCAATTCTCTTGCCTCAGCCTCCCAAGTAGCTGGGATTACAGGCATGCACCACCACACCCAGCTAATTTGTTTATCTTTAATAGAGACAGGGTTTCACTATATTGGCCAGCTGGTCTCAAATTCCAAACCTCAAGTGATCCACCCACCTCAGCCTCCCACAGTGCTGGGATTACAGGCATGAGCCACCACACCCGGCCTAGCCCTTCACTTTCTACCCTCAGTGATTCCTGAGCACAAAGAGTATTCATGTGTTCTCTTGTCCTAAAAACCACAGCCAGTGGCCCTGTGCCCACCCTCCTGCTTTCAACTATGCTTTCTAGACCCCCTTCTAAGGATGGTGGTGGGTGGCTGCCCTTAACCATTGGCTGGCAGCTTGATTCCAATCAAAAGAGGGAAATCCCACAACTAAACAGGGCCATAGCTCCCTGTCCATTGGGGAACTCTGGGCAGCTGGGACTTTAGGAACTGCTGAACTTTCTGTTGAGTGGTCTCCAGCTTCCTACAGGGGGCTACTGGGGCAGTAACTGGCCTTAGCGGTTGTTCCCAGAGGGTCCTTCACGGGTTGTCTTTGTCTTTCAGGACAATCCTGAGAAGACAGCTGCATCAGAACAAGGGGGCTTTTATATCACAGGGGAGCGAGCTCGCATGGACAAGGAAGGCTACTTTTGGTTCATGGGAAGAAACGACGATGTGATCAATTCTTCAAGGTCAAGCTGTCTGCACTTTCCTCCTCCCTTTGAAGTTTCATGGGGGTTGACGGAAGCCCACTTGGAAGAGTTTGTTTTTCCCTTCCAGCTACCAGATCGGGCCTGTTGAAGTAGAAAGTGCCCTGGCAGAGCATCCTGCTGTCCTGGAGTCGGCTGTGGTCAGCAGCCCAGACCCCATCAGGGGAGAGGTAACCAGTGCACCCAAGAACATGGCCTCCTGCTTCTGTACCTATTAGCACCCAGCAGAACAAGCAGGAAGGCTCAGATTGTCCTGTATTTCACCTCCATCCATGTGCCACAAAGTTGAAATGCCACCATCAGACACACGTTGCCTTCATGTCTTTAGAGATACGATTACTCTCTAAAGGGACATAATGGGAAAACACCAACACTTTGCTTTTAAATGGACACAACTACATCCCAGAGAGGCTGGCTATGGGGCAGGAGATCTTAGGGGGAGGTGCAGGCTCTGTTATCCATCCTGTCTAATAAAAAGTCTTTTCTATTTGCAGATGAGGACATAGCAAGCACACCAGTAATAGTTGCTGATGGCTGTAACCTAAGAGGGATAGAATATGTATCCAAAATGACCTACATATACCAGAAAGATGGGCCAAATTTAATAAGCTGGGCTTTCATAGGAGAAATCCTTTTTTTTTTTTGAGATGGAGTCTTGCTGTGTTGTCCAGGCTGAAGTGCAGTGGCATGATCTTGGCTCACTGCAACCTCCGCCTCCCAGGTTCAAGTGATCTTCTGATCTTCCTGCCTCAGCGCCCCCCCCACCAGTAGCTGGGATTACAGGCACATGTCACCACACCTGGCTAATTTTTGTATTTTTAGTAGAGACAGGGTTTTGCCTTGTTGGCCAGGCTGGAGGTCTTAAACTCCTGACCTCAGGTGATCCACCCACCCCGGCCTCCCAAAGTGCTGGGATTACAGGTGTGAGTCACCGTGCCCGGCCAGGAGGTCTTTCTGTGGGTCCCAGAAGAATGCATATTATGGGAAAGATCAGGTTCCAGGCAGACTTAGGTACTTTTCACTGGCTTACATCCAACATAATCCTAAAGCACAACGGTTACCTTTTGAAAGTTAGTGCAACATCAGCCTGCATTCTCAGAAGCACCAGGACCGCAGGAGAGATTCTCAAAGTCTGGTTCGTGGGCTGCTTGCAACTGTATCATCTGAGAGATTCTTGTTTAAAATATAGATTTGTAGACCTAAAGTCAGACTTACCAAATCATGATGACTGGGAATGCAGCCCAGAGAATCTGCATTTTAGCCAGCCATTCTTGGCCAAGTGATTCCCCTCTAAAATCCAAAGCCATTAATGTATAATAAGGGAGGTGTGGAGTCCCATTGATGTGCTGAAGAAATCTACCTCAAACGTATGCCTAGTTCTGCATGCCGTGAGTTAACTGGGACTGTGACAAATGGCTGTGTGCTCAAACTTAATCCATGTATAGTGCTTAGAACTGAGTCTGGTGTGTAGAAAGTGCCCAACACATAAGCCGGACACGGTGGCTCACGTCTGTAATCCCAGCACTTTGGGAGGCCGAGGCGGGTGGATCACGAGGTCAGGAGATCGAGGCCATCCTGGCTAACACGGTGAAACCCCATCTCTACTAAAAATACTAAAAATTAGCCTGGCGTGGCGGTGGGCGCCTATAGTCCCAGCTACTCAGGAGGCTGAGGCAGGAGAATGGCGTGAACCCAGGAGGCAGAGCTTGCAGTAAGCCGAGATCACCTCACTGAGCTCCAGCCTGGGCGACAGGGTGAGACTCTGTCTCAAAAAAAAAAAAAAAGTGTCCAACAAATGTTTCGTAGTTACAGTAGTAAGAGTAAGAGGAAGCTCTTTCTAAAAGCATATCTGTCTGAACATGAAATGATAGTGGCCTTCCTCCCTGTGGGAAGTATGCAAGGACAGTGAGCTACCCCTTTAATAGAATACTGTTAACAGATAGGAATGCTGGAATTAATAAGCATCCAAGTGACCTTCCATTCCTAACAGAAACTATGTTTGTTGTGCTTGAGTCTGGGACACTTCCTCCTGCCTGGCATAAGACAGCCTGCAGGAAAGTTGTGGGCAGAGAGACCCAAGGTGCAGAGTGTCCCTCGGGATGTCTGGAACAGAAGTGGTGCAGTTCAGGGTCTGCTGATTGCAAATGTTCATCCACGCAGACCCCCAAAGACCTAGTTCCCCTTGCAAGTGCCTGCATTTTCCTCAATCCCACCTGTTCAAACTCATGCCTACCTACCTTTCTCATTAGGAAAATCTGGAAGAAAATGGCCCTAGGAATTTATGAACCTCTTTTCTCCAAAATATTTGCTTCTTAAGAGAAGCGATGTTGGCTTCAAATGGTGTCATTCCAAGTATGGGGAGTAATTTGAGAAATAGGTAGGAGTTTGAAATCATCCCAGAAAGGTCAATCCTCCTAATAGTCACACCTGGAAGGGCCAGCAAAAGAAAAATTGATGTTGTTTGTGTCACTGGCTGTGCCCAAAAAAAACTAGTAGAACTTTCATGGTGCAAAGGTAAATGTAGGCACTTATTCAAGGCTCACTTAAGGAGAAAAGAGTTGTTATACGAGGCCTGATCTTTTCTGGGTATTTTGTTTTCCTGCAGGTGGTAAAGGCATTT
This sequence comes from Homo sapiens, assembly GCF_000001405.40. Taxonomy (NCBI): domain Eukaryota; kingdom Metazoa; phylum Chordata; class Mammalia; order Primates; family Hominidae; genus Homo; species Homo sapiens. The sequence continues at coordinate 20,588,071 of NC_000016.10, read as the reverse complement.
ATAGTCCTTACTCCAGCCTACTCCTCTCATGACCCAGAGGCACTAATGCGGGAACTCCAGGAGCATGTGAAAAGGGTGACTGCTCCATACAAATACCCCAGGAAGGTAAACATCAGGGTTTCCAGGGCACAGTGATCTGGCAATCAGATGGGCACGCTCTGCCTGGGCTCCCACTCAGAGCCAGGCCCTGTGCCAGGCACTGGGGATATGGAGAAACTTGTAACCCTGGCTGCTGCTTCAGCTTTTTTCTGTATTTCTTCACTTGGGTTCTCCTCAAAGCACATTTTGTTCCTGCTCTAAGAACAGCCTGATCCCTACCACAAATCAGATACAAGAGGTAGTGCTCAAATGCTGTCAAAATGATCCTGTGCTCCAGGCTCCAGCTGTTTTGCTTCTGGCCATTTAGGGGGAAACCCTGAATCAGGGACGCTTTCCAAGGACAGGCAGACAGTATTGTCTCTTTCAAAACAAAAGTCTTTTTGAGAAATGATGATTTCCAAGTGTTTTTTGTTTTGTGTTTGGTCACTAGGTGGCCTTTGTTTCAGAACTGCCAAAGACGGTTTCTGGAAAGATCCAAAGGAGTAAATTGCGAAGTCAGGAGTGGGGGAAATGAGGTGCAACCCCAGGAAGGCCCCGTAGACCTCCTAAGAGTCCACGAGAAACTAATGGATCACTGGTCAGCCCCCATGGGGAGCATCATCTCTTCAACCCTAAAGATGTCAAAGGTGTGCAGCTTCCAAATGGCATCCCCAGGATCACTGGGCAATGCCGGAAAGAGCAAAAGAATATCACTGGCCCTGACCACATAGATGCTGCGCCGCCTAGCAAATGCTTGGTGGTTCGACTTCTCCCTCTGTCTGGGGGCAGGCTCAGCATCTGCCCACTGGTCTCACTAAGAGCTTTCAGATTTCCCTCCACAGGACAGGTTACCATAGACTTGGGGCACTTGTGGGTACTCATTCTCTGCCAGTGGGAATGTAAAGCTTTCATCCTTTGTATGCAACCATTTGGTAAAAATATGCAGGAACGTAAAATAAAATATCCTTTAGCTCAGAAATTCTACCTTTGGGAGTCACCACAAAAGAAAAAATCAAAATGCAGAAAATGTGTGGTGCACTAAGATGATCACACAGCATTAAAACTAAAAAAAAAAAAAAAATTAACAATTAACATCCAAACAACAAGGAAATGATTAACAAAATTGTAGTAGATTAACTCAATAACATATGATGTGGCCACTAAAATATTTGAGAGCAGTTTAGTATGTCTTGGGAAAAGTGTAAGCTATATTAATTTTAAAAATCAGAATAAAAATATTTGCATACTGGAGAATCCCAACTCTGAAAAATAAAGGGAAAACTGTAGTTAATTGTAATTTTCCTGGAGATTGAGGAGGGAGGGAGAGAAAATAATGCATGGTAGTTTTTCTTCTTCCTTTTTCACTACATTTCTGTATTTTCCAAGTTTTTGTACTAAGCACATATAACTATTTTAATGAAAAAGTTATGTTAAAGAAAGCATACTCTGCTTCATGTCTAGTTCTTCCTCCACATACTCATACATCAACCCCAAAGACTGCTGTATTATGTCTGTATTAGTCAGCATTCTCCAGAGAAGGAGAAGCAATAGGACATATATAGACATAGGAGAGGGGATTTATGATGGGAATTGGCTCACTCGATTTTGGAGGCTGAGAAGTTCCACAATCTACCATCTGCATGCTGGAGATCCAGGAAACCCCGTGGTATAATTCCATCTGAGTCCAAAGGCCTGAAAACCAGAAGAGCCAATGTTATAACTCCCTGTCCGAGTGCAAAGTATCGAGAACCAGGAGCTTCACCGCCTGAGGACAAGAAAACACAGATGTTCTAGCCCAAAAGGAAGGAGCAAATTCCTCTTTTCTCCTTTTTCTCCTCTTCATGCCCTAATGGATTGGATGATGCCTGCCCACGTGGGTGAGGGCAGATTTTCTTAGTCTATGGCTCTATCTCTAATATCACCTGGAAACACCTCCCAGAGACACCCAGAAGTAATGTTCACAGCTATCTGGGGACTCTTAACCCAGTCAAGTTGACACCTAACATTAACCGTCACAATGTCTTATCCAGGAGGGGCATAAAGACGTGCAGCCACAGCTCAGGCCTGCAAACAGGAAAGGGTGGTTCTGGGAGCAACCCTGGAGGAAAAGCAGCAGATGGAAACTGAAGCAATCCCAGTGCTGCTGACCCCACCCCCAGCACCTCCACACCCTCCAGGGAAAATTCAGTGAGCACCTACTCAGTACTGAGCTCTGAGACTGCAGTGATACACCAAAGCCAGCCTAGTCCCTACCTATGTGAGTTTTCTGGGGCTGCCATAACACAGTACAACAGACTGGGCCATTTAAACAACAGAAATTAATGTCCTCACCGTTGTGGAGGCTGGAGGTCTAGGATCAGGGATTGGCAAGGTTGGTTTCATTCTGAGGATGTTTCCTTGGTTTGTAGATCTCTGACTTCTCCCTCTGTCTTCACATGGTCTTTCTTCTGTGCATGTGTGTCTGGGGCCCAATCTCCTCTTCTTCTAAGGACACCTATCATGTCAGATTGGATTAGGGCCCACCCTCATGACCTCACTTTAACTTAATCACCTCTTTAAAAACCTTGTCTCCAAAGACAGTCACAATCTGAGGTACTGGGAGGAACTGGGGTATCTGGGGTTAGGACTTCAACATAAGAATTTGGGGAAACACATTTCAGCCCAAATCCTTGTGGAGTTTAGTCTAGTAGGAAGGTCATTATTATTTATCACAGAATAATGCAAATAAATGTACAATTGTAATGCCATGAAGAAAAGGATACATTTAAGACATAGACTGGGGGGACTAATCAAGACTCAGGGGACTGAGGGTATCAGGGAGGCTTCTATAAGAAAGTCCCTGGACTAGGTGCAGTGGCTGATGTCTGTAATCCCAGCACTTTGGGAGGCTGAGGCGGGTGGATCACCAGAGGTCAGGAGTTCGAGACCTGCCTGGCCAACATGGTGAAACCTCGTCTCTACTAAAAATACAAAAATTAGCCGGGTGTGGTGGTGTGCACCTGTAATTCCAGCTGCTCGGGAGGCTGAGGCAAGAGAATTGCTTGAACCCGGGAGGCAGAGATTGCAGTGAGCTGAGATCACGCCACTGCACTCCAGCCTAGGTGACAGAATGAGACTTCATAAATCGGCTCTGTCTAGGCAGTGGGCAAGGCGAACCCACTGAGCAGTTACAATTCCCTTCCATCAAGCCCACCTGCTGGCTTTATCAGCAGCCTTTTGTCATACACAGGCTGGAGGTGAGTGAAGCTCCAAAGTCAAGTTGGGATTACTTCTGAGCATGTCATGTAACACCCTCTCATTAAACGGTGGTTATCTGTTACCCTGGTCTCCACTTGGAGCTTCAGCCAAGATTCTGAGACAACAGAGGAAGTCCCATTTAACATTCTCTTTCATGGGTGTCATAGCTCATTGCTATTGCTTATTATTTTAGGTTTGTTTTGCCTGTCTTTCCTAGTAGATTGTGGACTCTTCTAGATCATAGGCTAGATGATAGTCTTGTCCGTCTTCCCAGTGCCAATATCAGGACCTGCTGCCTAGTAGGTATCAGTAAATAGTCATTGAATGAATGAATGAATGAATGAATGAATGAAAAATAAGATACTAATTGAGGGGAATAAGCAGCTGAAGAGGCGTCAAGCAAGAATTACACCTGAAGACCGTTCACCTCTTTTTTCTTTCCAAATGAATATATCTGTTTATTTTCTTGAGTGCTGAAAAATTCTTAATAGAAACCTAACAGTTCTATCTTGTACACAGGCAGGTGACTTTCCCTCTCTAGGCCTCTTTTTCCACATCTCTATATTGGGGGCTGGAGTGTAATACTAGACCTACTTTCCCCAGCCTTTCCATTGCTGTGGACTCCTTTCTATCATTCTGCCATCATGTTTGGAAAGATTTTCTCTCAAAGTTCATACTTCTTCCAATCCACTATGTCCATCAGAATTTGAGGTGGTGTCAGCTTTTATTGGGTAATGACGCTTGTATGTTAGCTATTAATTTTATTTTATTTTTCTTGTTTCAGTTTTTATCTTGGTTTTGATAAATAATCCTTAGCTAGAAAGGGCCCAACCTCCTATTGTGCAATGTGGTAAATCACAGCAACAACTTTTGGTTTTTTTCTTTTTAGAGGGAGTCTCACTCTGTCACTCAGGTTGGAGTGAAGTGACATGGTCTCGGCTCACTGCAACCTCCTCCTCCCGGGTTCAAGTGATTCTCCTGCCTCAGCCTCCCGAGTAGCTGGGACTACAGGCATGCGCCACCATGCCCAGCTAATTTTTTTATTTTTAGTAGAGATGGGGTTTCACCATGTTGGCCAGACTGGTCTCAAACTCCTGATCTCAAGTGATCCACCCACCTAGGCTTCCCAAAGTGCTGGGATTACAGGCGTGAGCCACCGTGTCCAGCCTCACAAGCAACATCTTTAAGGTAAGGAGAGAATCAAGGAAGTCCAAGATATGCCAAGATGGGAACACTGATCCTTTCATTTCAGGGTTTCTGCCTGAGAATCCACAGCTCACCTTATACACTTCCAGTAATGAAGAGGATTATGAGGGTGGTGGTGGTGATGATGATGATAGTAAACCACTACCACTGGTTGAGCTCTTTCTTAACTGTTGAACTTCAGTGTGGGCTTACTAGACATTATCTCATTTAAGCCCCGCAAAAAGCAATAAAGTAGGTATCTTTCATTCATCCCTTCATTTAGCAAAAAATGATTCTATTCCTACTCTGTACCCAGCACAGTTCTAGGCACTGAGGATACAGCAGTGAATGAAAGAGACAGAAACCCCTGACTTCTGGAAATGGCAACCTTGTGAAAAGAGGGATAACAAACAAAGAACTATTAGGTTGGTACAAAAGCAATTGCGGTTTTTGCCATTCCTTTTGATGGTAAAAACCGCAATTACTTTTGCACAAATCTAATTTTAAAAATTAGAGTATGTCGGACAGTGTCAGTGCTAAGGAGGAAAATAAAGTACAAGTAGTGAATAGGGACTACGGAATGGTGGTGCAGGATTTTAAATAGGGTAGCCAGGAAGGGGTTTGCGAGGACCACGTTTGAGCAAACCGAAAGGTGAGGGAGCGAGCTGTGCAGATGTGGGGGTCGGGGAGGACACTGTCCCAGAGACAGAAGAGCAGGTTCAAAGGCCCTGAGACAGAAACAATCGCCTGGTGATCCCCATTTTACAGAAGAGAGATCTGAGGCTCAGAAAGATGGAGTCACTCATCCAAACTTGCACAGCTGTAAGTGGCAGAGCTGGGATTCGAATGCCAGGCCCGATACCACCAAAACCTGCATTTGTTTCTCATTTTCTCATATTTTTCAATTCAGACACTGAGGATGTAGGTGTTGGGGCATCGGCAGAGTGCTTAAGAGCTAGACGTGATGTGAACCAGACCTGGGTTCAGGTTTTGTGGTGCCACTTACCTCCTTGGGTGGCTGACTTGAACTGTCTGAGCCTCAGTTTCCACATGCTGAATTGGGGATAATAATAGATAACTGCTAGGGTTATAGAGGTGGTTGAACGAAACACCTGCACAGTTTGTGGCACACTAAATGCTCTCTCAATAAATGTGTTTTTGTTGTTGTTTGTTTTTTTTGTTGTTTGTTTTTTTTTTTTGAGATTGAGTTTCCCTCTTGTCCCCCAGGCTGGAGTGCAATGGCGCTGTCTCAGCTCACTGCAACCTCCACCTCCCAGGTTCAAGCGATTCTCCTGCCTCAGGTTCCTGAGTAGCTGGGATTACAGGTGCCCACCACCACACCCAGTTAATTTTTAAATTTTTTTTAGTAGAGAAGGGGTTTCACTATGTTGGCCAGGCTGGTCTCGAACTCCTGACCTCAGATGATTCACTCACCTTGGCCTCCCAAAGTGCTGGGATTACAGGTGTGAGTCACTGCGCCCAACCAATAAATGTTATTCCTAGTTACTATTACTCAGTCTACAGCCCCATTTTCTGGAGGGGACATTAAGATTCTGCACCCCAGAAGACTGGTGAGTTTCCCACCTTCATGCAAGGGGTCTCTGGGTGAGTTGCCTCGTGAAAGCTCCTAATAACCATTGAAATAGCAGTTTCTTTCCAAAGCACTAATTATGTACCTGGTATTTATCATATGCCTCGGCTCCTCAAACTGCAGCAAACAAACTCCATGGAAGAGAAAAAAATGGGACTCCAGAGACTTGAAACCACGGCCACTTGTCAGATGCAGCCCCCAACTCTGAAAGTGAGAAGCAGAGACAAAGTTATCTCCTGAAGCACATGGATACTTTTGAGCAGGTTTTTCAGATCAAACATAAGGCTTTGCAGAAGTCTAGCACTTTGCATTGTTCTCCACATCTAAGAGTCTTAGGGGAGCAGCATCCCACCCCTCTGGCAGCCGGACAACTGAGAAGCCTCCAGAATTGTCTTACTCAGGCTTTACCATGACCCTACCAGATAGATGCTATTTTTATCTCCATTTTGTACAGGAGGAAACTGAGGCACAGTGGGTCAGTGTGTGTGTTCTTTTGGTAAGTGGTACAGCCGAGATTTAAAATGGGTCCTCTGATGGCAATTCTCAGGCATTGTCTCTTGCTCCAGGCTGCCTCCAAAACCTTGGCTCCATCCAGCCAGACCACCAAAGACTTCCTGAGACAATCAGAGGTGGAATGTGATAAAGAAAATCTGTTTTTCCCGCGATGATTCCTGACTGAAAACCCCCTGCCCTGGGAAATTCTGAGCCCCCACCACGGAGTTCTGCTCCCAGCATTTCCCCAGCAACTCCAGCACTTTTTCTATTTTCCCCCAACATTGAATCCCCACTGTGGGTCAGATTCTAGGGACACAAAGGTGGCCAGCTGATTGTGCACAGCCTCCAACAGTGACCATTTCAAACCATTTTCTTTTAAAATGGCTCTTTGCCGAAACACGGTGTTCCCTATGAGAAGGACACTGGACTTTGAAGTTAGATTTGAGTCCTGTTGTAGCACTTACCAGCTGCAGGAGCTTAGCCAAATTTCTAGTCCTCTCTGAGCCTCAATTTCCTTATCTATAAAATGTGGCTCTGGATACCTCTCTTGTAGAGTTCTTGTTTAGATTACATGTGAGCACTTCTATAAAACACTGAAGACATGAGCTAGCCGTTATTCTTTATAAACAGTCATCAGGAGAATTTTGATTTTCCACCTCACAGATTTCCCACAGGAATGTGCTGTCCTGAAATGTGTCTAAAGGTCAACATTTGAAAAACAGAAAGAATGGAAAAGAAAGTCAGCAAAGTCCAGCATCATGACTTGGCAGTGTCCCCAGTGGCCAGGTGCAAAGGAGCACCCAGAGAGGTGTTTTCAGACCACTGTAAATAGTGTGAGTGCTATTTAGGACTTACACACACTCAGACACATGCACACACACACAAATATAGATACAGCCACACACATCTGCAGTTTCACTGCCACACATAGACACTCACACATGCAAGCACACACAAATATCTAGTCACACTTCTAGACACTCACACACATGAATACACACAGTTACACTTACAATCTTATGCACATGCCAAACTCATAAACAGATACATAGACATACACTTAACTACAGAGCTACATATACATGACAGTCACACACATAGTTACATACACAGTCTCACACATACATTCACACACATCCACATCTACCAACACACATGCATGCATGTAAGTATACATAAACACCTGTACACCTGCGCATACAGCTCTACACACACTTGCACACATGTACACATACACAGTCTCACATACATCCATGTACTGACACATAGGCACACATGGGCACAAACATGCACAACCTTACACACATGTCTTTACACACAGAACCGCACACACATAACAGCTATACATACATCCCACAGTCACATGTGCACACACAAAAACATACATGCATGCACTTAGGCTATCTCACATACACAGCTATGTACTTCACACAGGCACACACATTATAACAACATGTTTTCTTTTCTTTACAGCCCTTATTCATTCTCTCAGCTATTTACTGAATGTTTACTGTGTGCTAGCTACCGTTAAAAGTCCTTGAGCTAAATCATTGAACAAAATGAGCAAAAATATCTGCCCTCATGAAGCTTAGATTCTAATGGAAGGAGAGAGAGGCAAAAATAGTAAGTAAGTATGTTAGCAGGTAGTGAGTATTAGAGACAATAGTGCCTAGTAATGAGGAGGAGGAAGAACCAACTTGGAGGTGGGTTGCCGTTTTGAGAAGGTGGTCAAGGTAAGCTTCATTGAGAAGTTGACAAAAATATTTAGCAAGGAAATAAAGTAGGAGAGGGAGTTATCCATGTAGATATCTATGAAAAATCAGTCTGAGAAGAGGAAACAGCAAGTGCAGATACCCTAAAGGCAGAGTGTGACTTCAAGGAACAGGAAGAAAGCCCTTGTAGTTGACATGCAGTGAATAAGGGGGTAAAGGAACAGGACATCAAACCAGAGATGAAGAGAGTGTGTGAAAATCTTACCAGACCTTGAATAATGAGGTAAAAACTCTGAAGTTAATTTTGCATGAAACTGAGATTCACCGGTAGGTTGTGAGCAGAGGTGTGACATGATCTGACCTCTGACTTATCCTTTACAGTATATAAAATGAACTTCATTACTTTACATGTTATTATCTGTGTCACTTCTGAACAGGAATGAATCTGTCATGGTCACCTCTGTGTCTACCTGAGAGTAACACTCAGTCAATATTTGTTGACTACTTGATAAGGACAGACATTTCCAAGGAGAAAAGTGTTCTGAGGTGCTCCAGTTTGGATGTTTGCTCTCAATAAAACTCATATTGAAATTTGAGATGGAACCTTACAGGAGGTATTTGAGTCATGAGGGAGAATCCCTCATGAATAAATTAATGCCCTCCCTAGGGAGTGAGTGAGTCCTAATCCTATTATTCCCCACAAGAGCTGGTTGTTGCAAAGAGCCTGGCATCTCCCCACTATCTCTCTTGCTTCCTCTCTCACCATGTCATCCATGCACACGCCAGCTCCCTTTCACCTTCTACCATGAATAGAAGCATCCCGAGGCCCTTGCCAGCTGCAGATGCCCAATCTTGAAATTTCCAGCTATCAGAATCATGGGCCTAATAAACATTTCTGAAATAAATTACCCAGCCTCAGATATTTCTTTATAGCAATGAAAAATGGACTACAACAGGAAATTGTTGCCAGGGAGTAGGGTATTGCTATAAAGATACCTGAAAATATGACAGCAGCTTTGGAACTGGGCAATGGAAAAGGTTGGAAGAGTTTGGATGGCTCAGAAGAAGACAAAGAGTTGAGGGAAAGTTTGAAACTTCTTAGAGATTGGTTAAATGGTTGTGACCAAAATGCTGTCAACGTAAAATAGTCAAAAGAGTCAGCATCTAGTTAAAAGAGCTCATTCAAGCACAAAGTATGAGTGCGGCCATCCAGGGAGCACAGCTATTCCAAAGAATGGTGAGCAGTGTTGTGCTCCTGGTGTAGGGGAAAATGAGGATTGCTTATACCAGCAAAATGAAGTTGCTGAACAAAATTACAACATTTTCCATAAAAAAGGTTAACATACAGATATAAGATTTCATTGGCTACTTTTGATTACACGCTAAAGGGATAGTTTTACATTCTATTAAAAGGAGACAGTCACAAGGGTCTCTATCTTCACTTTGTTTAGCGCAGTTTTGAATAAAGAAGAGTCTGGTTAATGTATAACATCTCAACACAAAGGTCAGAAAGCAACGGTCATGCACCAGAATCAGGGGAAGTTGTGTTACCTCAGTCAGCTTTCAGGCCTTAAGTTTTCCCTTTTGCATGATAAATTTGGAAGGTCCTAAATTTAAATTTTTTACAATGCTGATAGAAATATAGACAGTACAGGCCATGCCAAAAAATCTCAGATAGAAATGAGAAACTCATTGGAAGCTGGAGCAAAATTCACCCATGTTACTCTGTAGCAAAGAACTTGGGTGCACTGTGTCCATGCCCTAAGGCTTTGTGGAAGGCTGAACTAAGAGTGATGACCTACGGTGTCAGATGCAAGAGATATCTAAGCAGCAAAGTGCTCAAGAAGTGATGTGGTTACTTTTAACAGCTTATGTTAAATTGTGACAGCAAAGGAATGACCTAAAGCCTGTGTTTATAATTAAAGGGGAAGAAGAGCATTAAAATTTGGATAATTATCAGCCTGCACATAGTGGTAGAGAAGAAAAGAGAATTTTCAGGAGAGGAGTCCAAGAAAGTGTCAGAACAACTCTGCTAAAGCATGACCAAAAGGGGGCCTGGTGCTAATAGGATAATAGGAAGAAGGTTCCAAAGGCATTTCAGAAATCTTTGGGGCTGCTCCTCCCATCACAGGCCCAGAAGACTAACAAAGACAGAATGGTATTAATTCTGCAGGCACCCAGAATGTAGGGGCCATAGATGCTTGGTGGTAAGATCCTCTACAAAGAATTCCCTCTAGGGAAATGCCTCATGAAGCCATGGGAGTGGGGCCACCCCCAAGACACAGAACTGTAGGATCACCAATTTGCAACTCTAGCCTGAGAGAGCTGAAGCATGGGCTGATACCAGCTATAAGACAATGTTGGCCATGCATGGTGGCTCATGCCTGTAATCTTTGGGAGGCCATGATGGGAGGATCACTTAAGTTCAGGAGTTCAAGACCAGCCTGGAGAACATAGTGAGACCACGTCTCTATAAAACGTTAAAAAATTAGCTGGGCATAATGGCATGTGCCTGTAATCCCAGCTGCTCAGGAGGCTGAGGTGGGATGGTTGCTTGAGCACGATAGATTGAGGTTGCAATAAGCTGTGATCAGACTACTGCACTCCAGCCTGGGCAACAAAGTGAGACACTATTTCAAAATAAAATAAATATGAAGAGATATAAAGAGTTTTTTTCCCTGTTGAGTTTTGGGCTTACTTGGACAGTGTTGGGTTGGGTTGGAACAGGGAAGAGAATGGGTCAGACTCTGAGTGTAGCCTGCAGGTGGATCTGATGGCTTTTTCACATCCATGTGAGAAAGAAAAGAGTCAGGGCAGTCTCTAAGATTTGATGTTGGAAGAACTAGAGGAATAGGGGTGACATTTGCTGAGATGGATAAAACCATACCTGGAATGAGAGTGGCCAGGGAAGGATGTGATCAACCTCTTAGCTTTGGACAAAGTATGTTTGAGATGCCTGTTAGATATCCAGGTGGAGAAGTCAGGAAGATGAGGATGCAGGAGAGAAAACCAGGTTGGATACACACGTGTGGGGGCCATTGGCAAGCCACATGGTATCCAAGCTATGACATTTGATGAGATAATGTACAGAGTGAACGTGGATAAAGATGAGGAGGAATCAGCAAAAGAGAAGGAAAGCAAGAGGAAAACCAGGCAAAAGTGGTATGCTGGAACCAAGCAAAACAAAGAATTAAAGGAGTGTTCATCAAGCCTATGTGAGCTCCATTTCTCTCTCTTGGGTTGAAGCAATAATTTTCTGTCAGTCCTGGGCATAAACCTGCTTCATGCCCCTTGGATTGAAAGTGCAAGTCCAGTTGACCTCAAATGCTCTAATGTTGTAATGTCCATAAACTTGGCTAGGAGGACTGCTGTTACCCTTTGTAAGACTCCAAAGTTATCCACTGTCAATGATTAGCTGAGCTCTCTTTCCGACAGTGCAGGGATTCTGAAGCTGTCTGCTTGAGTTACTGTGCTCTCTTCCAAGGCTGTAGGAGTTCTGGAGCTGCTGGCTGGAGAGGAGGGTGGACGAAGCTCTCTCCAGAAAGACATCCTGAGAGGACTTGGCAGGTGAGCACTGTTTCAAGGAATGGGCTGATGGGGTCATAATCCATGATAACCTCACCAATCTTTTAGAGTCACAGCTGGTGAGAAGAGCAAAAATCCTCACAGAAAAGCAGAAATTCCTAGGGACCATGAAAGACAGTACCTGCCAAGTCTTAGGAGGAAACACTGGGCAGAGGAAAAGGCACGTTTATGGCAGCAACAGGGAGAGACGAGGGCAGCTGGAAAAAGGTGGTAACAGGGGGCTGGTAGTTGGGTGGTGGTCAGAGAAGGATGAATCCCAGAGGAGGTGAGACCAGAAGAATGAAGAAGAGCTTATTATGGAAAAAGAGAGGGACCAGCAGGTACAAAGGCAATGTGTAGTTCTGCTCAGGAGCTGGTACAGTAATCTTCAATTCTTATTCCATAGAAAAAAAGGAGACAGAAATGTCAGACACTGTGATGGTTAATACTGAGTGTCAATTGATTGAATTGAAGGATACAAAGTGTTGATCCTGGGTGTGTCTGTGAGGGTGTTGTCAAAAGAGATTAACATTTGAGTCGGTGGGCTGGGAGAGGCAGACCCACCCTTAATCTGGGTAGGCACCACCTAATCCAGCATGACTAGAATATAAGGAGGCAGAAAAATATGAAAAGAGAGACTGGCCTAGCTTCCCAGCCTAGATCTTTCTTCCGTACTGGATGCTTCCTGCCCTTGAACATCAGACTCCAGGTTCTTCAGTTTTGGAACTCAAACTGGCTCTCCTTGCACCTCAGCCTGCAGATGGCCTATTGTGGGACCTTGTGATCATGTGAGTTAATACTGAATAAACTGTATATATATATACAGTTGTGTATATATATATACACACATACATATGTTAATACTTAGTAAACTCATATATATACTTATATATATGAGTTTATATGTATTACTTATACATATGAGTTTATAAAATATATATATTCCATTAGTTCTGTTTCTCTAGAGAACCCTGACTAATACAGATTTTGGTACCAGAAGTGGTTCTAGAGGAAAAGAATATTAAGGATGGAGTTCTTTTGTTGGTTTTGGGGTTTCTGGAGTTGGTGCCTTAATATGATTAGACCCCAAAATACTAAGGACTCTAATTCTAATAGTATGGAGAAGACTGATAGCCCTTGGTGTGAACTGTTTAAAGAGTTATACAAAATAAATGCATTTGACACTCCTGATTCATTGCTCATGAGAGGCAAGGAGTTTAGTGACCCTATACATCATACCTTTGACCATATGTGGAGAACTAAGGAACATAATGAAGCTGGTTGGTTGCTCCTAAGTTCAGTGGATAAAGTGATGAAAGAAAATGATGAACTCGGGGATTCTATCTCCCAGCTTCAGAAGCAGATACTGAGCCTCAAATCTGCCAAGATTGCCCTGAGTGAGAGTCTAATCTCCTGTAGAGAAAGAACTGAAATTGTGGAAAAATAGACATAAGCTCTTATCATGTTAGTGGCTGACCTGCAATGAAAGGTGCATGCACAGCCTCACCATGCACAGCCTCGCCAAGTATCTACTGTTAAAGTGAGGGCATTGATTGTTTTGCAGGAAGTCAGGGACCCTGAATGGAGGGATCGGCCAGAGCTGAGGCAGAAGAACATAAATTGTGAAGATTTCATGGATATTTATCACTTCCCAAAATTAATACTTTTATAATTTCTTATGCCTGTCTTTACTGCAATCTCTGAACATAAATTGTGAAGATTTCATGGACATTTATCACGTTCCCAATTAACACTCTTATAGTTTCTTATGCCTATCTTTACTTTAATCTCTTAATCCTGTTATCTTCATAAGCTCAGAATGTAATTCACCTCAGGACTACTATTGCACAAATGGATTGTAAAACATGTGTGTTTGAACAATATGAAATCAGTATACCCGGAAAAAGAACAGAATATCAGTGATTTTCAGGGAACAATGGAAGATAACTATAAGGTCTGACTGCCTGCGGGGTCGGGCAGAATAGAGCCATATTTTTCTTCTTGCAGAAAGCCTATAGAAGGATGTGCAAGTAGGAGAAATATTGCTGAATTCTTTTCCCAGCATGGAAGAACCCTGGGGAAGGAATGCATTCCTGGGGGTAGGTCTATAGATGGCCGCTCTGGGAGTGTTTGTCTTATGCGGTTGAGATAAGGATTGAAATACGCCCTGGTGTCCTGCAGTACCCTCAGGCTTACTAGGATTGGGAAATTCCAGCCGGGTAAATTCTAGTCAGAGTGGTTCTCTGTTCTCAAACCCTGTTTCCTGTGAAGATGTTTATCAAGACAATGTGTGCACAGCAGGACATAGACCCTCATCAGTAATTCTAATTTTGCCTTTGCCTTGTGATCTTTACTGCCCTTTGAAGCATGTGATCCTTGTGACCTACTCCCTGTTCGTACACCCTCTCCTCTTTTAAAATCCCTAATAAAAACTTGCTGGTTTTGCTGCTCGGGGTCACCATCATAGTCCTACCACTATGTGATGACAGCCCCAGAGGCCCAGCTGTAAAATTTCTGTCTTTGTACTCGTTCTCTTTATTTCTCAGACCGGCCGACACTTAGGAAAAATAGAAAGAACCTATGTTCAAATATTGTGGGCTGGTTCCCCTGATAGATTGGAAAAGAATGAGACCCTGCAACTTGGAATGGGGAGGTATGGGAGGACACTGGTGAAGCTGGGGACACTGACTTTGTAAACTCCAATGAACTTTTTTTGCCAGAAGAAACAACTTCCTCCCCACCCAGTAGTGACAGCATTCTCTCCCTAACCCATGCTGCCATCAGCCTTTCCACCTTTGTCTGAGGAGGTAAACTCTGTGCTGCCTGAGGCAATAGTGATGGCCTCCCCTGAGGCAGTTGCCAAGCAAGATAATGAGAAATAACAATCAGTACAGTTTGGCTCTCAGAAAGCCACATCCCTAGGAAAAGGGAAAGAGTACTACATCAGGGGAACATCCCATGGGAAAAAAGAATCTGAACAGTAGCCTTGAGCCCCAGATCTTCCCTCTAACATAGCCTACCCAAATGAGAAGGAACCAGGAAAACGATTCTGGGAATATGATAAAACAAGGCTGTTTAACACCTCCCCCCAAAAATCACACTAGCTCACCAGCAATGGATCCAAACCAAGAAGAAACTCCTAATTTACCTGAGAAAGTATTCAGAAGGGCAATTATTAAGCTAATCAAAGAGGCACCAGAAAAGGTGAAGTCCAATTTAAGGAAAAAAAAAAAAATACAAGTTATGAGGGGAGAAATCTTCAGTGAAATAGATAGCATACATAAAAACAATCATAACTTTAGGAAATAAAGAACACAGAGAAAAACGCACTGAAAAGCCTCAACAATAGAATTGAACAAGCAGAAGAAATAACTTCAGAGCTTGAAGACAAGATTTTTGACTTAGCCAAATCCAACAAAGACAAAGAAAAAAAAATTTTTCAATGAACAAAGCCTCCAAGAAGTTTGGGATTGTGTTAAATGATCAAACCTAAGAATAATTGGCATCCTTGAGATAGAAGAGACATCTAAAAGTTTGGGAAATGTATTCAAGGAAATAATCAAGGAAAACTTTCCCAGCCTTGCTAAAGACCTAGACATCCAAATATAAGAAGCTCAAAGAACACCTGGGAAATTCATTGCAAAAAGATCATTGCCTAGGCACATTGTCATCAGGTTATCTAAAGCCAAGATGAAGGAAAGAATCTTAAGAGCTGTGAGACAAAAGCACCAGGTAATCTATAAAGGAAAACCTGTCAGATTAACAGCAGATTTCTCAGCAGAAATCCTACAAGCTAGAAGGGATTGGGGCCCTATCTTCACACTCCTTAAAAACAAATTATCAGCCAAGAATTTTGTATCCAGTGAAACTAAGCTTCATAAATGAAGGAAAGATGCAGTCTTTTTCAGACAGAGAAATACTGAGAGAATTCACTACTAGAAAGCCAGCACTACAAGAACTGCTAAAAGGAGCTTTAAATCTTGAAACAAATCCTGGAAACACATCAAAATAGAACCTTTTTAAAGCATAAACCTCACATGACCTATAAAACAAAAATACAATAAAGAAAAAAACCCAAGCTACACAGGCAACAAATAGCACAATGAATGGAATAGTACCTGACATCTCAATACTAATGTTGAATGTAAATGGCCTAAGTACTCCATTTAAAAGATACAGAATTGCATTATTGATAAGAATATGCCAACCAAGTATCTACTGCTTTCAAGAGACTCATCTAACACAAGAACTCACATAAACTTAAGGTAAGGGGGTGGAAAAAGACATTCCATGCAAATGGACACCAAAAACAAGCAGGAGTAGCTATATTTATAACAGACAAAACAAACTTTAAAGCCACAGCAGTTAGAAAAGACAAAGAGGGACATTATGTAATGATAAAAGGTCTTGTCCAACAGGAAGACATCACAATTCTAAATATATATGCACCTAATACTGGAGCTCCCAAATTTATGAAACAGTTACTACTAGACCTAAGAAATAATATAAACAGCAACACAATAATAGTGGGGGACTTCAATACTCCACTGACAGAACTAAACAGGTCATCAAGACATAAAGTCAACAAAGAAACAATTGATTTAAACTGTACCGTAAAACAGATGAATTTAACAGATATTTACAGAACATTCTACCCAACAACCATGGAATACACATTTTATTCATCAGTGCATGGAACTTTCTCCAAGATAGACCATATGATAGGCCACAAAACAAGTCTCAATAAATCTGAGAAAAGTGAAATTATATCAAGTACTCTCTCAGACCACCTTGGAATAAAATTGGAAATCAACTCCAAAAGGAATCTTCAAAATCACATGAATACATGGAAATTAAATAACCTGTTCCTGAATGATCATTGGATCAACAATGAAATCAAGATGGAAATTTAAAAATTTCTCACACTGAAGGACAATAGTGACACAAGCTATCAAAACTTCTAGGATACAGCAAAGATGGTACTAAGAGGAAAGTTCATAGCCTTAAATGCCTTCATCAAAAAGTCTGAAAGAGCACAAATAGACAATCTAAGGCCACACCTCAAGGAACTAGACAAACAAGAACAAATCAAACCCAAACCCAGCATAAGAAAGGAAATAACCAAGATCAGAGCAGAACTAAATGAAATTGAGATAAAAAAATACAAAAGATAAATGAAACAAAATCTGGTTCTTTGAAAAGACAAATAAGATTGATAGACCATTAGGAAGATTAACCAAAAAAAAGAAGAGAGAAAATCCAAATAAGCTCAATTAGAAAGGAAATGGGAGATATTACAACTGATACCACAGAAATACAAAAGATCATCCAAGGCACTACAAACAGCTTTATGCACATAAACTAAAAAACTTAGAGGAGATGGATAAATTCTTGGGAAGATACAACCCTCCTAGCTTAAATCAGGAAGAATTAGAAAGCCTGAACAGACCAATAACAAGCAGCGAGATTAAAATGGTAATACAAAAATTATCAACAACAACAACAACGACAACAAAAAAGCCATGACCAGATGAATTCACAGCTGAATTCTACCAGACATTCAAAGAAGAATTGGTACCAATCCTATCGACGCTATTCCACAAGATAAAGAGGGAATCCTCCCTAAATCATTCTATGAAGCCAGTATTACCCTCATACCCAAACCAGAAAAGGATGTAACAAAAAAAGAAAACTGCAGACCAATATCCTTGATGAACATAGATGCAAAAATTCTTAATTAGCTGCTAGCTAACTGAATCCAACAGCATATCAAAAAGATAATCCACCATGATGAAGTGGGTTTCATACCAGGGATGCAGGAATGGTTTAACATACACAAGTCAATAAATGTGATACACCACATAAACAGAATTAAAAACAAAAATCACATTATTATCTCAATAGATGTAGAAAAAGCATTTGACAAAAATCCAGCATCCTCTTATGATTAAAACCCTCAGCAAAATCAGCATACCATGGATATACCTTAATGTAATAAAAGCCATCTATGACAAACCCACAGGCAACATAATAGTGAATGGGGAAAAGTTGAAAGCATTCCCTCTGAGAACTAGAACAAGACATGAATGCTTACTCTCACCACTTGTATCCAGTATAGTACTGGAAGTCCTAGCCAGATCAATCAGACAAGAGAAAGAAATAAATGTCCTCCAAATTGGTAAAGAGGAAGTCATACAGTTGCTGTTTGCTGTTAATATGATTGTATACCTAGAAGACCTTAAAGACTCCTCCAAAGAACTCCTACAACTAATAAATGAATTCAGCAAAGTTTCAGGACACAAAATTAATGTACAAAAACCAGTAGCTCTGCTATACTTTAATAGCAACCAAGCTGAGAATTAAATCAAGAACTCAACCCCTTTTATAATAGCTGCAAAAAAAATACTTAGGAATATACCTAACCAAAGACCTATTCAAGGAAAACTACAAAACCCTGCTGAAAGAAATCATAGATGACACAAACAAATGGGAACACATCCTATGCTCATGGATGGGTAGAATAAATATTGTAAAAATGACTATATTGCCAAAAGCAATATACAAATTCAGTGCAATTCCCATCAAAATACCACCATCATTCTTCACAGAACTAGAGAAAAAAATCCTAAAATTCATATGGAACCAAAAAAAGAGTCATCATAGCCAAAGCAAGACTATCCAAAAAGAACAAATCTGGAGGCATCACATTACCTGATTTCAAAATGTACTATAAGGCCATAGTCAGCAAAACAGCATGGTCTGGTATAAAAATAGGCACGTAGAACCATGGAACAGAAGGAACAGAATAGAGAACCCAGAAATAAACCCAAATATTTACAGTCAACTTATCTTCGACAAAGCAAACAAAAACACAAAGTGGGGAAAGGACACTCTATTCAACAAATGGTTCTGGGATAATTGGCAAGCCACATGTAGGAGAATGAAACTGGATCTTCATATATCACCTTATACAAAAACCACCTCAAGATGGATCAAGGACTTAAATCTAAGACCTGAAACTATAAAAATTCTAGAAGATAACATCAGAAAAACCCTTGTAGACATTGGTTTAGGCAAAGATTTTATGACCAAGAACCCAAAAGCAAATGCAACAAAAATGAAGATAAATAGATGGGACTTAAGTAAACTAAAGAGCTTTTGTATGGCGAAAGGAACAGTCAGCAAAGTAAACAGACAACCCATGGAGTGAGAGAAAATCTTCACAATCTATACATCTGACAAAGGACTAATATTCAGAATCTAGAAGGAACTCAAACAAATTAGCAAGTAAAAAAAGCCCAAAAAATCCCATAAAAAACGTGGGCTAAGGATACGAATAGACAATTCTCAAAAGAAGATCCAGCATACATATGAAAAAATGCTCAACATCACTAATGATCAGGGAAATGCAAATCAAAACCACAATGCTATACCACCTTACTCTTGCAAGAATGGTCATTATAAAAAAACAAAAAAAATTATAGATGTTGGTGTGGATGTGGTGAAAAGGGAACACTTCTACACTGCCGGTGGGAATGTAAGCTAGTACAGCCACTGTGGAAAACTGGAAATTCATCAAAGAACGAAAAGTAGAACTACCATTTGATCCAGCAATCCCACTACTGGGTATCTACCAAGAGAAAAATAAGTCATTATACGAAAGAAGTCACTGCACATGCATGTTTATAGCAGCACAATTTGCAATTACAGGAATATGGAACCAGCCCAAATGCCTGTCAATCATCAAGTAAAGAAACTTGTATTCATTTATAAAATATTTATATATTTTTATAAATATATAAATATTTATATATAGTAGTATAGTTTATATAAATATATAATATGTGATATATATGATATATGATATATTATATACATTATATAATTGTATATAATATATAATAGTATGTATATATTTTATATATATCTATATATACTATATGTTCTATAGTGTGGCTATATATAGTATATATAAAACATATAAAATACATTTTTTACATATATTTATATTTTATATAATATATATAATATATTTTGCCACACTCCTGTGCCTTTCCTCCTTCCAAGCTCATGAACGTATAACATATATATAATATGTATATATATATCATCTTCTGTGAAGGCAGTATAGTATGGGAGAGAGACACCATGAGCTTGGAAGGAAGAAAGGCACAGGAGTGTAGCAATACATATTATGTAAAATATAAATATATGTAAAAATACGTGAATATTTTATATATAAAATATTTTTAAATATGTACAAATATATAAATTTCTATATATTTTTATATATTTAATATATACTATATATAGCCACACTATATAATAGTATAGTATATATCTATATATAATATATAAAATATATTATATAATAGTATAGTTTTATATATCTATACATACCATACTATTATATATCATATATATTATATATTATATATATCTGTATATACACTATACTATTATATATATAAATTCACTCTGAGAACCAGAACAAGACATGAATGCTTACTCTCACCACTTAGGTCTAGATATATATAATAGTATAGTATATATATAATAGCATAGTATATATAGATATAGATATAATATACTATATATTATATATTATATATCTTATATTATTATTTATATATTTTTATATATAATTTATATAATTTATATTTATATATTATATACTATTTATATAATTTATATATTATTTATATATTTTATATATTATTTATATATACTGTTATACTATTATTATATGTTATATAATAATATACTATATATTATATATTAATATACTATATTATATATTATATAATATATTGTATATGTAATATTATACTATATATTATATAATATATAATATATAATATATTTATATATAATATTATACTGTATATTACATATTATATATTGTACTATACATTATATATTATGCTACATATTATATATTATACTATATATTATATATTATATATTACACTATATATTATATATAGTATATAGTATAATATATAATATAATAGTATAATATGTTATAATAGTATTATATATAATATATAATCTTATTATACTATATATTATATCTATATCTATATATACTATACTATTATATATATTATGATATTATATATATCTAGATCTAAGTGGTAAGAGTGAGCATTCATGTCTTGTTCTGACTCTGAGTGAATTTATAGATATAACAATATGGTGTATACACAGATATATATAATATATAACAGTATATAATATATAATATATAATATATATGATATATAATAGTATGGTATGTACAGATATATATAACTATACTATTATATATAATGTGTATCATATATTATATATAGAGATATACTATAGTATATAGTGTGTCTATATATAGTATATATATAAAAGATATAAAAATGTATAAAAATTATATATTATATATTTCAAAATATTGTATCTATATATCTATATATACTATATATAGTATATATAGTATATACTATATATAGTATATACTATATATACTATATATATACTATATATAGTATATACTATATGTATATACTATATATACATATATATAGTATAGTATATATATACTATATATAGTATATATACTATATGTAGATATATACATATTATATATTTATAGATAACATATCTCCTTATATACTATATATAGTATATAGTTATATAGTATATATAACATATTTGTAATATAATATATAGATATAGTATATGTATTATTATATAATATATAATATTACATTATATATTATATAATATGTTATATACAATATAAATGTATAATACCCATATATGATATATAATATATCCACATATAATGTAGTATATATATTTTATATAGATATATATTTTTAGCCATGCTCCTGTGCCTTTCTTCATTCCAAGCTGATGGATATATATTTATATATCTATATATCTGTCTATATATATATATATATATATATATATATATATATATAATCTTCCATGAAGGCAGTATGGTATGGGAGAGAGAGAGCATGAGCTTGGAAGGAAGAAAGGCACAGGAGTGTGACGTTTATTACATATATATATATTATATAAACAAAAATATATATAAAAATAGAATTTTTATATTTTTTCGATATATACTATATAATACATACATAGTATATATATTATTTATAGTATCATATATAGTATGCATATATGTATATATAATGAAATACTACTCAGCCATAAAAAGCAATGACTTAATGGCATTCGCAGCAACCTGGATGGGATTGGAGACCATCGCTCAAAGTGAAGTAATTCAGGAATGGAAAACCAAACATCATATGTTCTCAGCCATAAGTGGGAGCTAAGTTATACATTGTTGCAAAGTCATGAGTATGACACAATGAACTTTGAGGAGTTGGGGGAAATGACGGGAAGGAGGTGAGGAATAAAAGGGTACAAAGTGGGTTAAGTGTGTACTGTTAAGTGTATACTGTAAGTGTTAAGTGTATACTCCTCGAGTGATGGGTGCACAACAATGTCACAAATCACCAATAAAGAACTTATATAGAAACAACAATTATGACAGCTGTAATTTCTAAAGTGATTGTGTTAGGTCCTGTGCACTAGATGGATAGGACCTGCGATTTAGGATGTATCAGTCCAGATTCAATTTAAAGAAAAGGATGCTACTTGTATTAGTTAACATTTGCTACAGTAACAAACACCCTATACATCTTAGTAGCTTTTAGTCATGCATATTTTCCCCCTATGGGTCTGTGTGTTGCTAGTGGCCATGCTAGGCTCAGCTCAACTCCACATTTCTTGATGTTCTGGGTCCCAGTCTGAAGGTACAGCATGATCTGGGTTATGCAAGTCTCATGCAGAGGGGAGAAATGTGAGAGTTTCTGATGAACCGTAGAATCCCAGACACTCACATCTCATTGACCAAAGCATATCTCTTGAGCAAGCCAAAGTCAATGAGAGGTGGATACATATTCTTCCTCCTAAATGCACTGGGTAGTCACTTAAAAATGAATGGGGATTTATAATCCTAGAACGGAAAGGGAGTGAATTGCTGGGAACAACTATCCCATCTATGACCCACTGTATTTTAAGCACAAGGGGATTTATTATATGGAAATGGGTGTTAACAAAACTGTCAGAAGTGTTGAATATGTAGGATCTAGGACTGGGTCTGTATCCTCTTATGCCTTTAGAAAACAGCACCCCACAAGGAGACTGAAACAGATGCAGAGTGCCAATTTACTCATAACTACAGCAAATTAATTCCTGGGAAGAATCCTATAAGGTTGGGATGAATCTCCTGAAGCCGCTGATGATCAGTAGAGCAATCTGTTAAAGAAGCTCTTACCTGTGTCTCTTCTTTCTTTTACAGGCCTGAACATGCATTGGCTGCGAAAAGTTCAGGGACTTTGCACCCTGTGGGGTACTCAGATGTCCAGCCGCACTCTCTACATTAATAGTAGGCAACTGGTGTCCCTGCAGTGGGGCCACCAGGAAGTGCCGGCCAAGTTTAACTTTGCTAGTGATGTGTTGGATCACTGGGCTGACATGGAGAAGGTAATGGGATGGAAAAGAGGCACAGAGTGAGACAATTTTGTTGACTTTTAAAATTCATCCATTAATTCAGTAAATATTTGTTAAGTACTTATTACATGTAAGGCACTGTAATAAGCTATGGACAAGACACTCATCTTCCATGAAGGCAGTATGGTATGGGAAAGAGACAGCATGAGCTTGGAAGGAAGAAAGGCACAGGAGTGTGGCAACCTGGTAACTCCCAGGCAGCCAACACACAGTTTGTTTACACTGTATGTAGACTGCACATGCTCTGTTGTGACCTCCCAGGGTGAAATGAGGACTTTTGGTCTGGGGTCGTAGAAGAGGCGGGTTTGAATCTAATAATAGCAAATCAAGCCTGGGCAACACAGCGAGACTCTGTCTCTACCAAAAATGTTTAAAACAAAATTAGCCAGGCATGGTGGCACATACCTGCAGTCCTAGCTACTCAGGAGATTGAGGTGGCAAGATTGCTTGAGCCCAGGAGTTGGAGGCTGCAGTGAACTGTGATCACACCACCGCACTCCACAGAGTGAGATTCTCTCTCAAAAAAGTGGGGGGCAAATCAGCACTGAACAAAGACTGAGTCTTCCCAGAAAGTTAGGTCACGTGTCCCTGTCAATAGAGGTGTGCAAGTAAGATAGCTACGAGGTGACAGTTATCAAAAGGGCTTCAATATGAGACATCCAAGAAAGAAAAAGATGAAGAAATTTCTGAGTTTCCTTCCCAGCCCTGAGCGTCTAGAATTTTAATCCATTCACTGCTGATCCATCAATTGCCTTCACCTGAAGTCCTATGACTCTTTCTGTAGGATGGAAGGATTCATTCTGGCTAGGGGTAGGGGAAGGGGTGGAGCTACCAGCATGAACTTAATACATTGGTGCTCAAAAAGAGTCACGATTATGACATGATGTCCTAAGTTCCCTACACTATGAAACAGTCTTAGTGTGGAGATTGCAAATGCCTTGCCTCTAGGCTGAAGACGGCCCTAGGTGTGGGTACTCTTAAAAAAAATAAGGTTCAACATTTTAAAATTGAAAATTTTCAAACAGAAATTTAGATTTCTGGATTTTTTTAAAGTTATACTTCCTTTAAATATTGAGGAAGGCCCTTTAAATATTCAGGAAGGCCCTTACTACCATGACTCACCATTCTGAATCCATAAAAGTAAATTTGCTATATAAACATCAAAAAATCTCTCAATTCACAAATAACACCATTAGCAAAATAAATGACTAATGAAAACCATGGAGAAAATATTCAACTCATATAACAGCAAAAACGTTAATAATATAAAGTGAGCTTGTAGAAACCAAGAATAAAAAGGTGCAATTCATTATAAAACCAGGCAAAGTATATGAACAGATAGTTCACAAAAAAGTGAACTCAAATGGCCATTAAATATAAAAAATTCTCACCCTCCCTCATAATAAGAGTAATGCAAGTGAGAATTTTACTGAAATAACTTTTTTGCACCTATCTTGTTAGTCAAATACAAAAGGTTGTTTTTTTCTTTCAGAAAAATTAGTTTAATTATCACAAGACATCTTAGTGGAAGGATGGGAGATATTTCTCAAATCTGCCCCCTTGAAAGCTCAGAGACTAGGGTTTTCAAAGATAATTTGGAGGGCAGGGGGCTAAGGAATGGGTGCTACTGATTGGTTGGGAATGGAATTATAGAGATGTGAGAAATGTCTTCAAGTGCTGAGTTTGTTTCTGGGTGAGGCAGACACAGGACAGGTAAAGTCAGTTCCTTGCTGTAGAATCATAGGTCTAGGTAGTGTCAGTAAGTTTTCCAGAATGCAAATGTCTGGAAAATATCTCAAAGGTCAGTCTTAGATTTTACAATAGTGATGTTAACTACAGAAGCAACTGGTGAAGTTACAAAGTGTGACTTCTGGTTACATGACTCCTAAGCAGTAAGCAAGCTAGGGAACAATGGCTGGTTATTGCTTAACTATGCTTATAGCTTAGCAGAATTGAGGCCCCTACCATCTACCATAATTCTAATGCTGTGGAATTGCATTAATTTCACAAAAGGGTTTAGGTCCCTGAAAAAGAAGGGAGTTGGTTTCAGGAAGAGACTGTTGTCATCCTTGCTTTAAAGTTAAATTATAAACTAAATTCCTCCTATAGTTAGCTTGGTCTATGTCCACGAATGAGCAAGAACAAAATACAAAGTTTTAACAACTCTATTAGCAAGGCTGTGAGGAAACAGACACTCTCATGTGTTACCAAAAAGTAGTATAACTCTGATGGAGGCAAATTTTGAAATAGCTAATAAAATTGCTAACATGTTTTGTCTTTGATTTTGCATCATTACTCTCAAACTATGATCTGAGAACCCCTGAGGATACATGAGACTCTTTCAGGGGATATGCGAAGGGTCTATTTTACAATAAAACAGAGAAATTAGAACCCTTGTGCATCATGATGGGTATGTAAAATGTTACAGCTATTATGGAAAGCAATATAACATTTTCTCAAAAAATTAAAAAATAGAATTGCCATTCAGCAATTCCAACTCTGGGTATACACCAAAAAAAACTTAAAATCAGGGTCTCTGAGAAATATGTGTACACTCATGTTCACAGTAACTTTATTCACAGTAGTTGGAAGGTCAAACAGCCCAAATATCTGTCAACAAATAGACAAAAAATAAACCATCATTCTCAGCAAACCATGGCAAGGACAAAAAAACCAAACACTGCATGTTCTCACTCATAGGTGGGAATTGAACAATGAGAACACATGGACACAGGAAGGGGAACATCACACACTGGGCCTGTTATGGGGTGGGGGGAGGGGGGAGGGATAACATTAGGCGATATACCTAATGTTAAATGATGAGTTAAGCGGTGCAGCACACCAACATGGCACATGTATACATATGTGACAAACGTGCACGTTGTGCACATGTACCCTGAAACTTAAAGTATAGTAATAAAAAAAGAAATATCAGGCAAATCCAACCAAAAAAAAAAGAGATTATTGTATTTTTCAATGTGAGAAGGACATGAGAATTGGAAGGGCAGGAGCAAAGTGACATAGTTTGGATATTTGTTTTCTCCAAATCTCATGTTGAAATGTAATCCACAGAGTTGGAGGTAGGGCCTGGTGGAAGACATTTGGATCATACGGGCAGGTCCCACACGAATGACTTAGCACCATCCCCTTCGTTATGAGTGAGTTCATGAGAGATCTTGTTGTTTTAACATACATGGCACTTCCCCACGCTCTCTCTCTTGTTCCTGCTTTTGCCATGTGATGCACCTGCTCCCCCCTCACCTTCTTCCATGGCTGTAATCTTCCTGAGGCCCTCACCAGAAGCAGATGCCAGCACCATGCTTCCTGTACACCCTGCATAACTGTGAGCCAATTAAACTTTTTTCTTTATAAATTACCCAGTGTCAGATATTCCTTTATAACAATGCAAGAGCAGCCTAATATAGTACCTTATATAAATGAAATCACACAGTATTTGGTTTTTTGTGTCTGGCTAATTTCACTTAGCATGTCTTCAAGGTTTATGCATGTAACATATGTCAGAATTTCCTTCCTTTTTAAGGCTGAAATAATATTCCATTGTTATGTATATGCAACATTATCTATTCGTCAAACATTCAGGTCAAATCTTGAATGCTCTGTTGCTTAAAAATTTCTTCTGTCAGATTCCCTAAGTCATTACTCTTACGTTAAAACTTCCACAGATCACTAGGCTATGAACACAATGCAGCCAAGTTCTTTGCTAAAATATAGGAAGGAGGACCTTTGCTTCAGTTCCCGAAAAGTTCCTTATTTCCATTTGAAATCTGGTCAGCCTGCATTTCATTGTCCATAATTCTATCAGCATTTTGTTCACAACTATTTAACCAGTGCCTAAGACGTTCCAAACTTTTCCTCATCTTTCTATCTCTTCTAAGCCTTCCAAACTCTTCAATTTCTTCCCATGACCAAGTTCCAGAGTTAGTTCTACATTTTCAGGTATCTTTATAGCAATATCCCACTTCTGGTACCAATTTTCTGTATCGGACTGTTCTTGTGTTGCTGTAAAGGAATACCTGAGATTAGGTAACTTACAAAGAAAAGAGATTTAATTGGCCCAAAGTTCTGCACAGTGTACAGGAAGTGTGCTGGCATCTGCTTCTGATGGGGGCCTCAAGAAATTTACAATAATGTTGGAAGATGAAGAAAGAGCAGGCACAACAAAGGGCAAGATGAGGAGCAAAACAGAGAGTGAGAAGGTGCCACTCACTTTTAAACAACCAGATCTTATGATCTCATTTATCACCAAGGGGATGGTGCTAAGCCATTCATGAGGGTCCCACCCCCATGATCCAATCACCTCCTACCAAGCCCCACCTCTGACATTGGGGATTGCATTTCAACATGAGACTTGGAGAGGACAAATATTCAGACAATATCATGTATCTAGAATAGTCAAATTCATAGAGTAGGAAAGTAGAATGGTGTTTATCAGGGCCTAATGGGAGAGGGGATGACAGGTGATTGTGTAACGGGGACAGAGTTTTCGTTTTGGATGATGAAAAACTTCGGGAGATGGATGGTGGTGATTGTTGCATAACAATGAGAATGTACTTAATGCCACTGAACTGTACACTCAAAAATAGTTAAAACTGGAAATGTTATGTGTATTTTTACCACAAAATTAAAAAAAGTAAGTAGATAGAGATAAATATATAAATAAATCTAAAGTGATATTTGCCTTTTTATTCTAATTCTTTCAAGAGTATACAATAGCATTTTCCAGAAGATACATGTTGGTACTCACAACAGAGTGAATGCAGAATCAGATGAGAGGATCCAATGTTATTCTACTAAGACATTAAAGGGAATTGCAGAATAAATAGATGCAATAAATAAAATAATGCCACTTTCCTCATTATTTTTTCATTTTGAAAAGTACACTTTATCATTATAAAAAAATTATGCATGCTAATATATAATGGGTTTATTACAGTTATTTCTAAAAGCATACATTTACAAAAATTCTGTTTTAATATCTACTATGGTAGATATTGATAGATATAACTCATATAAATAACAACTCTTTAGGGTTTTCAATACTTTTTATGATTGTATGGAGGTGCTGAGATAAAAAACCTTACTAAGCACCAGCTTGGCAATCCCAAGACTTGGAATTTATCCTACCTGCTTGTGTACCAATGCCCCCTAATCAACAGGGTTTCTCTTTCCTCAGGCTGGCAAGCGACTCCCAAGCCCAGCCCTGTGGTGGGTGAATGGGAAGGGGAAGGAATTAATGTGGAATTTCAGAGAACTGAGTGAAAACAGCCAGCAGGCAGCCAACATCCTCTCGGGAGCCTGTGGCCTGCAGCGTGGGGATCGTGTGGCAGTGATGCTGCCCCGAGTGCCTGAGTGGTGGCTGGTGATCCTGGGCTGCATTCGAGCAGGTTGGTAACTGACTACCTGGACAGAGAACTGTCTTCCTTGTGAAGAAAACTGATAGCAGAGAAATGCAGCCACCTCTCTCAAAAGAAGTCTCTGCCTTGGAGCATGCTGTCCTCTCTCATATGAAGAAAGACTTCTCCCTGCTTCCACTTATTTAAGCAAACTATGTGCCAAGCACTTATGCAGGGTGAACAACAACAATGACATAGTTTACATATTCATGGGACTTACAGAACTTTGGAGAAAGCTCTTAAACTATTAATTGCACATGTAAGTATTTAATCAGAATTATGATAAGTGGTATGAGAATTCTATTAAAATCTATACAAATAAATTTGGTAGACTGTGACCTGCAGGCCAAATCCTGCCCACAGCTTGTTTTTGTAAATAAAGTTTTATTATAACACAGCTATGCCCACTTGTTTCCATATTATATGTGGCTGCATTTGCACTGCAGTGGCAACTTGAGTAGTTGGAACGAGAGAGTGTCTTATCCACAAAACCTAAAATATTTACTATTTGGCTCTTTGCAGAAAAAGTTTGCCAATGCTTTTCTAAAAAGAGACTTGAATTAACCAATATGAGGAGCAACTAAGTCTCAATGGAAGTGATATTTGAGCTGAGATCTGCAGGATGAGTAGGATTTTGCCAAGAGATAGAGAGGCTTGTGCCAAGCAAAGGGAACAGCATATGTGAAGATGTAATTATCTGATGATTTCTTCTTGTCCACTTCCCAGAAAAGCCAAACACTGAAAACAGTAGGAGTTGTGGTAGAGAAGAGTTTAATAATTGCATAGACAGCCAAGTTGAAGGATGGAGGATGTTTCTTAAATCCACCTCCCCAGGAAATCAGAGACTAGAGTTTTTCAAGGATGCTTTGGCATGCAGGGGGCTAGGGAATAGGAAATGCTGATTGGTTTGGCTGGGGATGAAAACATGGGTTGAAGCTGTCTTCTTGTGTTGAGTCAACTCCTCAGAGATCACAGAACTGGTTGAGTTAGTTTCTTGGTATCAGTTACTGATCTGGGTAGTGCAAGCTGGTCCATCAGAATGCAAGGTCTGAAGAACACCTCAAATACCAGTCTTAGGGTTTACCATAATGATGTAATCTATCGGAGAAATTGGGGAGGTTACAAATCTTGTGACCTCTGGCTCCATGACTCCTGAACTATAATTCTAGCCTTGTGACAAATTTGTTATTTTTCCAAAGGCAGTTTCAATCTCCAAGCACGGACACAGTTAGTTTCAGGAGGGAGCTATTATCATTTTTGTTTTAAAGTTAGACTATAAGTTAGATTTCTGCCATAGTTAGCTTGGACTATGTCCAGGGATGAGCAAAGATAGATAGCTTGTGAGGTTGGAAACAAGATGAAGTCAGCTATGTCAGATTTCCCTCAGTGTCATAATTTTTCCAAAGGCAGTTTCAAAGCCACAGGGGAGGGAAGCTTGAAAATTATAAAAGAACCTAAAAGGATATCTGTGTGCCTGAAGTCCAGGCCATAAAAGAAAGTAGTGGCAATAGAATGAACATGTAGAGGTGGCCAGGTGCTATATTGGCAGTGCCTTGTGGTCCATGGTAAGAGTTGTGGACATTTATCCAGTGGTGAATGGGAAATGATTGATGGATTGAGTGACACTCAAACCATTGATACATTGAGTTACATGATCATCCTCTGTTTGGATGGTCATATTGGATGCTCAATAGGGAATGGGATGAGGAAGGCAATAGTGGAGTTGGAAATCTCAGATAAGAGGTGAACGGTTAGTGATGGCTTCAGTTTGGTTGAGGTAGTAGAGATGGAGATAAGTGGATTTAACAGGCAATTGGGGGGGAACTAATAACAGGGTTATTCAAAGAAGATGCGAGGGAGAGAGAGAGAAGTCAGACATTTCAGCAAGTGGGTGCTGTCTTTCACTGGAGTGAAGAGCACAGATATAGAAAGAGGTATGGGTATGTTAGGAAAATATGACAAGTTCAATTTGGGCATGTTGAGTCCAGGATGTCCATGTGATGTTCAAGAAGTGATAACAAGTTGGATTTAAGGCTCTAAAATTTGAGATGGAGACAGAAATTTGAGAATCATCAACTTTTATATTAAAAGGATGAGAAGTACAGTGGTATCAAAAAGAACCCCAAGAAACTCCAGCAACCTCTTTCACAAACTGCCGTTTCCACCTCTGCTTGCACACAGCCTAATCCCAACTAAAAGCTCCCACCCGCCGCATATTCTGGGGACAATGGGCTGAGCATGAGAGTGGGTAAAGAGAAAGACATGAATGCAGCCAGGAATTAGAAACTATCAGAGGCAACCAAACCAATTGCAGGAACTTGGAAGCCTGTGGAAAGAGAGAACAAGCCAGAGAGAAAGGTGACATACTGAAATTATAGCCAGAAGGAAAGGAGAACCCAGAGGAAGAGATGTGTCTACTGTTCTGTGTCTGTCTCAATTGACCACCATGGTAGAGAAACATTTGAGGATATTTACAGGTGTGCAGTGAGAATCCCAAAGTGTTGAGAGTGGGAAGAAAGTGAGCTAAGGTTAAAAGCTATTTAACAGGACGGGCATGTGGTTTAAGCTTCACAAATAATGAAACCTGTGTAGTTATTCTGTTCTTTTCTTTTTCTTTTATTTTTTTGAGATGGAGTCTCCCTCTGTAGTCCAGGCTGGAGTGCAGTGGTGCGATTTTGGCTCACTGCAACCTTTGCCTCCCAGGTTCAAGCAATCCTCCTGCGTCAGCCTCCTGAGTAGCTGGGATTACAGGCGTGTGCCACCAAGCCCAGATAATTTTTGTATTTTTAGTAAAGCTGGGGTTTCGCCATGTTGGCCAGGCTGGTCTTGAACTCTTGACCTCTAATAGTCTGCCCTCCTTGGCCTCCAAAAGTGCCAGGATTACAGGCATGAGCCACCATGCCTGGCCCTAAGTCTAGTTATTCTACAGAAGATTTTAAAAATCAAAGGAGTCTCATTAAAATAGTAAAGAAGAACAAGAATTTAGGAAAGTGATAATCATGGGATATATCTGTGCAAGGAATAAGTCTAATTTTTTAAGATAAATTGTACAGCATGCTAAACACAGCTAATAATTCAGTACTGTAAATTTCAGTATCATTAAGAGCAAAACTTTCTAATGTTCTCATCACAAAAAAAATGTTAAATACTTGAGGTGATGGATATGTGAATTAGCTTAATTTAATCATCTCACATTGTCTTCAAAAATTATAATACCGCTTTGTACCCAATAAATATATACAACTATACTTTGTGTGTACATAGATATGTAAAACTGAAGGCACTCTCATCTAAGAAAAATGCATTTAATGTCCCAGGGTTGAAATAAATTGCCAGGACCTAGAGCTATTGGTGTTTCAAGACCATGGACAGTTCCAAGTGCCTTTCCTCATGATTCTTTAATTATCATATGAGAGTTTTGAATACAGCGAACTCCTGTAGAAAATTTTTTTTGAGGGGTGAGAGTGGGTGAGGAGAATTGTATGTGTCTTAGACTGTCAACAGTGTGACATTAGCAATTCAATTTCTTTTCTTTGTCTCAGTAGGGCCCTTAAGACTCTGACAACCCAGGGAATCCTAGGTTTCATTCACTCCCTAGTCCTTAGTCCCCTTTTTTATTGACGTTCTCCATTGGTCATTACTTCCCCATCCTCTCCTTCCCCACTTGCTCCCTGCTTGATGTTTATCTCAGGCTTCTCTAGGGACAAAGAAAACCATCCTTTCCAATTCTCTAAATTGTTGGCTTCTTTAGGTCTCATCTTTATGCCTGGAACCATCCAGATGAAATCCACTGACATACTGTATAGGTTGCAGATGTCTAAGGCCAAGGCTATTGTTGCTGGGGATGAAGTCATCCAAGAAGTGGACACAGTGGCATCTGAATGTCCTTCTCTGAGAATTAAGCTACTGGTGTCTGAGAAAAGCTGCGATGGGTGGCTGAACTTCAAGAAACTACTAAAGTGAGTATCTACATGTCTCATCCTGGGTTTTAACTAAAACTGGAAACAGAGCCAAGCACTTAGGTGCAGGTGCTTTATTGAGGAGTTGCAGGAAGAACAGCATGGGACTAGGAAGAGTGAAGCTGGGAAGAAATAAAAGCTAATACAAGGGTTTTTTTTTTCAAGTCATTGCAAGGACTAAGTGGGGCTTGATCTGCCTGGACCTTCTGAGCAGCACATAGAATGCCTCCCAGGATTGTCCTCTAAAGGATTGAAAAGCACTGAATCATTAGCATCTGGTCCTCACAGGTTCAGGGTTGTCCTGGGGGTGTTATTGCCTCCACACTTCTGGGCTGCGCACTCATGCGTGAAGAGTGGGTCAGAGTTCCATGCTATGGTAAAACAGAGAAACTATGGGGCACAAAGTGAATCACTCGTGATGCACACTGGAAACAACATGGTGTTAACACCAAGTGGGTTGAAACCCACCCAGAACAATTTACTGGAACTATGACTCAAATCAGGGGTGAGGCCAAGGTCATGAGGGAAAACCCAAGAGATGGCTGATATACCAAGTTTCTAGGCTCTTCTTCCCACCTCTTGTATCTCTAAGAGAGGCTGATCAAGGTCAGAGGCCTTTCCATGTGTTGATAGCATGGAAAGACCTTGATAGTCCTTCCAAAAGCCGATAGCAAGACTGGCTGGATTAATGATTTTCTCTGTCAACATGTCTGAAATCCCTCTAGCGGGGGCACATATGATAGGAAACTTGAAGGGAAAACTTCAGCTTTTCCTTCCTAATGCCATGGTCTTTAAGGTAGCTGTCATGGAAATAAATAGCATCATGCCTGCTTTTAAAGGTTCAAAATCAAGACACTGGAGATGTCCAAGAGATATGTAGGTGCTTCCAGGGAATAGAAGAGAGTGCCAAGAAAGTACTTGGAAAACTCGTATTAATTCCACCCCTCCTGTCCACTTGGTGTCATGCCAGGGCTCTTCACAACAATTAGATTAGCATTTATTGAGCTCTTGCTAAGCAAGTTGCTCATTTCTTTGGTGGCAGAGTTAACTTTCTCAATAACTCTATAAGACTTGATCTCACTTTTTTGCAGATATAAAGTGAGACACAGAGAAGTTAAATAAGTAGTTTAAGGTTGCATTGATAACAAAGTGCCAAACTTGAGTAGTTTTCAAACCCAACTCTGATTGACTCAGGCTCCCATGATCTTAATCACTCAGCAGCCTCTCTTGTGAGGTGGGTCCATCAACTTGCCCTTTTCAGCACAGTGGGTGGTGGGAAAAGATGGGTCACTTTGATATCTGGTGTCCAGGCTAGATCTGAGAAAATGACAATCTGTGTCTTTGTCAGTGAGGCATCCACCACTCATCACTGTGTGGAGACTGGAAGCCAGGAAGCATCTGCCATCTACTTCACTAGTGGGACCAGTGGTCTTCCCAAGATGGCAGAACATTCCTACTCGAGCCTGGGCCTCAAGGCCAAGATGGATGCTGGGTAAGCTGAGCTCTTTCTCTCTACAGAGAATTGCATGACCAGGCATGAAGACGTTTCTGAGTTCAAATCCAATGCTCCTGGGCTGTGTCACCACCTTGTGGTTCTGAGAAAGAAAATTCAGAAGGAAAGCTAAAGAGGACATGGCTTCACATGCTGGGTATCAAGTACCTTCAATGGGACACATATTTTAGATAACACAGGGTCTCAAAACTTCTTCCATGTGTTAAGCCATGTGCCTAGCAGGGTGAATGATTAGCAAAAGGCTTACGTGCATTTCCCCAGGCTGATCTCTATGTTGTTCTTTGGGATGCTGGCAATTTGCTTTGATACCGCCCACACTCCAAGAGGGCAGTTTTTGTCGGCAGCAAATTACTTTGCAAATTGACTGAAGTGGAAGATATAATTGGATAAATTTGTGAACAAAGATCTCAGGATTTCTGGATCACAGACCCCATAGTTGAGCATTTTTTTCCCACTGATACATTAATCCCATTTGTGGAATCAGGAAACACTGTGCCAAGGTATTCAAGCAATGATATCTATAAATCATCAGAATTGTTTTAGTAGATCCCACCTTCCATGTTAATTTTATTATTAGAATGGGAAGATACATTAATGCAAAAAATGGAAAATGTAAATGTTCCATCTATGAGCCCATAGGGACAGAAAAATAAATAAGTTAGTAAAAATTATACAATAGAAGAGCTGCAGTAAAAGGCAGTTTCTAAAAGATGGGGATAAATTACTTAAATATAACTAAGATATTAAATTCCCCTTCCCCCAAAAAATTTGGTAGTGGTCTCATTTTTTGCAGATATAAAGTGAGACTTAGAGAAGTCTTGTACTATGACCTAATTTCCCTACAGAGCTGAAAGTATTAATCATCTTCAGGAAAGAAGATACACTATGGCAGTTCCCGTCACAAGGAAGTTGTTCATGTCTAGCTTAAATCATTCTTGCTTTAAGAAAGTCCTAAACCTTTTATTCTGCCCTGAAAAGAGAAAAGGGATGAGTTCACTTAGTGCAAGACCATCAGCTTTATGGGCAATTTGCAGTACTTAAAGAAAAGAGAAGCAAAGTTCTATTCAGCCAAACTTGAACTTGGCAAGGCATCTGTTAGAATATTTGCCATGCAGATGTCTTGTGTTAGTAAAATTTTCCTGGGTGGTTACCACATGCATGCCAGAAACTGTACGGAGTTTTGGAGTTAAGAGGAGAATGAGACCCAATTATATATTAAGTCATGTCAACTGGGGTCCCACCTTCCGAACATTCATCTCCTATCAATGCAGGATGTGTGGACAGAACAACTTTTCTTCCCCCTTCCTACTTATACTTAAACATATGCCTATAAACCTGCAGGCAGATACACGCACACCTCTGCACACACACCTCCCTTTCCTCCCCTACACCTTAGTGTCCCACGCATCCTAAGCATGCACCCACCTATATGTACATGTGTTTTGTCTGTGTTTTCAGTTGGACAGGCCTGCAAGCCTCTGATATAATGTGGACCATATCAGACACAGGTTGGATACTGAACATCTTGGGCTCACTTTTGGAATCTTGGACATTAGGAGCATGCACATTTGTTCATCTCTTGCCAAAGTTTGACCCACTGGTTATTCTAAAGGTAAGAGAGGATCCAGTTTGCAGCAGTTATTCAGAGTGAGCCCGAGGTTTGCACACTTCAATTTTTTGTAGTTTGTTTCAATTCATCTAATTTTTGCTAAACCTCTGCCATGTGGAGAACAGTGTTCAGTAAACGAGATGGAAATGGTCCCTGACCTCGCAGAGCTCATGTTCTGGGGTAGGAGACAGGCACATATATAGATAAAAGGAGTATGTTCAGGAGAAAGATATTGTAGGTCATTTGTTCACTCAACAAATGTAATGGGCTCTTCCACTGGTGTCACCTATCAGATAGATGCTGGTGAACCACATGTAAAAGGGAAAACTGGAGTATTGGAGGGGATGCCATCTCGCTCTCATGAGTGTGTGTGTGTGTTTGTGAGTGCACATTTCATTTCCTTTTTTATTTGCAGCATAACACACAAACTGAAGGTAAAGTGCACAGAGTGCCACCATCCTATGTGTACAGTTTGAAAATAATTTAGCTGTGTTAGATACTGTCTTAGTCAGCTTGGGCTACTATAATAAAATACCATAGTCTAGGTGGCTTAAATAACAGACATTTACTTCTCATAGCTCTGGAGGCTGTAAGTCTGAGATCAGGGTGCCAGCATAATTGGATTCCTGGGGAAGCCCTCTCTTCCTGGCTTGTTGATGGCTCCCTTACTGCTATATTCTCACATGGTTGAGAGAGACAGTGCTGGTATATCTTCCTTTTTAAAAATAAAGACACTCATGCTATCACTGGGGCACCTGCTTCATTATCTTTCATAATTACCCCTAAAAGCCCCACCTCCAAATACCATCAAGTTGAGGGTTAGAGCTTTAATATAGGGATTTAGGTGGGGACACAACATCCAATTCATATCAGACACCCCTGTAAACACCACCAGATAAAGACATGAAACATTCCCACCACTGCAGAAGGTGTTCATACCCCTTCTCTGACAGTATCTGCCCCCCATAAGTTAATCCTTCGTTTGATATCTATCACCATAGATTAATTTTATCTCTTCTTGCATTTCATGTAAATGGAACAACATTATATATAATCTTTTTCATTTGGCTTCTTTTACTCAAAATATTCTCTGTGAGATTAGTCCATGTGTTGCATGTATCAGATGTTTGTTCTTTTAGCTGGCTGCATAGTATTCCATTACGTGAATCTGTAAAAATGTTCCCCCATCCTATTGTTAATGAACTTTGGGTTATTTCCAATTTAAGATGATTTTCTAGAAGCAATTCGGAAGAATAAGTGGAATTTTTTCCTATAGAACTTGATGGTACAGCCATTAAATAAGACCCACAAACTGCAGCTATGCTTTATCCTGTAGCAACAAAGCAATGAAAATGACCTCATTTTGCTTATGAAGATACACCCTATGTTGGACTCTATGATAGAGGGGTTGGGTTATTTCCCTGCTGTGCCCCCAGATCTCTAATGGCCCATCCAGACATCTATTTGGCTGCAGCAAAGGTTCAAGCTAAGGCATAGATGACGTCTTCAAAAGTCAAAAAGCCAGGTGTGGTCTGGATTTTCATAGGAAATTATCTTCAAATAATACTGTCATTCTCTGTTTTAAGCAAATTCTTACTCTGTGTCCTTCTCAAAAGGATTTGAACTGGTTTTTAATAAGTTCCACCATTAAAAAAATGAAAACAGACATAAACTTATAAAGCCCATTAGGAAAATATAGGTTGGAGGTGTAGGGTGGAAAAGACTAAGGAAATTAAGGAGAAATATAGCAAATGAGTATGTAGTTGCAAGTTGAGCTTCTAGTAAGTCAAAGCAATAAGGAATATGGGATCATTTTCATAGCTTATATCTGTGTATCAAGCACATTTGAAGGAAATTATTGCATGATACTCACATTTGTCATTTTTTCTAGACATTTTGCTTAAACCATTGCCATGGTTTGAATATTTGTGCCCCCCAAAACTCATGATGAAACTTGTAAACCAAAAATAAAATCCTAAGGCCCCATCCTCCCAACCATCTGAATGGACTTCCTCCTCAGCCAGGGTTCTTTTAAAATTTAACCTGAGAGACTGTTTCAGGCCATGACAGGAAGTCGGAGTGGGACATGCCTCATTATACCTTTCTGGTATTAACATCAATATAGACTTTAAGTCTGATAAAAAAAAATTAAAACCTATTCTGTCTAAAAAGCCTAGTGTCAGTACCTAAAAGCTTCCTGTGCAAATAAGAACTTGGGTCTCCACAATTATTTATCTTAACTAAGGCATTCCTTTCTATTGATCCCAGGTCTTTAGATCAACTCAACCAATTGTCAACCAGAAAAAATTTAAATCTACCTATAAGCTGGAAGCCCCCGCTTCAAGTTGCCCCACCTTTCTGGACCAAACCAATGTATTTTTTAAATGTGTTTGATTGATGTCTTATGTCTCCCTAAAATGTATAAAACCAAAGTGCACCCTGACCACCTTGGGCACGTGTTCTCAGGACCTCCTGAGGGCTCTGTCATGGCCATGGTTACTCATGTTTGGCTCAGAATAAATCTCTTCAAATATTTTACAGAGTTTGGCTCCTTTCATCAACAAACTCAATCCCCAGTGTAACAGTAGTAAGCAGTGGGGCATTTAAGAGATGATTGGGCCTCATGAGGGATTAATGGATTAACAGTTTATCATGTTAGTGGGTTAGTTTTGGAGAGTGAGTCTGTTATACCAAAAGCCAGTTTTGCTCTACCTCATGAGCCCCTTTGCCATGTGATGCCCCGAACCTCCTTGGGACTCTGCAGAGTCCCCATCAGCAAGAAGGTTCTCACCAGATGCAGCTTCTTGACCTTGGACTTTCCAGCCCCTAGAACTGCAAGAAATAAATTTATTTTCTTCATAAATTACTCTGTCTCGGGTACTCAGTTATAACAACAGAAAACAGATTAAGACAATACTCTATTACATTCTGCATAAAGAAAAGCATGGGATGGAGATGGTGTTATATGACAGGAATACATGCTGCAAATAATGATCCCACTACTTGCTGACTAGGTGACCTTGGAGCAGCTACTTAACCTTGTACATCATGGGTTTCCCCTCTGTATCATGAGGATGATAGCGCACACTCCATGAGGTTATTGGAAAAATTAAATGAGGTAACACAGGACATGGCAAGTATTCAGTACTAGGTCTTTTTGTAGCACTTGTTTTGAAATGTCTATAGATGTCTTTAGCTTTTCAAAGAACTTTTATATCTAAAATATATCCCAAAAATATTTTCAGGAAAATAAGGCTGGAAACAATCTATTATAAAGCTGGCTACAGAAAGTTAAGGGACTCAACCAAGACAGCTGCTGTACTCAGGCAGCTGATCTTCCCTTGGTTGCTGGGGGGTGATATACTCCTAGGGGTGTGTTAATGAGGGCAAGTCTTAAACTGGCAGGAACAGACATCCAGGATTTGACAAAAATGTTTCAAATTAGCCTTAGACTTTTTCACTACAATAATATGTACTCATTTCCCTGTTATTTGTGCCTTCAGGGTGCATGAGAGTTGTGGGGCTCATTTAACTTGAATCAGACATAGTAAACAAGCTAGGGTTTTCATCCAGACCTCTACAACTCCATAGCTCACAATTGTAACCACTGTGCATAGCCATAAGTTGGCATTTGACCTGGTGACCAATGTCTCACCTGGCTCTTGTCTTCCAGACACTCTCCAGTTATCCAATCAAGAGTATGATGGGTGCCCCTATTGTTTACCGGATGTTGCTACAGCAGGATCTTTCCAGGTGATGGGGCTTTGAGGATTGGTAAGAGAGTCTGGCCCCATCCCCCTGACTCCCTCACATACATTCATGCCTATCTATCTGAATCTCTCGCACACAGAGAGCCCCATGAAGCCATTTGCATCATCAAAGCACCCAGAAACCAAGTCTAGGCCTGAGTGGACTTTGGTTCCAGGGAGGCTGAGGGCAAACATTTATTTCTCTTCTTCAGTTACAAGTTCCCCCATCTACAGAACTGCCTCGCTGGAGGGGAGTCCCTTCTTCCAGAAACTCTGGAGAACTGGAGGGCCCAGACAGGACTGGACATCCGAGAATTCTATGGCCAGACAGAAACGGTACCTGTTCCCAGGGGAACCATGGGCTGTGTGCACTTTTTGGGCTTCAAAATTCTCTTTGACAATAAAACATGTTAGCCACCATGTATCATTCATTTATTTGAGAAATATTTATTGAGCCTCTGTGAAGGGACAGGTACTGAGTATTGAAAATTCAGCACAGAACAAAAAAGGCAAAGTTCCTGTTTTCTGGGAGATTACATTCCAGTGAGATTTGGGGAGAGAGACAATAAACTAAGAAATATCTAGCATGGCAGGTGGTGAGAAATGCGATGGAAAAAGTAAAGTAGATGAGATGGGGTGAGAAGTTGGTAAATCACATATGGTAGTCAGAAAGTTCCTCTGTGATGGGGAAACATTTTAGCAGAGACCAAAGTTTATCAAACATGTCAAGCACTGTACAAAGCTGCTTAGACTGAAGTGAGGAATGGGAAGAAGAACCCACCATGGCTTTACTGCACCTCCTGACATATCTTCTTGGAACTCTTGAGGTCTCATGTGCACAATGTGGATTTATGCTATTCTATACTATTTTACTTATCAAAACTACATGGGGAATACTTTTCCCCAACTCTTCTTCTCCTTTTTCCAGTGCCTCTTACTTGTGACTCTCAGCACTTCTTGCCTCTTCCTCTCCACTCTCTTACCCTGCATCCTTCTTTAGCTAATGAGTACCCTTGGTAGAACTTTTGCAGAGTGTTGATGGCAGCTCTGTGGTATGAAAGAGCCAGGAAGAGCTCTGCAAATATGAATAAGGACAATGGAGTTGTGGCAAGCATACCCTGGCAGGGGCCTCCCACCATTCAGAGGAGGACATGTTTAGAATATGCTTACAAGGACACTCAGATTCCCATGATCTTAATCACTCAGCAGCCTCTCTTCTGAGGTGGGTCAATCAACTTGCCCTTTCCAGCACAGTGGGTGGCGGGAAAAGATGGGTCATTGTGACATCTGGTGTCCAGGCTAGATCTGAGAAAATGACAATCTGTGTCTCTGTCAGTGAGGCATCCACCACTCATCTGTTATTCTGTTGGGAAGGTTCATTTCAGGGTTCAAGCAGAACTGGTGCTGCCATGGGAGATACTTTAAAAAGTATATTTTACTGCTTGAGGAAATGGATACCTCAGTCTTCATGATGTGATTATTTCATATTGCATGCCTGTATCAAAACATCTCATATATCCCATAAATAGATACACCACAAAAATTCAAAATAAAAATAAAAGTAAGTATATTTTAGGTCTTACAGATTGCATATTGGTGATTCCATATAGTTTGCAAGGGCTTTGGGTATCCATAGCGTCGTATTAAAATGTGACTCCCCCTAAAAGAGATTATAATGTGATTGTTAGGTCCTCTTCCTGGGGAGTGGTAGATGGGTTGCTTCCTGAACAAACAATTTAGTGAGGCCCCTAGGATTGTGATTCCAGTAATGGGGAGAGAGCCAGGGAATGAGGAGCAGGGGGAGCCACCAAGTGCAGGCCAAGTTCAGGACAGTGTCAGGACCCGCTCTGCAGAAATTTTTTCTTTTTCTGTGACCTTGTACCTCCTCCTGAGGTTTGCTGATCTGTCTGCTTCTTTCCACAGGGATTAACTTGCATGGTTTCCAAGACAATGAAAATCAAACCAGGATACATGGGAACGGCTGCTTCCTGTTATGATGTACAGGTTTGCTCGGGACACTGAGGAGGGAGGAAGTTAGGGGAAACACTGATTTTCAGTAATTTATGTTTTCCATTGTTTATTGAGTCAAAAATAATAGAAAGTACTGATATTAAGATAATATCAGAAAAAAGGGACGGAGGGAGGTTAGGGGGAAGGAGAGAGTGAGGGAAGGAAGGAGGAAAAGGAGAAATGATTTATATTCTTACCATCCAGAAGGACTCACTTTGAATATCTAGCAAATTAGCTAGACAGTATACAAGTATATATGCTTTAAAAACAAAAATGGGGTGAATCTTGACATAATATTTTGTAACTAGCTTTTATCATTTAACAATATAGGTAACGATCTTTTCAGTTCAATTAATGCCAACCTGCAGCATGATTTTTAATGATGATATAGTATTAAATAGTATGTATCCACTGCTGTTTATGCCTTTTATCGGACCAAGGGATGATGTCCCAGTTTTCACTAGTAAAAATACACTATAATGAATGTGTAGTAGCTAAAGTTTTATTGCTTTCTCTTGTTGTTTTTTGAGAACTAGAATTTGTGTTTGTGTATCTGTGTTATGTGTATAGTTCTGTATATCTAAAGTGTAACTTAGACGCTATTCAGTGTCATATCCAGTTACTTGCCATGCCATTCACTATGATAACCATTTGCTAAGCCCCTTTCTTAGTATCTTATTTCATTCCTATAAAAATCCTGTGAAATAAGCTGTCAGTATCTCTGTTTTATGGGTGAAAGCACTGAAGCAAAGAGTTTAAGTAGTTCAAAGTCAGCTAGTAAGGTAGCAGAGTAAATTTGAGTTTTGATCTGCCCGATTTCTAAGTCCACAGGTGAGGTAGGTCTCAAAGGTAAGAGGAGGCTATTATTTTATCTGAGCTCCTAGAGCCAAAAGCATCTCCCCAGGCTCATCTGGGCCAGTCTCAATAAAAGGATTCACCTAAACTATTCCAGGCAGGTGGATCAGAGATCTGAGTTTAAGACTCTTGGGTTCCCTTGGTTTTTGGTTGTCGTTTTCAGTCTCCACTAGAGCAAGAGAGTCTTTCATTTGACCAACTCAGCAATCTCCTGCTGCCATTGAAGCCATCTCCTGCTGTGTGCGTCATTCTTCCAATATGCTTCTTTCTCCAGGTTATAGATGATAAGGGCAACGTCCTGCCCCCCGGCACAGAAGGAGACATTGGCATCAGGGTCAAACCCATCAGGCCTATAGGCATCTTCTCTGGCTATGTGGTGAGAAACTGTGCTTCTCCTCCTCTGTTCCCCAGTGAGGATGGGAGCACTAAACGGGATGAGGGAGGACAAATGTTCTGAAACTTCCAAGAGGCATTAGATATGGAGACAAAGAGTGTCCAGTTTTCAAGAATGTATGCTTTGCCAGTGGAAGAAAAGTGGCTATTCAGCCT
The DNA here is from genome assembly GCF_000001405.40 of Homo sapiens. Classification (NCBI taxonomy): domain Eukaryota; kingdom Metazoa; phylum Chordata; class Mammalia; order Primates; family Hominidae; genus Homo; species Homo sapiens. The sequence continues at coordinate 20,544,983 of NC_000016.10, read as the reverse complement.
TGCCATCCTCAGCCTATCACTGTGATCTCATTGGAAGACTTATTTTTCTTCAGTTAGCCCTTAGACTCCTCAAGAACTCTCTGTTTCATGCCCAAAATATTATTGACCCTGAACTATACACAGCACCATTCCCCCAAGGGCTGCCTTTCCCTCTCCCCTAGGTATCATCCCCATGATCTATGCCGTTGATCTTCTTTAGAGCCATGCCAGGCACTTTACGTTGAGACTTCACCATCTAGTTGGAGGAATCCCTATCTTCAGATCTTGGGAAGGTAAAGACAGATAATCCTTGAATCTGGCCACCTCACTTGACAGGTGAGGATGGTGGAGCCAGAGATTACAAGACTTGCTCAAGCTCACAACCATTAGAAAGTGGACAGAGAAGAACCCAAGGGCATGCCTTCTGATCCCTGAGATAATTGACTAATAAACTAAATAAATAATAAATCAAATAATAATAGTTTCTACCATTTATTGAATGCATACCATGAGGCAAGCATTGTTGTATAAACACATTTAATTTTTAAACTTTAAACTCATTTAAACTTTCAACTCGTTTAATCCTCCCAGCCACCCTATAAAGTTTTTGGACTCAGATTGCTCGAGTTCAAAACCCTGCTCTACTATGTATAGCGTGATCTTAGGGAAGTTACCTATCTGTCATGTCTCAGTTTCCTCATCTGTAAGTTGTGTGTCGTGAGTGTGTTAAATAAAAGAATTGTTGTAGATCCAAATGATTATTCCTATTATACAGATGAGGAAAACTGAGCTTCAGCGATCAGGGCAGAGCCACACTGTCCCCTTCTCCAAGCATTTCCTTTGTGAGGTCCCACTATATTCTCAAATGCCAGTGAAGTACTATGTCATGGGCTTCTCCCCATTTGATAAAAAAGGAAACAGACTCAGAAGCGTCTGTGGGGCAGATTCCTAAGGCCACAGAGGCTCCATGATGCCCATGAGAAAGTCAATCCAGTAGCCAAGAACCCTGGCTTCTGGTCTCAGTTCTACCTTCTGTAATGGCTGTTTAGCTTCAGACTAAACTCTTGATGTCTCTGATCATCAGTATCCCTATATTCCCAATGATGGAGTGAGGCTAAGAATTCTTTATGCCACCATATATAATCCAGTAACTGAACTTCCAGTCTGGAGCCCATGCCCCTATACCTGAGTCAGATAGGAAGATGCACTGACAAGGGATAAAGCTCAAGCCTTTTCATTACTTATAAGCAAGTGCCTCAGCTGAATAGAGGGACCCAGCTATTGTAGAAATATGCACATTAGCCAGGGTCCCAGGGGGCTTCCTGGCTAATGTCTCTAGAACTTTCAAATTTACAAAGAAGCTAAGAAAAGTACCTAATCAAAATGATAGCTTTGAGTGGTGCTATGGAGTGAACAGAGATTAGGATATCTATGAAAGGAGAGATGGAATCAATTGGGGAAAATGCCCTAAGCATGGATGAATGAATACATCAATAATATCCATCAGACTGGACCTAGAGGAGTAGCTGAGACACCCTGGGTGGAATAACTTCAATAAATGGGAAAAATCCAGTTCTGCCTGTGGCCTAGGGTTGGCTGGTTCAGGGCATGTCTGCCATGTTCAGGTTATACACTGCACACCTGCAGTTTTAATAAGACTCATAGCATTTGTTCATGGCAGCCCCAGGGCAGGGGATTTAGGCTTTGCAGGCACAATGACTCTGTCTTTCTGTGGTCACCAGGAAAATCCCGACAAGACAGCAGCCAACATTCGAGGAGACTTTTGGCTCCTTGGAGACCGGGGAATCAAAGATGAAGATGGGTATTTCCAGTTTATGGGACGGGCAGATGATATCATTAACTCCAGCGGGTGAGCTTGGTTTCTGGGTTGGGAAGGGAAATCTGGGTCTTTACTCTGGCTGGTTCCAGACTTCCGGAATGGCCTAGAGGTTCGGTGTCCAGTGTTCTCTGAAGGACAGGTTCTTCTGCAGGTACCGGATTGGACCCTCGGAGGTAGAGAATGCACTGATGAAGCACCCTGCTGTGGTTGAGACGGCTGTGATCAGCAGCCCAGACCCCGTCCGAGGAGAGGTGATGGGGAAGCAGTAGCCTGGGGGTGAACAGATATGAACACAAGGGCAGTGTAGTATGATGGTTTAAGAACAGGGACTGTGGGGCTGAACACTCTGAGACCCAATCTTGGCCCTGCCACTTACTAGCTATGTGACCTTGGGTAAGCTACTTGGCCTCTCTGTTTCTCAGTTTCTTCATCTGTAAGATGAGGGATTGTTATGAGGGTTAAATGTGCTAATATTTGTAAAGTACTTAAGTATGGTGATTTCTCAAAAAACTAAACAGAACTACCATATGATCCAGCAATCCCACTACTGGGTATTTATCCAAAGGAAAAGAAATCAGCATATCAAAAAGATGTCTACACTCCCATGTTAATTGCAGCACTATTCACAATACGAAGATATGGGATCAACCTAAGTATCCAATGGATGAAAGGATAAATAATATGTGGTATATATACACAATGGAATACTATTTGGCATTAAAAAAGAGTGAAATCATGTCATCTGCAGCAACATGGAGAGAACTGGAGGTCATTATGTTAACTGAAGTAAGCCAGGCACAGAAAATAAATATCACGTGTTTGCACTCATAAGTAAGAGCTAAAATAGCTGATCTCATGGAGATAAAGAGTAGAGTGATAGATACCAGAGGCTGGGAAGGGTGTGTGGGTGGGGAAGTGGGGGATGAAGGGAGGTTGGTGAATGGGTAGAAGCATACAGTTAGCAGCAATAAGTTCGAATGTTCAATAGCAGAGTAGGGTGACTATAGTTAACAACCATGTATTGTATATTTCAAAATAGCTAGAAGAGAGGACTTGAAATGTTCTCAACACACACAAATTATAAATACTCAAGGTGATGGACACCCCAAGTATCCTAACTTGATAATTACCATATTTGCGTGTAACAAAATGTCACTTGTACCCAATACATATGTACAAATATTATGAAATGATAAAAACTTTTAGAAAGTAAAGTGCTTGGTTGGGAGGCTGAGGCAGATGGATCACGAGGTCAGGAGTCCAAGACCAGCCTGGCCAAGATGGTGAAACCCCATCTCTACTAAAAATACAAAAATTGGCCAGGCACGGTGGCAGGCATCTGTAATCCCAGCTACTCAAGAGGCTGCGGCAGGAGAATCACATGAACCCGGGGGGCGGAGTTTGCAGTGAGCCGAGATCGCGCCTCTGCACTCTAGCCTGGGTGACAGAGTGAGACTCTGTCTCAAAAAAAAAAAAAAAAAAAGAAAGAAAAAGAAAAAGAAAGGAAAAAAGAAAGTGAAGTGCTTGGAACAAGGCCTAGCACATAGTAAGTACTATATAATGTCTATTTTGATGAGGCTGGAAGGATTCTATCCTGCTGTTTGATATTTGAATCAGAGTCTTATTCCTGACCAGAAGCACAGAGGAGGGATTTGAGCCAAAGGATAGAGCCCCTGTGCCACAGAGTTCACAGTGAAAATAAAGGGAAAAAGAAAGACCCCTATAAAGCCAGGGTTATAGAAATAGGCTCAGATGGGGTCTAGTGGACTTTGATGTGTGTGTAGGAAAATATTAAGGTGGGATGTGTGGATCAGTGTCCTAGCACATTCCCGCAGGGTGTAAGCCTGGCACTATCATACCTCTGGTACGTACAGAACACATCACACAGAAAATTATGGGAACCACTGAGCAGTGAGGCCAAGGGTGATCCCCTGCTGAGAAAACCCTGTGTGCCCAGCTCTGAGCTAGCCCTGCTGTATATGATTTCATTTTAGTTACCATAAGTTGAATTTGGCTATTTTATCCCCATTTTGCAGACGGGAACACTGAAGTTTGGAGAAGTTAACACATTGTTTAGGGTTATGGTTTTCAGTCTATTTTTCTCTTTTCTCCCCCTGTATCTTCTTTCTCCTCATCTGTCTCTGTTGTCCTTGGAGCATGAGGTGAGCCTGGTCTCAATCTATTGTCCACCTGCTCCTCCAATAAACGACTTCAGAGAGAGCTGGAACCTCATTCTTGTCCCCAGTTTCTCCCTTTCCCTTGACCTGGATCACCGGGGGTGCAAATGAGTAGATACAAGGGTGATGCAAGTCTTAATGCTAATTTCACATTATTCCAGGAGATGACTACACACTCTAATCCCTTATCTCTTGGCCTTCATCTATTTTGCAGGTGGTGAAGGCATTTGTGATCCTGGCCTCGCAGTTCCTATCCCATGACCCAGAACAGCTCACCAAGGAGCTGCAGCAGCATGTGAAGTCAGTGACAGCCCCATACAAGTACCCAAGAAAGGTAAGGCCTTTGAGCTCCCAAGTCACTCAAACTTGAGAAATAGATTGTTTTCCTGTTATATTTATCTTCTTCAGGAGGAGGACAGCCTTCTAATTTTAAAAAGTCTTCCTGGGCCGGACATGGTGGCTGACACCTGCAATCCCAGCACTTTGGAAGGCCAAGGCGGGTGGATCACCTGAGGGCAGGAGTTCAAGACCAGCCTGGCCAAAATGGTGAAACCCCGTCTCTACCCAAAATGCAAAAATTAGCCTGGTGTAGTGGCATGTGCCTGTAATCCCAGCTACTCAGGAGGCTGAGGCATGAGAATCGCTCGAATCTGGGAGGTGTAGGTTACAGTGAGCCGAGATCATGCCACTGCACTCCAGCCTAAGTGACAGAGTGAGACCCTGTCTCAAAAAAAAAACCAAACAAACAAACAAAAAAAAAAAACAAAAAAAAAACAACTCTTCCTATGCTCAAGAAAGCCCAGAAAGACAATCTAGCAACTATCTTGATGCCTGAAAAATGACCTCAGCTTTTGACTCACTCTGAATCAAAAGCCAAATGCTGTCAAGGGAATAAGTTCTAGCCAGTATCTTACCTGTATTCCCATTCTCTGCACTGGGTTCTTGCTATAGTATTCAGGGTTGTGCAACGCTCAGTTGCAAGTGACAGAAATCTAGCTTGACATTTATTGCTCATGCAATTGAAAAGTCCTGGGGTGAAGAAAGCTTTCATTATGGCTAGTCCCAGGCATTCCTAGGATGTGGTCAGGTGTCTCTCTTTCACCCTTTGACTCTCTTTCCTTTGTAGTGGCTTGATTTCTTGGAATGCTTTTTCTTTGTGGCTCTGTCAGCTCCAAACATATATTCTCAGCAGCTTAGAAAACTCCAGTAGAAAATGAGCATGTTTTTCTCCAAAGGCCTCAACAAAATTCTCTGGGTTGACTCTCACTGGACCAACTTGGGCCATGTGTCCATTGCTAAATGAATCCCTGTAGCCAGGCCAATGTCACACTGATTAGCCAAGTCATCCTCAGAGAAAGTGCAGGGGGGATGGGGGAGAGAGCTCCCCTACCCCATGACATGGACTGAGAGGGAGGGGTGGCTCCCCACAGGAAAAGGGAAGTGTTCTTACGAGAAAAGACAAAAGCATAGTTTTCAGCTTCTTTCATTCTGGGACAGAGAACTGAGGCACAGAGGTTGACAAGGCAGGAGAACCCAGTTATTGGATTTGGGTCCCAGATAGGAGCTTGTCCCAGAGAAAGAAAAAAAATTGAGTCTAGGGTAGAAGGTGAGAGCAACTATGCTGAGCTTAGAGTCCCTTAGATTCTTATGTAGCCCAGATGCCACCTGCCTTTCCTCAGCACAGGCTAATTGTCATAGGTCTTCTGAGAAGCAGGCCATGGGGAAAGAGGTTACCACGCAAGAGGCTTATTAGGGAGTGTTTTGGAATCAACCCCTGGGGGAAGGGAGAGGAAGGGAAAGAAAGGAGCAGAACTGAGCAGACGGTGAGGTTGCACTGTGACTTAGTCTCAATGGGAACTCCAGCCAATCCCATGGGAGTTCTGGAGCTAGTATAACCTTTCAGTGTTGTCCTAAGGCAAGGTGAGGAAGGGAAGGGGGTCTTTACGGTCACAGGTGGATCAGGTATGGATGTAGGCTGCCCTGGGAAGGAGTGTGACCTTGGACAAGACAGCTGTCTTTGGCTGAGGCAATCCCCACAGGGGTCTGGTGGTGGAGTGGGACTTCTTTGTCCCTGGAGGAGGATCTTAGCTGCATATCAGAGTCCACCACATGGACTTGCAGCCTCTGAGAGTGAGGCAGCATAGCACAGTCTCAGGAATCAGACTGTCGGGTTCAACATTCACCTCCACCACTTACTCGATAACCTCTGCGTTCCTCAGTTTCCTTATTTGCAAAATGAGAATAATGCTGAACGTTTAAGTATAACTGAATATTGTAGAATGCTGAGTCAAGGAGTCCTATCACACAGTGTGCAGTGTCTTACTCAAATATCTCAATAGATGTGTCTCTTTCTGCAAGTCTCTCCTCTAGAATTCTCAAGGCAGCAGATTATTTGCACCCTCCCCCTCCTTTCACCAACTACATCCAGTCCTTTCTACTTCTCTCTTCATGACAAACAGAGTAGCTTCCTTCTTAGCATTAAATCTGGATACCTCCTGTGGCTTTCATCCACTCTCTATCTACCCTTTGGGGCCCAAATAGTAAATATTGTAGGCTATGTGGTCTATGTTGCAACTACTCAACTTTGCCCAGGCAATGCTAAAGGTTGACAGTTTCTAAATGCATGGGTATGACTGTTTCAATTAAACTTTATTGACAGAAACAGGAAGTGGGCTGTATTTTGCCTGCGGGCCATAGTTTGCTGACCTCTGCTCCATTTCATTGTGTTTTGAATAAACTCTTCTCCACAAAGTCAGTCTTGACTTATAGAAGAATTCTTATATCAGCCACTAAGAAGATACTTTCTCCATCTCAGTATCCCTATTATTAAATTAAAGTTAATAAAGCGTTAATTTTTATTAAATTCGAGACCATCTGAAGCTTAAATCAATGCCATGGCAACTGAGCCACATCACTGGAAGCCTCAATGAGGCGTCTTTATCATCCATATCTTTGGATTTGGGAATATTAGAGATAGAGGATCCTCAACTTCAAACATTCCTTTTAACAAGAGCAAATAGTGAAATTGGAGAGATATTATAATTTTGCTTAGGGTACATTGATAGGAAATGATTGATGTGGAATTCAAAATGAGGTATCCTAATTCTTAAATGTCTTACATGTCTAAAGACCTCAGATTAATCCAGATTAATAACCACAGCTATTATTTTTCAGTGGTTACTCCATACCAATAACTTAGCCTGCATAATCTCCTTTGGTCCATGTAATCACCCAATGAAGTTGCTATTATCCTCCATCTTACTCAGTGGGAAAACTGAGTCTTAGCAAAGCCAAGGACCTGGCGAAAGCCAGATGATTGGCAGAGGAGGAGCTGGGGTCCAGAGAGTCTGATGTCAAGGCTCAGCTGGCTGACTGTTGTGCCATGTGTGTCTGTTATGCTGCTCCTCCTCTGTCTGAAAATATGTCAAATACCTTTATGCCCAATTCTAGCCATCCTCTTATTGTCCTCATCCCAGAGCACCTTCTGAAGCTTCTTATTGCACAGGGCGGCTACCCTGAAGTGGCTCCAGCCTGAAGAACTTCCCCTCACCCTACAGCAGTTCTGAAAAATGCAACCCACTGTCATCACAGATCACCCACCCTGGACTGATTTGTTTTTCAACAGATAGAGTTTGTCTTGAACCTGCCCAAGACTGTCACAGGGAAAATTCAACGAACCAAACTTCGAGACAAGGAGTGGAAGATGTCCGGAAAAGCCCGTGCGCAGTGAGGCGTCTAGGAGACATTCATTTGGATTCCCCTCTTCTTTCTCTTTCTTTTCCCTTTGGGCCCTTGGCCTTACTATGATGATATGAGATTCTTTATGAAAGAACATGAATGTAAGTTTTGTCTTGCCCTGGTTATTAGCACAAAACATTACTATGTTAGATATTGAAATAAGAAAGGGAAGGAATGAGAGAGAGTGAAAAGGAGAGGGTAACAGAAAAAGAGGAAAGAAAAGTAAGTCAGGGAAATGTTAAAAACTGCAAGAGAAAGCAATTGAAAAAGAAATAAAGTAGGGAGGGAAGGCGAGAGGAAGCAAGGGAAGGAGGAAGAAAGGAAAGAGGAGATGAAAGGGGGAGAAAAGATAGAAGAAAAATAATTGAAGGGAGAATCAGAAAAATAAAGAGAAGAAAGGAAAGAAATAAAGAGAGAAAGAGAAAGAAGAAAGAGCAAAAGAACACAAGAAAGAAAGAGAGGGAGAAAGAGAGGGAGAAAGGGAGAGAAAAAAATTGTAAAAATAAAAATAGTAAAAGAAACTGATAAAGAAAAGTCATGGAAGACAGGAAGAAAGGAAGAGAGGGAAGTAAAGAGGAAAACCTATAAATATTCCCACAGATAGACAAAGTCAAGCATAAAACTGGAGCTTGAGAAGGAAATGAAAGGAAAAGAAGTGGTACTTTCTTTTACCCTAGGAGAAGACCTCCATACAGGAAGACTTGTGTGTGGGGCTGGGACATTAGAATCATCCGCAAGTCACTCCAAACCTTGAAACTGTCAGGGTCAGAGGGGAACCACCATTTATTAAGCATTTGCCATGTGCCAGGCACTGACCCAGACACATTATAAATACCACATTGTTTCACCTGTGTGTGGCATCTACAGACCTTAGATCATAGCTGTGAGAACAAAGTAAGCACTGCCAAAGTTATCAGCTACCCATACCTCATGTTTTTGGTGTTATCTACTCTTCCTAGAATCAAATATTAAAATAATTTTAAAACCAAGATCCTGACAATAGTCTTTAGGAAAAACAAAAAAAGACAGGGATGAGGTAAGTGTATGTTTGCAACAGCTTGTGAGTTGGGGAATCCATGGAGAGAGATTGGGGAGGTGGTTTTGTTGAAAGAACAACCAGCACCTCAATTCCTGGGGCTTCTGGGACACCAGATCTATGGTCCAGGAGATGGAGAGAGGTGAGCACTATGAGGACTTCACCTACAACCCAGAGATGGAGGATGAATGTTCCTAGCAATTTCAAGTAAGTAGGAGAAGAAAGCAAAGGTTCTCTGAGAGCCCATGACTCTTCTTAGGAAGACTTAGTAATAATAACAACAATAGTAATAATAATATTGATCATTCATCAAGCACTTGCCAAGAGTCAGGCACTATCCTAACATTACCCTTTGGTTCAGGCACTATTATTTTTTCCATTTTACAAAGGAGTAAATTAAGACTCAGAGAGATTAAATGACAGAGCCGGGTTCTAACACAGGCCGAGCTGCATGCAACATCTATGCTTTCAATTTCTATACTCACTCCATCAATTTGCTTTTCTTGGCTTCTGGACCTTGACAAAGCCGCTCTCTCAGTCTGTACTTGTTAGGGTCCTCCAGAGAAATAGAACCAATATATACATATATGTACTCCACAACATAGGATGGGGTTACATCCCAATAAATGTATCATAATATCAACAAAATTGCAAGTTGAACCATTGTAAGTCAAGAATCCTCTGTACACACACACACACACACACACACACACACACACACACACACAGAGAATGAGAGAGAGAGAGACTGGCTCAAACAATTATGTAGTTTGAGAATTCCCAAGATCTACAGCTTGGAAGCTGAAGACCCAGGAAAGCCAATGTGTATATCCAGTCTTAGTCTGAAGACCTGAGAACCAGAAAAACCAATGGTGTAAGTCCTGGTCTGAGGGCAGCAGAAGACCAATGTTCCAGCTCAAGAAGTCAGGCAAGAGGACTTCCCTTTTACTCAGCCTTTCTGTTCTATCTAGGTCTCTAATTGCTTGGATGAGCACCCCACCCCCACATTAGGGAGGGCAATATTCTTTTTTTTAATTATTATTATTATACTTTAAGTTTTAGGGTACATGTGCACAATGTGCAGGTTAGTTACATATGTATACATGTGCCATGCTGGTGTGCTGCACCCGTTAACTCGTCATTTAGCATGAGGCATATCTCCTAATTCTATCCCTCCCCCCTCCCCCCACCCCACAACAGTCCCCAGAGTGTGATGTTCCCCTTCCTGTGTCCATGTGTCCTCATTGTTCAATTCCCACCTATGAGTGAGAATATGTGGTGTTTGGTTTTTTATTCTTGCGATAGTTTACTGAGAATGATGATTTCCAATTTCATCCATGTCCCTACAATATTCTTTATACAATCTGATTCAAATATTAATCTCATCCAGAAATACAGACATACCGAGAATAATGTTTGGCCAAAAGTCTGAGATCCCCGTGGCCCAGTCAACTTGACACATAAAGTTAACCATCACACAGTCGTCTTACAAAATATACACTAGAAGGCAGATATACTGTAATATGCTCCCCCTATAGTTCACTGAAATACAGCAGATATTTGTTGCCCATAGCAGAGAAATGCAATCTGCTAATCAAATACAAAACTTTGTTTTTCTCAATCTGAATTTATCAGTGTTTGAGGGAATCTTATTTAACTGAAAGCTTCCAAGAATTTAAAATGAGGCGGATTGCTCATTCTGACACTTGGATTCATGTTTAGTTTTCTCTGTCCGCTGCATGCTTGCGTAGGCAGCAAGAGGTCTCACCATCACTCTTCATACTGCATGATGATCTGCTGATAAGGCCTCACATTTCATCCCCATTTTCCCAGTGTCAATAGCCCCTCAATCTCCCAACCTTAAGAGATGTGAAAAAGAATTATACTTTATAGATGCCTCTGTGGACAGCAAGGAAGAAAGGGGTATACCCAGCTGGGAGATCTTGGTGCTGCCTTAGAAACACCTGATGTGGCTTCATGAGGTGACTTCTGTTTTGGAGGTGGAGTGGAAGACAGCAGCAGTGGAAAATGATGATGGGTAGAGATATGTAGGGCCAATGAGTTGGAGACATTTTAGAGTATGCCATAACTGAGAAACTTTGGATATAGAGGGAAACTAACCAATTTTTAAAGGAAGATTTCCAATTAAAATCAGTGTGAACCCCCAAACCATTACCATTTTGTCTAAATAAACTTCACTGGTTTCTGTTTAAGCAAACATTATTGAGTTTTGAGGATTTGAACTCTAGTTTCTACTACTGCCAAATTATGCAAAGACTAGACTACATAGGCTCCTAGTATTTATTAGGATTATACATTGGTGAGCATATCATGTGAGGATCACATAAAGGTGTCGTTAGTAAGAATGGAAACTTCTAAGTAAGCAAGTGAGATCTGGGAGTAAATCCTGGCCCATCGTCTGTCATAAATGTTGTCTTAAATAAGCTTCATTAAGTTGCAAGATGTATAAACCTATTCAGACTAGCAAAAAGTATTCTATTTCAAGGACCCGTGGATAATTTCACAGGATTGAGGAATATGGCAATCAACCAGCTCTCATAAGGGCATAACCAGCTACTTGTTAGAAAACCAAAAAAAAAAAAAAAAAAAAAAAGCAAAAACAAACAAACAAAAAACCATCAGGAGCCCAGGAAGCCACTCTATCCAGCTCTGTGGGAACAGATTACAATGTATCTATCTCTTTTTCCCCTTCAACTATGTGTATCCTTTTTTTTCCTTGTAAGTATTGAGACTAATGTCATAAAGTGGCTTCTCCCACCCTCTGGCTTCATCACCCTCCAGCTTCAGTGCCACTACCTAAATTCCAGAGAGAATGAATCTGATTGATCCAGCTCATGTGAGTTGCCCACATGTACTCTGATTATCACAGAGTACAAATATGGCTACAGGGGCCCAATTTCTTTGGACTGGGAAAAACTTTCAGAGAAAAGGGACAAAGGGTGGCATGAGACACCTCCTAATTTGACTACCCATTTAGACACAAACTAGCAAGTTTTTGCAAAGATTGAGCCTACCTTCCAACATTCCTCAATGCCTCTTTCCTCCTTCTTGCTAAAAGCCTTTCTCTCCATATATAGACCTTCTGCCCATTCAGTCTCATTGAAATCTTGATAAAGGCTGAGACTTCACCTGATTGTTCCCAGGACCCTGTCTAATGAGACCCCAGTTGCTGGAGAAAATATCTGTCTAGTCAGGCTCTCTCTCACTGTGAAAGGCACTGAGAGGATTTAATTCGTAGAGTGATTAGAATCTGATTTCCTAGATACTAATTATCTGCGTGCCATGCCCCTTGAAGGAGGTTTCCTGCTAACTCTGGCTGTCTTTCCTTTTAACCTATGGCCTGCTATTTTTATCTGTACTGAGAATATATTTTTGATCACATCTCCTTACTCACCACCCAATCCATGAGTTCATTAACTTCTCCAGGCTCAGGGATGATTGATGATGGAAACACATCACTTTTAAAGGAAAGCTATACCCTACCCACAGTATAAAATCTGCCTCCCTTCCCTCCTCACCCCCAACTTTAATCTCCTTCTGCCTATGACTTTGACAAAGCAATCGTAATATTCAACCTGTATCTTTCACAAAGACTGGTTTGCTATGACTACTATGAAATCACCAACTCGCCTTTCTCAGGATGAGGCAAAGCTAGACCACTTTATCCTTTCTGCTCATTTTCTGGTCTTTACTTCCAAACAATATCTTTTGAGTCGCTCTGAAAACATAGACTCATCCACACCTACATACACACATATATCCACCTATTCTGATCACACAGTGCTGTACAACAAGTTACACTAAAATATGGCAGTTTAAAATAACCACTTCTTTATGTTCACAAATTCTGTGGGTAAAGAATATGGAAGGGGAATAGTGGAAATGGTTTCATTCTGCTCCAAGGTCTAGGGCCCCTGCTGGGAGGACTTGAAACCTGTGGTGACTTGATGGCCTAAGGCAGTGCCTTTCCCTCAAATTCATATGTTGAAGCCCTGACCTCCAGTGTGATGAAATTTGGGGATGGGACCTTTGGAAGGTGGGATAGAATGAGGTCATGAGGCTAGGTCCCTCATGATGGCATTGTGGCTTTATAAGAAGGAGAGAGAGAAAGAGATGATCCTCTCTTCACCATGTGACTGATGGCAGCGGCAGGCGGTCTGGGGCGGTTGCTGCTGCTACTACTGCACCGGCTGCAGTGGGGAGGTGCCAGCAGTGGTGGCAGGGGCAGCTGCGGGAGCAGCCGTGGCAGCAGGGGGACCCTTGTACCTCATGTCTCCTGTGCCGCGTCCCCAAGGCAGCCGACTGCACTGCCCTCACCCTTGCATGGCTGGGCAAGACCCACCCTAGGCCTGGAGCCTACACAGCTCCGGACCCTGGCCCCGTGTCGCCTTTCTCGCCTTTTGCCACTGCAGGGAGGCTGTGCGGAGGAGGCAGACAGTCCCCGAGCGGACCCTTTGGAGCTCCCCAGAGCCCGTCGCCCTGGGGGCTGCTGCAATGGGTCCGAGTCGAGTTGGAGGGGAAGCAGAGAACTCGGGCAGAGAGGGGCCCCAAGGTGGAGCTGCGACCGGGGCGGTGCCACGCTTGCACATGGGGCCTGGGCGCTGGGCCAGGGGCCTAGGGCTGGGGTCGTGGTTCAGGGGCCCAGGGCAGGAAATGGGAGTGGTGCCGGCTTCGGGGACTCAGCCAGCAGTGCGGCTGCCCCGCCCACCCCACCGAGGGCCCTAGGTTCCTGAACCTAGGGAGGAGGCTGTAAGTGGGGCCACCAGGGGCAGTGTCCCTGGGGTCAACTGTGCATCAGGGGGACCGCCAAGCCTGACACTCCCAACGGCCAGGCCTGGGAACCAGCGATCCACTCCCAGAGGCGTCCCCGCAGGCAGGGCCACTTAAGGGGGAACCACGGGCAATCCCTGAGCACTGGGGCCACTGGAGGGGCTCACGGCGACATTACCCCTGCCCTGGACACCAGCCCAGGCCCAGCAAGAACCTGGAGCCCCGGCCCAGGCTGCGAGGAGGCGCGACCCAGGCTAGACGATCCACAGAGCTGGTGGAAGCCAGGGACAAGCAGGAACCCTGTCCCTTCTGAGTTGGTGGGGTGGGAGCCACCTCCCCATCTCGTGCAACTGCAGCTGACCTGCCGGGGCTTCTGAGCCAGAAGTCTCTTCACTCCGCACCCTCGGGGGCCTGGGAAGATCTCCCTTCCTCCACAGGCTTGGGGGTGTCTGCCCTCGTTGCCTGGCCTCTCCCGGGCCTGGGAAGATCTCCCTTCCTCCACAGGCTTGGGGGTGTCTGCCCTCGTTGCCTGGCCTCTCCCCATCCCAGTGCCCACAAAGTTGGGGCTGAGCCTGGGCACTGTTTTCGCACGCTTGGGGCAGCACTGACACTCCAGTCCCCTACCACCTCAGCACCCTGTGGCCTTTGGGCCCCAACGAACTTGGTGGGGGGAAGGCCGAGACTAGGGCTGAGGGCAGCTTGCCACTGGTCTGCAGGTGCCCCTTGGTGCTAGCCAAGGTGCCCATTTGAGCCTGGCGCCCATGCCAGCACCTGGAGCTGTCCGCCCTGCTGCAGCAGGGGCACAAAAGATTCCTGCCAGAATAGCAACACCCCCAAGATCTTGTAACATTTGGGGGGCTTGTCTGGAATCCGCAGAAGGGTGAGTAAAAATGGATCTGTTCTTTCCATCCTTTCTTGGAGTCCCTAAATGCCACAATAATGAAGATGAAAGAAAAATACTGGGTCTCAGTCAGTTAAAAGTGCCTAGTGTGGCTGCCAGACTTACAACACGGAGGACAGGCTTGCTGGGGAGGATGCTGTCAATCCCCCATCATCCTCAGATGTTGGGAATGTTGGCTTTGTTCCAATCCAGTTTCCCTTCATGGCGGTCTAGCCCTCAGGTGGGACCGGAAGGAGGTCCTGGGTCAACTGAGGGTATCTGGCCGAGGCTACACCTGTGTTATCCAAAGGCCCATGGACCTGGTCCCTGACCACCTGTTAAGGTGTCCAGTCTTTTCTATTGTTTTTTCTTTCATGATTGTCATAGTTCGTATCTCTTCTTTATGTACAATGTTAAATGTTAAGCATGTTGCAAACCACAGAGATAATATTACTGGGTAGAATGAGCATTTGGCTTAGTGGTCAAACGTATAAAATTGAAGGCTAAGATTAGCACAGATGAAACAAAATGTGCCTTAGTATCTGTACGTAAATTTGTGGCAGAAATGTTCTTGTCATTTCCTTCATTGCCAACTTAGTGCCAAGCACCCGAGACACAGAAAAGAAGTATGGCCTCACGAGGGAAGCATTAATTTCAATACCATCCTACAGCTGGTCCTTTTCTGTAAACACAGGGACAAATGTTCTGAGGTCCCATATATGCAGGCCTTCTTTGCTTTGCAGGATAATCTGGACCTTGGCCAACATTGTAGTATTGATTCAACTCTCCTAGTGGCCACCTTGGGAGAGGCTGGAAGGGTCAATCCCAGGGAACTAGGAAAGCAAACCTCAGAGGTACCTCCCACAGGGGAATCAATTCCCTTTGCTCCTCCCTATCTGGGTTGTCTCTCAATCTTGACTTAGCCTAGAAATTTTGGTTTTAGGCAAGATCCAATCTCAACTGTCCCCATAACACATGCCTGGTGAATATGGCCCCATTAAGTTCCAGGTCCCCTTTTCTTTTCAGGACTTAGGGCAAATTAAAAGGGATCTTGACAAGTATTCAGAAGGCCCTGACAGGTATATAGAGACTTTCCAAGTATTTGAACTCTTCTGGAAGGATGTCATATTACTTTTAAATCAAACCCTGACTACCGTTGAAAAGCAGGCCACCCTGCAAGCAGCAGGCAATTTGGGGGATGAGCTTTCTATCTCATATTGGGCCAGGGAAGGGAATGAGTCTTATCTGATTGGAAGAATAGCAATATCATTGGAGGACTCTAAATGGGACCCCAATGATGAAATAGGAGAGTGGAAGAGGAAACATTTTCAGATGTGGATACTGGAGAGCTTATGAAGGACTAGGACTAAGCCTCTCAATTACACCAAGCTATCCGTGGTGGATATCCAGGGATTAGATGAGAATCCCACTGCCATCATGGGAAGGCTAAGAAGGGGCTTGGTAAAATACACCTCTCTATCTCCCAATTTAGTAGAGGGACAGCTGGTCCCAGGGGATGAATTTATTACACAGGTGGCCCCTGAAGTCAGGAGGGGGCTGCAGAAATGGGCTGCGGGACCAGATGGTACTTTTGAGGGCCTCCTGGGAGTGGCCACCTCCATCTTTTGCAGTAGGAATTGGGAGGAAGTCCAGAAAAGAGAGGAGAGTTACAGGAAAAAGGCAGAGGTTCTAAGAGCGGTCTTGTGGGCTCATGGACTCCAGAGTCCCTGAGATGCACCTGCTGACTGCTGCAAATATGGTAGCCTAGGGCACTTTAGGACAGCAGGGGGAAGCCACTTTGACCCTGTCAAGTTTGCAGTGAGGACCATTGGAAAGCGAACTGTCCCCAGAGATGTGGGTCACTGGGTCCAGGGCCAGTATTCCAAATGGTGCAGTAGTACTGATGGGTCCCAGGGTTCCTCTCCCCAGCTCTGGTAGTTCAGAAGGCCAGTGCCACCCAGGAGCCCCAGGTGATTCTAGGGGTCAAAGGAAAGAGGGTGGACCTCCTCCTGGACTCTGGAGTGGGCCTTTCAGTTCTCCTCTCCAATCTAGGACCCCCTCCTTTCTTGGCACAACCATGAGGGGCATCAGGTCTCCTTCCTCCACCATGTCCGGAGTCAACATAGTCCTGTAAATACATGGAGCTTTTCTATGTGAGGGATTAGCTGTTTTTCCTTTTGGGAGGAACCTTATTAGGCCAGGTGCCCAATTCTTGGGACTCCCTTTCTCTCCCTTGTTTGAGGAGGACCTGGTCCCACAGCTCCACCTGCTTATGATAGGGAAGCAACAGAGGAGCTGCCCCCTCCAGTTCCTAGCTGCAATTTGGTGAGGGCCACCTGGGACTAACTTAATGGGTCCATACACCTTCCTGAGGCACCTTTTGTTCCAAAGCTTTGGTTTGAAGTCCTGGAATGGAACACTAGACCAAAGGTTACTGACAGTGGGAATCAAGGGGCACAGCACAGGTGAGCACGACTATTGCTGTTGATTAGGCCCTCTCACTCCGTGGATGGAGGTCATGCTCACATCCATGACATAGATAAGATCTAGGAAACTCAAAGCTTACTGACAGTGGGAGGCTTCGGCACCGCCCAGGTGAGTGTGAATATTTCTGCCAGCTATGCTTCCCTATTTCGTGGGTGAAGGTCTTCTTGCCCCCAGGGTCGGCACCTTCACAGGTCACTGGGACTCAGGGATATAAGGTCAAAAGAAAGAAAGGAATGCCTTCTTTTCCCTCCCTTATGTACCCTGGGTGTTAGTTAGAAAGAAAAAGGAACAAAGGGATGCCTTTTTCCCCTCTTTCCAGATGAGTAACCAATCATCTTCAGCCTGCACTGCACTCCTCATGAGTGCATCCTAAATCATGGAAACTCCTTTGGACCTCAGACTCTGGAGAAAGGAAAAAAAACTTTTCTTTTCTTCCTCTGTCCTCTTTTCACAGATGGTTAATCATGTCTCTGTACCACAGGACACTCCCCTCAGATGCATCCTGGGGAGAGTTTAATTTTCTCAAATCTTAAACTGCTTGGCAATCTCTTGAGGAGGGACAACTGTTCTTTGTCTGTTCCCCTGCACAGGACTCCATGGCTCAGGGGAAGGGAACCCAGAAGCCTGACATGCAGGCAAAGGGTAAAAGTTCCTACCAGTCAGATTTCTGGCCTCTCCCTCTGTCTCTGTACAAAGTGGTTGCAAGAATGGTGAAAAATGACTGTATTCTCTGCCTCCCTATGAGTTCAAAAGCCAGAAGTATTGGCCATTTGGCACGGCTAAGGTTAGGTAATAAGAGATTTAAAAGGACTTCTTAAAAAGGAGAGCTATGGTTAAAAGTCAGCTTAATTAAAATGGATATCCAAGCTATAGGTATATTTAACAGGACTTGATGTCTCTTTGTGGATCTTGTTTTTCTGGAAAAAAAGGATTTTCTTCTCAGTTGACTGAATTATTTTCCCCCATTTTGTCTTGCCACTCTTACTGCACACATGAGAGGCCCTAGGATAACTTCGGATGGCCTGGGACTCCTTGGGAAAATGGAGGAGGCACCACTGACCCTGTTTTGGGAAAAACCTGTTACCCTCACAGAACCCCAGGAATCTCTCTCAAAATCTGTGCCTGTCTATTAGGCCTTAGAAACTGCATGTTTTCCTAGTTCTGTTTCTTGAAGGGCTCAACCCTGAGGCCAGTAATCCAATTAAGAGATTAGCACATGAAAAATCTGACAATTCCTGGATTTCCTTCTGTCTGTCTTTGTAGTTATATATGTGTTATGTGTGTGATGTTTATATAAAAGAGCTCTAATTGATTGGCTGAGGGAAAATAAGTGCTTATATCAAATATTCTTAACAAAAAATAGAAGCTGTAATGCCTTTTAGTTGACATGACTTTAATCTTTGAGAAATAAAAAGAGTTTTAAAGATTATTCATAAAATGAAAATGTCTTCAAAATGTACACATGTGATCCAAATTATGTAGACATGCAGTTCATATCTGAAATAATTCAGATATTAGGCTTGCTAAATGCTTTAAGGTCATAAACTGCTTCTTTGGCTTTTGAAAACTGTTCAACTTGCCTGCTTTACAGTTGGTAAGGCCTGGGGACATATGGAGTTAACCACACCACTAACTATGCTGGAAAAAGTCAGATCTTATCCACACCTAATACATAATTAAAATAACTTACCAGGTTTTAAACCAAAATTAAAATGGCTGAGAGTTAACTTTGTAATATATAGTGGAGACTAGTGAAAATAGATTTACATGCAAAGTTTGTAAGGAGAGTAAAATGTGGTTTTGGTAAAAGATTATAAGAAGGCATGGGAATGTAAATTTCTGCATAAGTTTAGAGGGTTAAAGAATTCCTGGCAAGTTAAAGGTTTGAACAAATTGTGGAAGGTATAAAGGGTTATAAAAGGTTTATAAGAATCTCACTTCATGGTCAAACTCAGATTGGATGGATTTTTCTGTAAGGTTTCATTACCAAAAAATGAGGTTGACATTAATAGTTGACTAATGCAAGGGTGAAATTTGGCTTTCTCTTGCTTGAACAAGATTTTAGTGTAATGGAAGATTTTTGTTTGCCTTGTGAATAAACTTCCAAAAAAAGAAGGGAAGGACAAAAGTTAGATTGCTTGGAAAACTTGGTCTTCTCTCTTAATGAGTAAAGGTTTTTGTTTTTCAAAATTTAAATGATCTATTTTAGCTAAATGGATGACTTATGGTAATCTGAAATTCTATTAAGTGTTTTAAGCTTTCAACATATTTGGTAGGCTTCCCAATATCAAGTTTCAGCTTTGAAATCATCTTTTCTAACCCTTAAATTTGGATGCTACAGAGGGTCCCTGGAGCATCCAAAGGAGAAGTAAACAGGATTATTAGACACGTTTAGTTACACAGGATTGTCCAAATAAGGTGGTGTTTAATTTTCAGGTTATATTTTAGTGAATAATGTTAATATGTGTTCTAAAATAGTATGGGATTTCTAAAATTCTGATGTCTGAGTATGTGTTATTAATCATAATTAGGGTTATTTTGTTGGGTTATTGTAGACCACAGAGGTGACTAAATTTCTTTGTCAATCGTGTTTTTGACTGTAACTACCCTAGGACATTTTGACATTCACAGACAATTGTCTTATTTTGATCCTCTTCAAAAGATGGATTATAGTCCTCAAGGGCAGGTTTTTGATAACTTTAGAGACTGCAAACAAGAGTTGACTGGGTGGACTGAACTAATGGAAGACTGAAGTAATATTTTTGACCTCTTGCTTAGAACATTGCTAATCCGTTGTTTTGCTTTTCAGAGTCAAAGAAGCTGTTCTTTTGAGTTATTTGCAGCTTTTGACAATTGAGTAAAGCATATTCTTGTGAACCAACCAGTGATTTATGACTGCAGCTGAGAAGAGACAAGAGGGATGGCCCATCAAACTCCAAGCGGTAATGCAACTGGAGCCTCACACAATAGCTCCCTTTTTACCAGGGATCCTTAGATAGGTCTCTGAGAGAGATCCAACTGCCGTTTTCCTCAAAACAACACCCCATGTCAGCATGAAGCAGTTAAGAGTGGTCATCATCCCTATCCTTACAGCAGTTAGATGTACGTCTTCAGAGGGGGGATTGATGGCAGTGGTGGGCCATCTGGAGTGGCCACTGCCACTTTGCCAGCCATAGTGGGGAGGTGCAAGCGGTGGTGGCAGAAGCAACTGTGAGAGCAGCAGTGGCAGTGGGGAGACCCCTGTGCCCTGCATCCCCAAGGCAGCCAACTGCACCAACCCCAGCTTTGTGTGGCCAGGCAAGACCTGCCCCCAGGACCAGAGCCTCCACCACTCCAGACCCTGACCCCGCATCACCACTCTTGCTCCCTGCCACTGCAAGAAGGGCATGGACAAGAGGTAGACAGGCCCTGAGCCTGCCCCTGGGAGCCCTGGGAGCCCTGGAAGCCCTGAAAGCTGCTGCAATGGGTCCAGGATGAGTTGCCCACTGGCGGAGGAGCAGTGAGGTCTGGCAGAAGGGGGCCCCAAGGTGGAACTGGGCCCAGGGTGGTGCAGTGCTTGCACATGGAACATGGGTGCCAGGCCTGGGGCATGGAGCTTTGGCAGCACTTCAGGAGCCCAGAGCAAGAGGTTGGAGCAGCATCCACTTCGGGGCCCTGGCCAGCAGTATGGCCACCATACCCACTTGTTGAGGGCACCAGGTTCCTGCACTTCGGGAAGAGGCTCTGCTTGGGGCCACCCAGGGCCACATCCCCAGGTTCCACCCCACATCAGGGTGACTACTAAGCCTGACACTCCTGATGGCCAGTCCTGGAACCTGCAATTCACTCCTGGAGGTGCCCCCACAAGGCAGGGCCATGAGCCAGGCAAGGTGGAGCCCCAGGCCAGCCCTGAGCACCAGGGCCATGGAGGGGAGCTCATGGCAATGTCGCCCCTGCCCCAGACACCAGCCCAGGGCCAGCAAGGACCTGGATTCCCCACCCCAGGCTGTGAGGAGGCACAGCTGAAGCTGCATGCTCCATGGAGCCAGCGGGAGCCAGGGACAAACAGGAGCCCCACCCCTTCTAAGTTGGTGAGGTGAGAGCCCCTTGGATGCAGCTGCAGCTGCCCTGCCGTGGCTCTACGCTGGAGCGTGTCTGCACTCTGTCCCTTCAGGGGCCCGGGAAGGTGCCTCCTGTCCCCACAGGTTTGGGGATGTCTACTCCTGCTGCCTGGCCTCTCCCCACTCCTGGTGCTCACTTTGATATCCAAGCATGGTTGGGGCTGAGCCCTGGCACTGTCACAGCCTGGCTAGGTGTGGACAGGCTGGGGCACTGCTGACCCACCAGCCCCCTGCCACCTTGGCCCCCTCTGGACAGGTGGGAATCCAAAGGGTATGCTGAGGACAGCTCACAGTGTGAAGGCAGATGTTTGCATGCCAGGAAGAGAACCCTCACCAGGAAATTAATCAGCCAGCACCTTAATCTTGCACTTCCCAGCCTCCAGAACTGTGAGAAATACATGTCTGGGGTTGAAGTCTTCCAATCTATGATATTTTGTTATAGTAACTCAAGCTGAAGTATTCTATCTGGGATGAGTGGAAGGAAGCTTCACTCATGGGGTTTCAGCTGGGGCTGTTGGCTGGAACACCTACAAGAGGCACCTGCATGTGGCCAGGACTTCCTCACAGCACAGTGGCCTCAGACTTTTACTAGGTGATTTGAACCTACAAATACAATTAAGGTTAAATCACCTATGAAGATTTAGTCTCAGAAATTACCTAATCAATGAGCCGCTAATGTCAATTCAGATTCCAGGAGAAGGGACAGATTCCAGCTCTGGATGGGAGGTATGTCAAAGAATTAGTGGATGTGATGTAAAACTACCACAATACCTCCTCAATGTAATCATGTCCTGAGGCAACACGTTCAAAATCCACATTTAGGATCCACCGCACTAATTCATCGACGGCATGGTCCTGTTGAGGAGGTATCCAACTTACACTAATAATGGAGCAATGACCATCTCAGTCTAAGGCAAGGTTTGTATGTTCAGAGGGCTGCATAGAAACTGCTATAGCAGCTTCCCAAAACATTAGAGAAAATCCATCCTGTAAGATCTTTAAGACAAAGGAGGCCACATGTTCCAATAACCCCCAAACCCAAGAGGTAATTCTTACAAGCTCTGTGATACAGAATGGTATGTTCTTGACATCCCCAATCAATCATTAGCTCTGGAGGATTCCCAGGCTCCAACCGGGAAAGTGCATTTGTAAATGTGTTGATGGCATGAGGTGCCCCAGACTTCACGCTATTATCTGTAGATAGAAGAGGAACTTGTACGTAAATAACTTGGAGGGGAGGAGCCAGCTCATTTACATTCAGTCTTATTTCAGTATCAGGTCCAACTTTACAGAAATGACAGAGGCAGTTGTCACTGTATTGCATGATATTGAGTTTGGACTTTATTTGGAAAGTAAGGTGACTCATGAAAGTATATTAAGCAGACCAATGAACTCAGTCAACTATGCATTTTTTGAGGGCATTTATTGTTCTACTAGCTTGGAATTTGACTTGGCTACAAGGGTGATGTGCTAAAGGATCAGTCCCTGAATCAAACGCATCTGTAACTTGGTGCATTATGTACATATTTTGTTTAGATTACTCAAGCAAGGTGTACTTTTCTTTTCTTTTTAGAACCAGCATCTTCCTGTCACCCAGGTTGGAATGCAGTGGTACAATCAAAACTCACTGCAGCCTTGGGATCCAGCAATTCTACCTCAGCCTCCATTGTAGCTAGGACTACACGCACATGCAACTACACTTGATAATTTTATTTTATTTTATTTTATTTTATTTTATTTTATTTTATTTTTTGTAGAGCTGAGAGTCTCAGTATGTTGCTCAGGCTGGTTTCAAATTCCTGGCCTCAAGCAATCCTCCCACCTTGGCCTACGAAAATGCTGGGATTATAGGTATGAGTCACTGCGCCCCCCCACCTTAAGGTGTACTTTTGTACTGGGCATATGAGATAGTCATTACAGTCAGTCACATACAGATTTTATAGGGGAAATCATAGAGTGAATAAAACTAGAAAACTGAGGAGGAATCTCTTGAAAATGTGCATGCATTCATTCACCGTGCATGGGGAACTGAGTGAGCACCTGTCACTCTGCCAGGTGCAGAGGAGCAGAGGAGGACAAGAGGCTGCTCTGTCTGAAGAAGACACCTTTAATACACACTTCAGAGTGTTGCATCATGTGCCCCTTGTCCTAGACCAGTGGGTCTCACCTGGGGGCTTTGTGTCCTCTTCCCTGCCTCCAAGACATTTGGTAATGTTTGGAGACATTTTTTATCATGTCCGGGGGAGGGGTTGTATGATTGGTATCTAGAGGTAGAGGCTAGGGTTGCTGCTAAACATCTTAATATCATAGGACAACCACCAATAATGGAGAATTATCTGGCCAAACAGTTAATAGTGCCAAAGTTAAGAAACCCCATTCTGAGGTTTGCCACAGCAAATATGTCCAACCAACCCTGACAGTACCTTTCATCATGCATGCACCATGGACCTCTTGTTACCTACACATAGGTCCCCCTGTTGAGACCAGGGTGTGGGATGCTGCATAATCCCACTTAGCACCATGCATGCATCACCTGGGGGTACAGGGAAGGTATTGCTCCAATTGGTCAAACCTTTGACTAATGGGAAGTGAAAGCCAGTGAATGCCTCCCCTTTATCTGGCAGACATGGTTGCTACAGCTTCTTGGAAATTCATTCTCTGTGATCAAGCCATCTGTCACATGTAGCAGCGGCCAGCTTGATAATACTTTTTCATATTGGCTCTCTCTCTTTTCATATTGGCTCTCTCACTGTTTAGCATCCATTTTTGCTCCCCAAGATCATGCTTCTTAATAAAATAATGCCACCTAAGCCTCTGCCTTGGGGTCCGTGTTCTGGGGAACCCAGGGAGAGACTCTGACTTTAAAGAAACTTATAGAAGAGTAGGAAGAACAATGGTAGGTATTTCCAGGGGCTTCAAACAATTCTAGTACCAGATGATTTTTCAATAAAAGAACAAGAGCTGAGATTTAGTGAGCCTTTGTTGTATTCCAGGATTTCTTCATATATAACCTGATTTCATTACTAACCCATTTACCAGTTCATGCGTCCTGACGCCCAGAGGGATACCAACAGCCAGTAAGTGGCAGAACTGGAATTTGAACTCAGCTCCCTTTCAAGGGCATCCTTAGTTATAATCTGACCTGCTGTCTCTAATTTTTCATCTTTTTAAGTCATTCATTCATTTGGCTCTCTAGGTGGTCTTAAGAAGTCAGCCAAAATGCACTTTAAAAATTCTCCTTTAATAGATCAGAAAACTAGGACTAATAACTTTCAGAATGGAAGAGATAATGTAATCCCATGAATTTCATTTGGGAGAAAACTGACCCCTAGGGACACTGACATATTTTAGGTTGTCTCCAATGAGGATAGGCGTTACTTGCATCTAGTGGGTAGATGCTACTAACATCCTACAGCACACTGGGCAGCCCCCACAACTAAGAACTACTGGACCCAGCACATGACTAGTGCGATATTGAGACACTCTATTCTAGTTCAACTCCTTCAGTTCACAGATGAGAAATTGTCCAAATTCTTCACAGTGATTATTAGCTGAGCAGGAACAAGAAAGATAGGCTCCTTCCTTCCTTCCTTCCTTTTCTGCTTCTTTCCTTTCTTCCTTCCTTTTTTCCTTCCTTCCTTGTTTCATTTTTCCTTCCTTTCTTCCTTCCTTTTTTCTTTCTTTCCTTTTTTCCTTCCCTCCTTCCTTTTTTCCTTCCTTCCTTTTTCCTTCATTCCTCCCTTCCTTCTCCAGGATAAACTTCTCTGGCTCCATCCAATATTTACAGCATTGGTTGTCACATGGGATGGGTTGTCAACAAGGACAGTTTGCTCCTGCAGGCAAGGTCTGGGCTGTTGCAAGCTTATCTGATCTTCTGATCTTCTATTTTGCATTGCTATTGAAGGTAAATTTCTCAAAGAATGCCAAGCTCTGAACAGTGATGTTTGGTGTGCCTTTCCAAAGAAGGCGGGCCTCTCCTCTTTCCTGTTTCTTGGTTTATCTGCTTCCCCTTCTAAGGAACTGCATTGTGATACTCTCTGTTAGGACAAAGGATGGCTGGAATCAGAGAATGTAGGGAAGCACAAGCTTGAAAAGACATGTGCCCCAGTGGTAAGAGCCAGACCTAGAAGATAAGCAGGACCCAGGGTTTTAAAAATGGACAGATAATATTCTAGGCTGAGAAAAAGGTGAATGCAAAGGCTGTGATGCAAGAATTAGCTTGGCAGGCACTTAATTTTCTTGGTAGCTCAGGACTGAGAGCAATCTCCAGAAGTTGCTTCCCAACCAGTGAGTTTGAAGGCTTTTCAACCAAGAAATTTGTTAGTAAGTAGGCTTTACAACATTTAAGATTGGGTTGTTGCTTCCCTTTTCCCTGCTCTGAGAGGAATTGGGGTAGGTAAGTGATCTTGAAAAAGAGCTATGAAGGAGGCATTCCTGTGCATGGATGAAAGGGATGACTGTTCTTAGATGAGATGTGGATGGTCCTCACGTTTGCATCCACAGTGTCCCCACTGATTGAGCTTTGTCAGCAGAATCACGTGCTCTGGTCATGATATCTTATTGGCTAAAATAGATATCATTTGTGGTCCCCTGAAAAATCACATAGCTTTGAAGAAATGCTTTGGATTTTGTAGTGTAAATGAGCTAGGGTGTAGGATCTCTGTGATGTTCAGCTGGACAATCAAGAAATATCGTTGTTCTAGGCCCTGGAGGAAATCAGGAGCAGCAGAAAGTGGGAAGGGCCTCTGTTAGAACACTTCGGTACTCTGGATCCTGTCTCTGGGAATCAGAGGTACCTTTGAAAAGGTTGTCAAACACGTACATTTCAAAAGTCAAACTAGAGGTTAATTAAGACCAAAATCTGGAGGAAAACTGGGCTACCCCTGTCGACTTTCTGCATTTCAATTTTGGAGGCATAAATGGATCTTTGATGACAATTGATCCACAGATGCAGGCCTTATTCTTGCAAATCCTCAACCACATGGTGCGAAGACTGAGGCCTCTCCATTAGGGAATTCTCTGGGCAACATTTCACATGTTAAAGCTGGGAGAAAGCTGAGAGTGAGGCTATAGCTTGGAGGTTATCCATCCTACCTAATGGAAGCAAGAGGCTTATAAAACAACTCTCCCTCTGGTAGCGATACAGGCCTTAGCTTTGGAGCCAGGCAGAAATAATTTCAAAACCCACTTCTGCAACTACCTGAATGAATTGCTTTAGGAAAGTTAATTTTGCTGTTCTCAGCCTCAGTTTCTCATGTATAAAAAGGAGACAATGACAGTATGTATCTTGGGGTTATAAGAACAAAAGGACTTAATTTTTGTCCACTGCTTAGCTAACTGCCTGGCACACACTGAGTGCTCAATACATGTTAGCAACAGTAGCTTTTAGAGTGCTTATCATGAACTGGAATCTGCAAAAAGTACCTTAAATATGCTATCTCCTTTAATCAATATCACAGTTCTATAAAAGGATGTATTTTTCATACTCCATTTTACTTTTGAGAAGCCTGAGGCTCTCAAAGGCAAAGTAACCTGCCTAAGATCACAGAGCAAGTGAGCAGTAGAGCCAGGATTTGAACTCAAACATGCTGACTACATCGTCCACACTCCTAAGCCTGCCTCTTAGCTTCCTCACTCCTCCCTCCATCTTTAATTCTCCGTCTATGCTCTAACATAATAAACAGGACATCTGTCCCTAGAAGTAAAAACAGAGCAAATCAAAAAGGATGAAATGAAGATGTGACTGAGAAAAAGAGTTCCACAGAAATGTTAATAAGGTAGTCCAGGACTGGCTCAAAAGACCACACCTCAGGCTCACTGGCTTTCAGTGACCCAAAGAGTCTACAGAATTTTGAAATGACATAATTTCTCTAGTGTTTGGAATTTCTGTTATACACCATGGAATACTATGCAGCCATAGAAAAGAATGACTTCCTGGCCTTTGCAGGGACATGGATGGAGCTGGAGGCCATTATCCTTAGCAAACTAATTCAGAATCAGAAAACCAAATACCACATGTTCTCACTTGTAAGTGTGAGCTAAATGATGAGACCACATGGATGCATAAAGGGAAATAATATACACGAGGGACTATGGAGGGTAGAGGGTGAGAGAAGGGAGAGGATCAGGAAAAAGTAAATAATGGGCACTAAGCTTAATACCTGGGTGATGAAATAATCTGTACAACAAACCCTCATGACACAAGCTTATTTATGTGAGAAACCTGCATATGTACTCTTGAACCTAAAATAAAGTTTAAAAAAATCCATTGTTACTTGTATTAATAGTTTTTAGCAGTAAAATTTTTGTGCAGGGAGCAGAGACATTGAAAGAATTTTATTCTATTTTTAGAGGACAGTGGGTGGTAGGTCACAGTTTGGGGAGGAAAGCCAATAGAGGAACCATGCAGTCAAGATAAAGCGATCTATATCTGTATCTATATATGTGTATGTATGTGTTTGTATGTATATATAGATGTATGTGTGTGTATAAGATACAGATAATGTATAAAGATGGTTAGATAGATATTTATCTCAAGAGAGGTGATGTGAGCCAGCCTCAAAGACAGATAAGAGAAATGGGAGCTCTGCCCAGCAAGGTTAGGCAATAGCTGTAATCTAGCTCGGATTTGAGCTCAGGTCTGTCTGACCCAGCATTGTGGCATCTCTGTATCCACTCTTTACTCCCAATTCTTACTTTTTTCCTCTCTATTTTCCACCTCATTGTTTTTTTTCTGAGATAGGGTCTTGTTCTGTTACCTAGCCTGGAGTGCAGTGGCCTGATCACCGCAGCCTCAACTTCCTGTGCTTAAGTGATACTCTGGTCTCAACCTACTGAGTAGCTGGGACTACAGGTGCACACCACCAAGCCCAAATAATTAATTTTATTTTTGTAGAGATGGGGTCTCACTATGTTGCCCAAGCTGGTCTCAAACTCCCAGGTTCTGCAACCTCCTTATGGTACCTTTGGTGAAATTGAAAGACCAGCCTACACAGCCTTAGAACTACACTCCCTGGAACCAATGTATGTGGAAACAACAAGTACAGCAGCTGTAATTTATAAAGTGGTTGCATTAGCCCCGTTCTCTAGGTACATAGTATTCAAGATGTATTAGCCAAGACTCAATTTAAAGAAATAGATGTTACTTGCATTAGTCAGCATTCACTACAGTTACAAACATCCCGAACATCTCAGTAGCTTCTAACCATATATATTTTCACCCCACTGTGGGTCTCTGCATTGGAAATGGTCATGCTAGACTCAGATCAGCTCCATCTATGGCGTAAATATTCTGGGATCCAGGCTGAAGACTGAGCTCGTCTTAGTCTACTTTTAGTTTTGCACTTTGATAGCAAGGTAGATTGAAGAAATATTTTGCCTTTCTATTAGTCCTATAGTCGATAAAATAAGAGTGAAAAAGCTGTCTAGGGTTGGGGAGCAATCTGTGCCAGTAAACTCTACAAACAACTGTTCAGCGAAGTCATGGAGGCTGTGGGACAGGGGGTAGGAGGAGTGGAACCAAGAACCCAGTCTCTGCTATTGAATTTCTGTACCTGGCATCTTCAGTTCTTCTTTCTACCAGCAATTTATGCCCTCTGTCCTATAGTCACTGCAGGGGACTATACAGCCTAACTGGCAGGAAACTCAACAACATGAGGAGTATTCCTGACTCAGGAGGTGTTAATTTGCTCCCACATCATTTCCTCTGTACACAAAAGACCAGGCTTCCTCTTCTGGGCAGGGAAGACAGCAAACTCCAATACTATGGGCCATAGGATTCAGTGGTCTAGCAACTCTCCAAAACATTGGAGAAAGATCACCCCAATAAAATATTTAAGACAAAGGGGACCACAAGCCCCAATAACCCCCAAACCCAAGAAGTAATGATTACAAGCTCTGTGGCCAAGTATGGTATATTCTCAACATCTCCAGTTAATCATTAGGTCTAAAGGATTTCCAGACTCCTTTTCCAGACTCTGTGCATTCCACAAATGCACAGAGCAAAGTGCATTTGTGGATGTGTTGATGGCATGAGGTGTCCCAGACTTCATGCTGTTATCTGTAGATAGAAAAGGAACTTGTACATAAATATCCTGGAGGAGGGGAGTAACTTCAGTTACACTCAATTTTATTTCAGCATCAGATTCAGCTTGTAGAATGACAGAGGAAATGGTCATATGATAAAGAGTTTGGACTTTATCTGGAAAGTAATGCTGAGTCATGAAAGTATCTTAAGGAGAGCAATGCACTTAATCAACTATGTATTTTAAATGGTTACCCTGGTAGCTGAGCAGTCATTTATTAAAGGGGAATTTGATAAATGCTTAGAAGAACAATTCCTTCCTCTTATAAATTGGTGACTTAATGACTCAATATGGGAGATGGTGTAAAGGGAAAGGGGGCATGGAAGGAAGGATGATGTCTAGGGTTTTTATTAAGTACACTCAGGTCTTTCCTTATAGCCCTTTCTCAGTAGAACAGGTTTTAAGGCAGAAGCATTGAGTTCATTTGTGGTCAGGCTAACTTAGAGTATCTATATAAAGCCAATATGATATATATTTCATTGGTAATTGGTTAGATATTTAATTTGAAATCAGAGAGAGGTCAAGGCTTTAAATGTGTTTTAGGGAATTAGCTACATAACAGGAGAGAATGAGACAAACAAAGAGCGCATTTGGAAGGAGAACTGTTGGTTGAAGATGAGCCTTTGGAGAACAGTAATATTTAAACAATATTGAGAGGAAGATGATCTCATGGACACTACTGAGAGCAAAGAATCAGAAAAGGCAGGCATGATGACAAAAGGATGAAAGACAGCAATTCAAGAAGAGTTGATTAGCACTGCTGTATTAGTCCATTTTTATACTTCTATAGAGAAATACCCAAGACTGGGTAATTTATAAAGAAAATGAGATTTAATAGATTCACAGTTCCACATGGCTGGGGAGGCCTCACAATCATGGCAGAAGGTGAAGGAAGAGCAAAGGCACATCTTACATGGTGGCAGGCAAGAGAGTGTGTGCAGGGGATCTGCCCTTTATAAAACCATCAGATCTCATGAGATTTATTTACTGTCATGAGAACATCACAGGAAAAACCCACCCTCATGATTCAATTACCTCCAACTTGGTCCCTCTCATGACACATGGGGATTATGCAAGCTACAATTCAAGATGAGATTTGTTGGTGGTGGGGGAAGAGTCAAACCATATCAACTGCTGAGAACGCCATGAGTAGGAGCCAAAAGGGATCTATTGCACTTGGCAGCAAGAATATTAGATAAGTTATTATCAAAAACCAAACAAAAATAGTTAAATTGAGTAATTATGGATAGGAGACTGATAGTTGTGAGCTTATCAGTGAAAAGTGAAAAGAAATAGGAATCACTAATGTAGTTCACTCTTTTAATAAACATGAAGGGGAAAGAACAAAAGAAAAGGTACAGAATCAGGGAAGCAGCTTATGAAAGAGAGGAAACTGAAAAACTGCTGCAAACTCATTTTTCTCCTACCCAACAGCCACTCCCCACAACCACCTACCTGCACTACACCTTGTTTCTTGCTAAAAGGACTCTAATTTTGGTCAGAATAGCAATGAGCTCACCACTAGGACATAAATTATGATTGGTCAAAGGCAGTCCTTTTCCAGTTCTTTTCAATTACGCCAGAAAGTTTATTTTGATATTTCTATACCTTTCCCTCCTTTGTGGTAGAGTATATTTGTTATTCAGCAAATATTTAATCTCTATTTACTGTGCAACCCACCCCATGGGAAGAAAATTGTTCTCTGTTCCTCTGAGGTTGAGCTGGTTCAACAGCTTTTTGGCTACTGGAATGTTTGTGAGCATAACACAAGTGGACTTTTTAAACATGTGTACATGGTTTGAATTTATTTGTGAGGCATCTGCCATCTTCATGAGAGCAGCATGCCTTGGAGAGTCAGAAGTCTCCCAAAGAAAGCCTTCCAGAAAAGACTTAAACCTGACCCTTTGCCTAAAGCAGAGCCTCCCCAGACAACCTGCAGACCCGTGAGAGAGAAAAAATGCGTTGGTGTAAGCCACTGAGATTTGAGAGTTGTTTGTTATCCAACAATATGATAGTGATAAGTAACTGATAAAACCTTAGTTTTTTCTTTAACAAAAAGAGAACAAGACTAATCTCAAATAATTGGCAGGCAACTATACCCAAATGAGACATAATAACACTAACATTTGTGATTTTATCGTATTCACCTTTCATTTTACCTGTTTGTGGCATGTAAAACTTATGTTTTAATTATAGTAGGAATTCACAGCATTTTCATTAATTTTTTTCTTTGAAAAGTTTTTTAAGAGAAGCAATGTAAAAATATGGAGTAAATAAAAACAGAGGTAATAGTGTATGATTGTAGCAAAAAAAAAAAATCAATGCAGGTGAGGAATCGATGGCTGAAGTTTGAGAAACATTTGAATAGGAAGAGAAGGGAAGGATGGAACCACGAGGAAAACCCAAAAGGCAGGGCAAGTAGTGTCATTTTACCTAAAAGGAAGTAGTCAAGGATCCATGGGAAAAGTAGCTAACTTTTAGAATTGAAGGCTATGAGTCTGAGTTCTAGTTCTATTACTAATGGGAAGTGCCTGCCCACACTGAACTTAGGGTACCCCATCCAGTCGATAAGAATGATCCAGCATCACCACCAAGATGCAGTAGAGATTGCTGCAGACCATGTCTGTGGAAGCACCTATCAGGGTTCAGGTAAACAACTAGGAAGAAACGAATGTTTAAGAGGTGCGAGTGTGAAGGACGGGTTGGGGCAAGTGAATCAAGCTGCCTCTGCAATCTAGGGGCTGTGTGGACTATGAACAGAATAACCCTTTGCTTCATTTTGTATACCTTTGGTCAGTCAATCAAGAGAGGCTGCCTGCCCACAGAAGAGGATGTGAAGGGAGAAATTAGCAGACATGGGAGGTTGGGTCGGGAGAGGAGGGTATGCACAGATATGAAGATCCAGCTTTTTGATGGAGTCAAGACTTTGTTTTGGTCATTTTTTTAATCCACTCTTGGGTGACCTCCCATCTCCTATGTCCATACAGGAGCTGGATACTCTAAAAAGAAGAGGATCCTGGAATAAGAGAAACAGAGATTATGGGACTGGGAGCTGGATGAAGAGCTCATCTAATCAAATGACCCACAATTGATTTGTGTCAGATGGAGGATTAGACAACCCAGTGAGCTGAGCAGAAGAATTTATGAGAGAACATGATATCTGAAACTTGTAGTTCACAAAGGGGCCTACTAAGTGATAGCACCATCCTCAAAGAACCATCATTGCCTTCTCTTGTCATTTTGTTTACCTTGCCTATACCTAATACCAAAGGATGCTCGGAAGCTGTTAAAGAATTTTAGTAAAAACACTCACCCACCACTATCACAGTTCTCCTCCCTAGCAGTAAATAATGCTGTCTATTTGTGAATCTTTCCAGTGATATCTGAGGGAGAATCTGGAGAGAGCCAGATGGTGCAGAGCTTAGTTATCTTCTCTCTTCTTACTTATGTGTGCTATGGTTAGCACTCTTTGGAGCTCCCTCTGGCCTCCCCTGCAAGAGAGAACTCGCTAGCTGTCAGGTCCTTTCTTCATCTCTCCAGCAGTCTGAGCAGAACAGGAAAAGCCTCAAGAATGTCCATCACTGTGATTCTGACCTGGGCACATGGATCAGCATTTCAGCCGGTATTACCCTAGAAGCTAGATGCTGTCTTGGTGTTCAGGGGCTCTCTGCCTGGGCATGGTCACCTTGGAAGGGGATAGGCCCAGGGACTCTCACCTCTCAATAATTGGCTTTTGTAACAGACTTGGGTTTCCTGAATCACAGTATGGGGTACAGAACAGCCCAGACAGTGAGCTGGTTCTGGGTGGCTCCAGGGCCAATCTAGTAATAATGTGATTAAATGGCATTAGGACAGATCTCAGCTTTAGCAACTTTATTATTTTCTGAAAATGAAATCTTTATCCCAATGCCCTTAGCTACCTTAGTACATAGTGCCTTAACACTGTAGAGTTTCTTGTTTGCAGTGGTCCAGCTGATTTTCAAGTTAATTGTTTCCTTCTAAGGATGGTACTAGCCAAAGATTAAGTTTCTTTGGCAGAGCCAGACCTGATAAATATAGCTCAATTAGCCAAAGGTAGCGACAAGGACACACCTGGGCGAAGGTGTGTCGTGGTCGATACCCCCACCACTCCTCCAAGATTCCCAGACTCGCCCAACCGATATAGCCGCAAAAGAAAAACAGGAAAAACCCAATTGCTAATAGCTACTTTTTCCACCTGGTGGCATCCAATGTCTTGCTTTCATTTATCTGACAAGCGACTACTGCTAGTGCCTGGTATTATCCTATGCCCTGGGACACAGCTTTTTAAACAATAAAAACAACAACAGTTTCCGGCCAGGCATAGTGGCTCACCTCTAATCTCAGCACTTTGGGAGGTAGAAGCAGTAGGATCACTTGAGTTTAGGAGTTTGAGACAAGCCTAGGCAACACGGGGGACTCCATCTCTATGAAAAATAAAAAATAAATGAAATTAACCTTGCATGGTGCTGTACATTTGAGCCCAGGAGGTTGAGGCCACAGTGCCACTGAACTCAAGCAAGACCTGTATCTCCATTAAAAAAAAAAAAGAGTTTTCTACCTCACAGAACTCAGTCTACTTGTAGGGGGTGTGGGAGGCAGAGGCAGACAATTATTAAGATTTATAAGCGAAACATAAAATAGGACAGGCTGTGATAAGTAGCTTGGAGAAAATTAAGCAAGTAAGAATCAGTAATTGCTATTTTTTTCTTTCTGAGGGACAGAATATTTCTGGGATATAATAATATAATAAAATAGAGTACTGTCTTGTGTTTTCCAATTGAGAAACTGGATTCATGTACTTTTAACAGTTTTTTTTTTTTTTTTTTTTTTAAAACAAGATCTTGCTTTGTCACCTGGGCTGGAGTGCAGTGGGGCAATCACCACTTATTGTGTGACTCCTAGCCTCAAACAATCCACCTGCCTCAGCCTCCCAAGTAGCTGGGACTACAGGCACACACTATCACTCCCAGATAATTTTTAAATTAGCTACACATTTTTAAACCATCAGATCTCATGAGAGCTTACTCACTATTAAGAGAATAGCAAGGGGAAAATCCACCTCCATGAGCCAATCACCTCCCACCAGGTCCCTCCCCCAACATTGGGAATTATAATTCAACACGGGATTTTGGTGGGGACACAGAGCCAAACCATATCAAGGCCCTTCATAGGTAGTCTGGCTTCTTTCATGGTGGTCCAGACTCCCCAAGACCATGGGAGAAATTGCCAGTCTTGATAAAGGTTAGGCCTAAACCAGCATAGCTATGTCTATGACATTCTATTGCAGAAAAGAAATCACAAGCCAGCCAAGATTCAAGGGTGAGTAGACAGCCAGAAATAGCCCCATCTTTCAATGGGAAGGTTGCCAAAGAATTTACAGCCATCTTTAAATCCACCACAAGGACTTACTAAGCACCAAGCTCTGTAGTAGGAGGTGGGGCACAGCTGGAATGAAAAGGGTCCAAGTCCCTGTCTTCATGAAAGTTAACATTCTATACAGCAACACGTGCAACATCAAGTAGGCAAATTTTAAACGACTATTTTAGATGATGGATAATGTGACAAAGAAAATAAAACAGGAAAAATTGATACCTTGATGGAGCAGAAGGAGGGACTGATCTTGGGTAGGTTGGCCAGAGAAGACCTCTCTGAGAGATAAGAGTGAAGAGAAGGAACCGCCCTGTGAAGATCTGGTGAATGTTCCAGGCAGAGGGAAGAGGTTAGAGTGAGCCCCAGGAAAAGAGATGGTGGTGAATAGTAACACCTGAAAAAAAATGTCAAAAGACTAAAGGAGAGAGAGTAAGAAAAGATGGAGACAGGGAGTGAGAGAGAAAGAAAGAATATGCTGTACTTTTTATGGGTTGAATTGTATCCTCCGCCTCCCCAAATTCATATTTTGAGGTCCCAACCCCGAATACCTTAGAATGTGACCTTATTTGGAAATAGGGTCTTTACAAGGATAACTTTGTTAACTTGAGGTCATTGGGATGGGCCCTAACTCAGTATGACTGGTGCACTTATAAAAAGAAGAAATCTGGACACAGAGATGCACATTAATGAGGCTTACAACACATGAACATGAAGATAGGCATCCACAAACCAAGGAGAGAGGCCTGGAACAGATCTTTTCTTTCTCCATAGCCCTCAGAAGGAACAAACTCTGCCAGTATCTTGATTGTGGACTTCCAGCCTCCAGCACTGTGAGAAAATCAATTATGTTGTTTAAGCCACCTATCCTGTTAGGGCAGCCTTAAAGCAGGATATGAAGGCTTTCTCTCCAGGAGATAATGGCAGGACAGTTAGTCAGAGGGCAGTGTAGACTGAATTACAGAGTTCAAAATTTGCTCCAAGGGCATTTGGAAACCACTGTAGGGTTTTGTTTTGTTTTATTTTAGGTTGGGGAATACATGTGCAGGTTCATTACATAAGCAAATTGGATGCTATGGGGGTTTTGTGTACTGATTGTTTTATGACCCAGATAATAAGCATAGTACCCAATAGGTAGTTTTTTGATCCTCACCCTCCTGTCACCCTTCACCCTCAAGTAGGCCCCAGTGTCAATTGTTCTTATTTGTATGTCCATATGTACTCAATGCTTAGCTCCCACTTATAAGTGAAAACATGCAGTATTTGGTTTTCTGTTCCCGTGTTAATTAGCTTAGGATAATAGCCTCTAGTTCCATCCACGTTGCTGCAAAGGATGTGATCTCATGCTTCTTTATGGCTGCATAGTATTGCACAGTGTATATGTATCATATTGTCTTTATCCAGGCCATTATTGATGGGCATTTAGGTTGATCCCATGTCTTTGCATTCTTTAACAAAGGCCTCTCCATTTCCCCCAACTCACTGTTACCCCTACCCAACCCCCTGGTAATCAACATTCTACTTCCTGGCTCTATGAGTTTGACTTTTTTAAGTTTCACTTATAAATTGGATCATTAGATCATGTGACATTTGTCTTTCTGTTCCTGACTTATTTTACTTAGCATAGTGCCCTCCAGATTTATCCATGTTGTTGCAAATGGCAGGATTTCCTTCTTTTCAAAGCCTGAATAGTATTTGTATTAGTCAGTGATACAGTTTGGTTCTGTGTCCCCACCCAAATCTCACCTTGAATTTTAATAATCCCCATGTGTCATGGGAGAAAGCTGGTGGGAGGTAATTGAATCATGGAAATGGGTTTTTCCTGTGCTCTTCTCATGATAGTGAATAAGTTTCAGAAGATCTGATGGTTTGATAAAGGGGAGTTCTCCTGCAGACGCTCTCTCCTGCTTGCCACAATGACAGATGTCCCTAAGATGTCCCTAAGATGTCCCTTTGTTCTCCATCTTCTGCTATGATTGTGAGGCTTCCCCAGCCATGTGGAACTGTGAGTCCATTAAACCTCTTTCCTTTATAAATTTCTCATTGTCAGGTGTGTCTTTATTAGCAGCATGAAAATGGACTAATACAATAAGTTGATACCAGGTATTGGGGCACTGCTTTAAAGATACCCAAAAAGGTCAAAGCAACTTTGGAACTGAGTAACACACAGAGGTTGGAACAGTTTGGAGGACTCAGAAGAAGACAGAAAAGTGTAGGAAAGTTGGGAACTTCCTAGAAACTTGGAAGCTCCAAAGACGGGAAGACGTGAGAAAGCTTGGAACTTCCTAGAGACTTATTGAATGGCTTTGACCAAAATGCTGATAGTGGAATGAACAATAAGGTCCAAGCTGAGGCGGTCTCAGATGTAGATGAGGAATTTCTTGGGAACTGGAGTAAAGGTTGTTCTTGTTACCCAAAGAGACTGATGGCATTTTGCCCCTGCCCTAGATATCTGTGGAACTTTGAACTTGAGAGAGATTATTTAGGGTATCTGGTGGAAGAAATTTCTAAGCAGCAAAGCATTCAAGAGGAAGCAGAGCATAAAAGTTTGAAAAATTTGCAGTCTGATGATGCAGTAGAAAAGAAAAACCCATTTTCTGGGAAGAAATTGGTTATTTTACATAAGTAAAGAGGAGGCAAATACTAATCTCCAAGATAATGGGGAAAATGTCTCCAGGGCATGTTGGAGACCTTAATGGCAGCCCCTTCCACCACAGGCCTGAAAGTCTAGGAGGAAAAAATGGTTTCTTTGGCCAGATCCAGGGCCCCTCTGCTATGTGCAGCCTCAAGATTTGGTGCCCTGTGTCCCAGTCACTCCAGCCATGGCTAAATGGGGCTAAGGTACAGCTCAGGTCATGGCTTCAGGGCGTGCAAGCCTCAAGCCTTGGCAGCTTCCACATGGTGTTCATCCTGCAGGTGCACAGAAGTCAATAATTGAGGTTTGGAAAGCCCCGCCTAGATTTCAGAGGATGTATGGAAATATCTGGATGTCCAGGCAGAAGTCTGCTGCAGGGGTGGAGCCCTCATGGAGAACCTCTGCCAGGTCAGTGCAGAAGGGAAATGTGGGGTAAGAGTCCCCACACAGAGTTCCCACTGGGGCACTGCCTAGTGGAGTTATGAAAAGAGGACTACAATGCTGCAGAACCCAGAATGGTAGATCCATTGACAGCTTGTATCATGTGCCTGGAAAAAACACAGACATTCAATGCCAGGCCATGAAAGCAGCTGGGATGGGGGCTGTATCGTGCAAAGCCACAAGGGTGGAGCTGCCCAAGTTTGTGGGATCCCCCCTCTTGCATCAGTGTGTCCTGAATGAGAGACATGGAGTCAAAGGAGATTATTTTGGTACTTTAAGATTTAATGACTGCCCTATTGGATTATGGATTTGCATGGGGCTTTTATCCCCTTCGTTCTGGCCAGTTTGAAATGTGTGTATTTATGCAGTGCCTGTACCCTCATTGTATCTAGGAAGTAACTAACTTGCTTTTGATTTTACTGGCTCATAAGTGGAAGGCGCTCACCTTGTCTCAGATGAGACTTTGGACTTGGATTTTTGAGTTAATGCTGAAATGAATTAAGACTTTGGGCTGTTGGGAAGGCATGATTGGTTTTGAAATGTGAGGGCATGAGATTTACATACCCAGTAGTGGGAATATATACTATTATATATGCAGTAGTGGGAATAAAGCTATCATATGATAATTCTATTTTTAATTTTTTGAATAACTTTCAAAATGTTTTCCATACTGGCTTACTGATTTAAATTCCTACCAACAGTATATTCTTATACACTTTAAGTTGTTCCCTTTTCTCCAATCCTCTCCAATGCTTATTATTTCTCATCTTTTTTATAATAGCCATTCTAACAGGTGTGAGGTAATAGCTCAGTGTAATTTTATTTACATTTCTCTGATGATTACCGATTTTGAGCATTTTAAATATACCTGTTGGCCATTTGTT
Source organism: Homo sapiens (assembly GCF_000001405.40). Classification (NCBI taxonomy): domain Eukaryota; kingdom Metazoa; phylum Chordata; class Mammalia; order Primates; family Hominidae; genus Homo; species Homo sapiens. Next base: position 20,506,523 of record NC_000016.10, on the reverse strand, counting down.
TGTCCTCTTTTGTGAAATGTCTATTCAGATCTTTTGCCCATTTTACAATCAGATTATTTGTTTTCTCACTATTGAGTTGTTTGAGTTCTTTATATATATTGGATATTAACTCTTCATCTGATGTATGGTTTGCAAATATATCCTCTAATTCCGTAGATTGCCTCTTTGTTCTGTTGATTGTTTTCATGGCTGTACAGAAACTTTTCAGTTTGATGAAATTTCATTCATCCATTTTTGCTTTTTCTGCCTGTGCTTTTGGTTTCATATTCAAGAAATCATTGCTCAGACCAAGGTTATGGAGATTTTCTCCTATGTTTTCTTCTAATACTTTTACAGTTTCAGATATCACGTTTGTAATCCATTTTGAGTCTATTTTTGTATATGGTGTGAGATAAGAGATCCAATTTAATTATTCAGCATGTAGATATTCAGCTTTCCTAGCACCTTTTTTAAAATTATACTTTAAGTTCTAGGGTACATGTGCATAACGTGCAGGTTTGTTACATATGTATACATGTGCCATGTTGGTGCCTAGCACAATTTATTAAAGAGACTGTCCTTTCTTCATTATGTTATCTGAGGAAGTTTGCCAAAAATCAATTGACTGTAAATGCATGAGTTTATTTCTGGGCTCTATTCTATTGCATTGATGTATATGTCTGTTTTTAAGACAATAATATGCTGTTTTAATTACTATAGTTTTGCAGCATATTGTAGTATATTGAAGTCAGGGAGTGTGTTGCCTCCAGCTTTTCTCTTTTTGTTCAAGCATATTTGGGGTATTTGAGATCTTTCGTGGTTCCATATGAATTTTAGAATTGTTTTTTCTATTTTTGTTAAAAATATCATTGGAATTTTGACAAGGATTACATTGAGTCCATAGATCACACTGAATAATATGGACACCTTAACAATATTAATTCTTTCAATCCATGAACACAGGATATCTTTCCATTTATTTGTGTCTTCTTCAATTTTTACATCAGTGTTTTATAGTTTCCAGTTTGCAGGTAATTTACTTTCCTTAGTTAAATTTATTTCTAAGTGTTTTATTTTTTCACTATTATAAATGGAATTGTTTTCTTGATTACTTTTTTAGATAGTTCATTGTTAGTGTATAGAAACACTATTAATTTTTGTATGTTGGTTTTGTGTCCTGCAAAGTTACTGAATTTGTTTATTAGTTCTGTTTGCAGATGATAGGATCTTATATGTAGAAAAATTCTAAAGATTCCATTAAAAAATAATTGTACACTGCCAAAAGGTGTTATTGTTGTTGTTGTTGTTTTTAAGACAGGCTTTTACTCTGTCACCCAGGCTGAAGCGCAGTGGCACAATCTCAGCTCACTACAGCCTCCACCCCCTGGGTTCAAGAAATTCTCCTGTCTCAGCCTCCCAAGTAGCTGAGATTACAGGCATGTGCCATCACACATGGCTAATTTTTGTATGTTTAGTAGAGTTGAAGTTTCACCTTGTTGGAGAGCCTGGTCTCGAACTCCTGACCTCAAGTGATCCACCCGTCTTGGCCTCCCAAAGTGCTGGGATTACAGTCATGAGCCACCATACCCTGCAAGAAAAACTTTTAGGCATTGTTGTTTTTCAAATTTCATTTAGTTGTTTAGGTGTGTTTTCTTGCATCTCATTGACCTTCTTTAAGATAATTATTTTGAATTTTTTTCAGACAATTCATAGATATCCAATTTTTTGTGGTAGGTTGCTAGGGCTTTGTTAATTTTCTTTGGTGGTTTCATGTTTGTCTGATTTCTTGTTATTCATGTAACCTTTGCATCTGTGCATTTGAAAGAGCAAATACTTCTTCCAGGCCCTAGAAACTGGTTTTGGCAGGTTTGTGTTCTGCTAAGTTCCCAGGCAGATGAGTTTGCCTATGGGATTGTAGCCAAATGCTTTTGGAACCAATTAACATGACTGCTGCTGGGTCCACAGTGGAGTCCACAGTTGGTGAGCCTAGTAGCAGGGGCCCTAGCAGGCATGGATCCTGTCTGGGCCCAGGGTGGTCTCTACTGTCTCCACGACCTTGGTCCAAAGGGCTGGTACTGGGCTGATGGTCTACTTCAGGTGCACAGGAATAGGCCTGTTGCCCAGTTTGTGAATGGGTATGACTCCTCCAGGTCCCCAGGAAGGCTCTTGCTGGACCACTGGGTGAGACTTTGGACAGGCAGTACTGCTCCAGTCTGCAGCTGAGAGGGGCAGAAACCAAGTTGCAGGGCTGCTTCAAGGTCTACAACTGAGATCGAAATATTCAGGCCTACCTCTGGTGTCACTGATGGGCATGTCTCACAGTGGGTCCCTGGGCAGGCAGCCATGCTCTCGATCTGTAGCTAAGTGAAGTTGGAGTTGAGATGCAGGGCCTTTTCAGGATCTGCTATGGGGACTGAGGTTGGCAAGTATGACCCTGGGGGCTCACATGGACTTGTCTCCCAGCTATTCCCTGGCTGGGCAGAACTGCTCTTAGACCTCAGCTGAGGGAGCCTTGGGCTGAAATTCAGGGTCATTTCAGGATTTGCAATGCGACTGAAGTTGGCAAGGCTGTACTAGTGGCACAGATGGGCAAGTCTCTCAGCAGCTCCATGTACAGGCAAAATTGCTCTTGGGCTGCTGCTGAGAGGGTTTGGAGGCAAGATTGAGGGCCCTTTCTGGTCTCCTTGGGGACTAAAATCCAAAAATCCTGCCCTAGGGACTCATATGGGCATGTCTCTCTCTGGGTCCTTATGCAAGCAGGACTGATTGCTTACTGCAGCTGAGATGGGCTGGAGTTGAGTTAGATGGTTGTTTCAGGGCCTCAGTTGAGAGCAAGTTCAGTGGGCCTGTCTTCTGATGTACTACTGTGCATGACTGCCTCCTGTCAGACCCCCAGGCAGGTGGTTTTGGTAGCAGGATCAAGTCCAAATAGGGCTTTCACTAAACATGAGGCAGATGGGGCCATTTCCAAATCTGGAGTTAGGACCACAGTCAATGAGTTTGCCACCTGGGTGTGGGTCTACCCTCTCAAAACAACTCTCCTAGGTCTTGGGCTCCACTGGGGTTTTACAACTCCTGCCTAAATCCTCAGGTTCTCACAAAGGCACTTTTGCCTGTGAATGGATGAGACATTTTTGTTGCTATTGGGGAATGTGAGTGGGAGACAACCTACTCTGCCATCTTGCTGACATCGCTTCCTAGCTTCCTTTGTTTCTGTTGAGAAGTCAGTGGTAATTTGAACAATTGTCCCACTTGTGTAATGTATCATTTTCCTCTGTCTTCATTCAAAATTTTGTCTTCTTTTTGATTTTAAGAAGCTTGATTATGACATGCCTAAGTATTGTTCTTTTTTGTATTTCTCCCATTTTAGATTTTTCTAATATTCTTGGATCTGTAAATTTATATCTTTCACCAAAATCTGGAAAACTTTTGGTCATTATTTCTTAAAATATTTTTTCTGTCTTTTTCTGGAACCCCAATTATATATATATATATACACACAATTATATATATAATATATACAATTTATATATATATACAATTATATATATATACACACACGCACACACACACACATTGTTCCATGATTCACTGAGGCTTCACTTTTTATAAAAATATTTTTCTCTCTATTCTTAAGACTGCTAACTTCCTTTGAACTAATTTCAAGTATGCTAAATTTCTTAGATCTCCAATATTCTATGAGGTCCATTAAGTTCATTTTTAATTTAGAGTAATACATTCTTAGTTAAATAGTCTCAATTTTAAAATCATTTCTATTTTTCCACTAACTTTTTTATTGTTCATATTGAACATATTTATTTTAGTCCTTGAGCATAATCATTACAGCTATAGCACTGTTATTGAAATCCTTCTCAACTAATTCCAACATCTGAGTCTTTAGTTTTCTCCATTGATGTTGTTTTTCTCTTGCAAATGAGTATGTGTTCCTGTGTCTTTGTGTATCTAGTAATTTTAGATTTTATATAGACCATTGTCATTAATATACTGTAGAGATTCTGGATTTTGTTTTGTTTATTCATTTCTTTTAGCCTGAGGCTGCATGGATTCTGTGTATTTCAGGGATCAGCCATGGATTTGGGAAGAATTTATACACAAAATTTGAAGTTCCTCTTTTCTGACTCTCTCTCCTGAAATTTTTCCATAAAAATTGAAAACTCACTCCATGCCATTTATTTCTTCAAAGGTAGATTTTTCCTAATTTATTTTTGTGCTGCCTAATCTCTAATGCATTCTGAAGTTGTTCTTTTTTTTTTTTGTGATTGTTTGTTTGTTTTTGAGATGGAGTCTGGCTCTGTCGCCAAGGCTGGAGTGCAGTGGCACTCTCTCTGCTCAGTGCAAGCTCTGCCTCCCTGGTTTACTCCATTCTCCTGCCTCAGCCTCCCGAGTAGCTGGGACTACAGGTCCCATCACTACGCCTGGTTAATTTGTTTGTATTTTCAGTAGAGATGGGGTTTCACCGTGTTAGCCAGGATGGTCTCGATCTCCTGACCTCGGGATCCGCCCACCTTGGCCTCCCAAAGTGCTGGGATTACAGGGGTGAGCCTCCACACCCAGCCCTGAAGTTGCGATTTATATTTTGTCCAGGGCTTATAGTTGGTACCTATCAAAAGATTGATCCTATGGAAAATACTACATAGTACATTTCACTTCAAGATACTTGAAGATCATGATACTTGAAGTGAAAGCCCTATAATTAAATTCTAGTTATGAATTATTTGATTTATCTGTGCCACCAATACTCATTGTGAGCATGTGAATTTTAGCTTACCTAGAAAAATCAACTCCCAAATCATCCTCTTTCATGATAACTTGTCTATACTTTTATGATAACTTGGCTTTAGTTGGCTGTACTTTCATACTCTATACTTTTATACTCCAAAATCATCCTCTTTTATGAAGACATCCTGTTTTATAACTTGGCTATACTTTTATACTCTCCTACATTGTCTTGGGAACCCTTAATATGTCTTTTATACGCCTCTTCTTTTTTTGTCTTTAATAAGACATATTAAGAGTTCTCAGGACAATGTAGGAGAGCATTTTGGATTGGAATCAGTATTCGAGATTCAAGCTAAGTTGTATTCTGCCTCAGAGCATTTTCACTTCCTGGAATTCTGACATGTTGATTCTAGAATCAAAATCAAAACTGCATTCCAACCTGGGTGACAGAGGAAGATGCTGGTTCTAAAAAGAAAAGAAAAGTACACCTTGCTTGAGTAATCTAAACAAAATATGTACATAATGCACCAAGTTACAGATGCGTTTGATTCAGGGACTGATCCTTTAGCACATCACCCTTGTAGCCAAGTCAAATTCCAAGCTAGTAGAACAATAAATGCCCTCAAAAAATGCATAGTTGACTGAGTTCATTGGTCTGCTTAATATACTTTCATGAGTCACCTTACTTTCCAAATAAAGTCCAAACTCAATATCATGCAATACAGTGACAACTGCCTCTGTCATTTCTGTAAAGTTGGACCTGATACTGAAATAAGACTGAATGTAAATGAGCTGGCTCCTCCCCTCCAAGTTATTTACGTACAAGTTCCTCTTCTATCTACAGATAATAGCGTGAAGTCTGGGGCACCTCATGCCATCAACACATTTACAAATGCACTTTCCCGGTTGGAGCCTGGGAATCCTCCAGAGCTAATGATTGATTGGGGATGTCAAGAACATACCATTCTGTATCACAGAGCTTGTAAGAATTACCTCTTGGGTTTGGGGGTTATTGGAACATGTGGCCTCCTTTGTCTTAAAGATCTTACAGGATGGATTTTCTCTAATGTTTTGGGAAGCTGCTATAGCAGTTTCTATGCAGCCCTCTGAACATACAAACCTTGCCTTAGACTGAGATGGTCATTGCTCCATTATTAGTGTAAGTTGGATACCTCCTCAACAGGACCATGCCGTCGATGAATTAGTGCGGTGGATCCTAAATGTGGATTTTGAACGTGTTGCCTCAGGACATGATTACATTGAGGAGGTATTGTGGTAGTTTTACATCACATCCACTAATTCTTTGACATACCTCCCATCCAGAGCTGGAATCTGTCCCTTCTCCTGGAATCTGAATTGACATTAGCGGCTCATTGATTAGGTAATTTCTGAGACTAAATCTTCATAGGTGATTTAACCTTAATTGTATTTGTAGGTTCAAATCACCTAGTAAAAGTCTGAGGCCACTGTGCTGTGAGGAAGTCCTGGCCACATGCAGGTGCCTCTTGTAGGTGTTCCAGCCAACAGCCCCAGCTGAAACCCCATGAGTGAAGCTTCCTTCCACTCATCCCAGATAGAATACTTCAGCTTGAGTTACTATAACAAAATATCATAGATTGGAAGACTTCAACCCCAGACATGTATTTCTCACAGTTCTGGAGGCTGGGAAGTGCAAGATTAAGGTGCTGGCTGATTAATTTCCTGGTGAGGGTTCTCTTCCTGGCATGCAAACATCTGCCTTCACACTGTGAGCTGTCCTCAGCATACCCTTTGGATTCCCACCTGTCCAGAGGGGGCCAAGGTGGCAGGGGGCTGGTGGGTCAGCAGTGCCCCAGCCTGTCCACACCTAGCCAGGCTGTGACAGTGCCAGGGCTCAGCCCCAACCATGCTTGGATATCAAAGTGAGCACCAGGAGTGGGGAGAGGCCAGGCAGCAGGAGTAGACATCCCCAAACCTGTGGGGACAGGAGGCACCTTCCCGGGCCCCTGAAGGGACAGAGTGCAGACACGCTCCAGCGTAGAGCCACGGCAGGGCAGCTGCAGCTGCATCCAAGGGGCTCTCACCTCACCAACTTAGAAGGGGTGGGGCTCCTGTTTGTCCCTGGCTCCCGCTGGCTCCATGGAGCATGCAGCTTCAGCTGTGCCTCCTCACAGCCTGGGGTGGGGAATCCAGGTCCTTGCTGGCCCTGGGCTGGTGTCTGGGGCAGGGGCGACATTGCCATGAGCTCCCCTCCATGGCCCTGGTGCTCAGGGCTGGCCTGGGGCTCCACCTTGCCTGGCTCATGGCCCTGCCTTGTGGGGGCACCTCCAGGAGTGAATTGCAGGTTCCAGGACTGGCCATCAGGAGTGTCAGGCTTAGTAGTCACCCTGATGTGGGGTGGAACCTGGGGATGTGGCCCTGGGTGGCCCCAAGCAGAGCCTCTTCCCGAAGTGCAGGAACCTGGTGCCCTCAACAAGTGGGTATGGTGGCCATACTGCTGGCCAGGGCCCCGAAGTGGATGCTGCTCCAACCTCTTGCTCTGGGCTCCTGAAGTGCTGCCAAAGCTCCATGCCCCAGGCCTGGCACCCATGTTCCATGTGCAAGCACTGCACCACCCTGGGCCCAGTTCCACCTTGGGGCCCCCTTCTGCCAGACCTCACTGCTCCTCCGCCAGTGGGCAACTCATCCTGGACCCATTGCAGCAGCTTTCAGGGCTTCCAGGGCTCCCAGGGCTCCCAGGGGCAGGCTCAGGGCCTGTCTACCTCTTGTCCATGCCCTTCTTGCAGTGGCAGGGAGCAAGAGTGGTGATGCGGGGTCAGGGTCTGGAGTGGTGGAGGCTCTGGTCCTGGGGGCAGGTCTTGCCTGGCCACACAAAGCTGGGGTTGGTGCAGTTGGCTGCCTTGGGGATGCAGGGCACAGGGGTCTCCCCACTGCCACTGCTGCTCTCACAGTTGCTTCTGCCACCACCGCTTGCACCTCCCCACTATGGCTGGCAAAGTGGCAGTGGCCACTCCAGATGGCCCACCACTGCCATCAATCCCCCCTCTGAAGACGTACATCTAACTGCTGTAAGGATAGGGATGATGACCACTCTTAACTGCTTCATGCTGACATGGGGTGTTGTTTTGAGGAAAACGGCAGTTGGATCTCTCTCAGAGACCTATCTAAGGATCCCTGGTAAAAAGGGAGCTATTGTGTGAGGCTCCAGTTGCATTACCGCTTGGAGTTTGATGGGCCATCCCTCTTGTCTCTTCTCAGCTGCAGTCATAAATCACTGGTTGGTTCACAAGAATATGCTTTACTCAATTGTCAAAAGCTGCAAATAACTCAAAAGAACAGCTTCTTTGACTCTGAAAAGCAAAACAACGGATTAGCAATGTTCTAAGCAAGAGGTCAAAAATATTACTTCAGTCTTCCATTAGTTCAGTCCACCCAGTCAACTCTTGTTCGCAGTCTCTAAAGTTATCAAAAACCTGCCCTTGAGGACTATAATCCATCTTTTGAAGAGGATCAAAATAAGACAATTGTCTGTGAATGTCAAAATGTCCTAGGGTAGTTACAGTCAAAAACACGATTGACAAAGAAATTTAGTCACCTCTGTGGTCTACAATAACCCAACAAAATAACCCTAATTATGATTAATAACACATACTCAGACATCAGAATTTTAGAAATCCCATACTATTTTAGAACACATATTAACATTATTCACTAAAATATAACCTGAAAATTAAACACCACCTTATTTGGACAATCCTGTGTAACTAAACGTGTCTAATAATCCTGTTTACTTCTCCTTTGGATGCTCCAGGGACCCTCTGTAGCATCCAAATTTAAGGGTTAGAAAAGATGATTTCAAAGCTGAAACTTGATATTGGGAAGCCTACCAAATATGTTGAAAGCTTAAAACACTTAATAGAATTTCAGATTACCATAAGTCATCCATTTAGCTAAAATAGATCATTTAAATTTTGAAAAACAAAAACCTTTACTCATTAAGAGAGAAGACCAAGTTTTCCAAGCAATCTAACTTTTGTCCTTCCCTTCTTTTTTTGGAAGTTTATTCACAAGGCAAACAAAAATCTTCCATTACACTAAAATCTTGTTCAAGCAAGAGAAAGCCAAATTTCACCCTTGCATTAGTCAACTATTAATGTCAACCTCATTTTTTGGTAATGAAACCTTACAGAAAAATCCATCCAATCTGAGTTTGACCATGAAGTGAGATTCTTATAAACCTTTTATAACCCTTTATACCTTCCACAATTTGTTCAAACCTTTAACTTGCCAGGAATTCTTTAACCCTCTAAACTTATGCAGAAATTTACATTCCCATGCCTTCTTATAATCTTTTACCAAAACCACATTTTACTCTCCTTACAAACTTTGCATGTAAATCTATTTTCACTAGTCTCCACTATATATTACAAAGTTAACTCTCAGCCATTTTAATTTTGGTTTAAAACCTGGTAAGTTATTTTAATTATGTATTAGGTGTGGATAAGATCTGACTTTTTCCAGCATAGTTAGTGGTGTGGTTAACTCCATATGTCCCCAGGCCTTACCAACTGTAAAGCAGGCAAGTTGAACAGTTTTCAAAAGCCAAAGAAGCAGTTTATGACCTTAAAGCATTTAGCAAGCCTAATATCTGAATTATTTCAGATATGAACTGCATGTCTACATAATTTGGATCACATGTGTACATTTTGAAGACATTTTCATTTTATGAATAATCTTTAAAACTCTTTTTATTTCTCAAAGATTAAAGTCATGTCAACTAAAAGGCATTACAGCTTCTATTTTTTGTTAAGAATATTTGATATAAGCACTTATTTTCCCTCAGCCAATCAATTAGAGCTCTTTTATATAAACATCACACACATAACACATATATAACTACAAAGACAGACAGAAGGAAATCCAGGAATTGTCAGATTTTTCATGTGCTAATCTCTTAATTGGATTACTGGCCTCAGGGTTGAGCCCTTCAAGAAACAGAACTAGGAAAACATGCAGTTTCTAAGGCCTAATAGACAGGCACAGATTTTGAGAGAGATTCCTGGGGTTCTGTGAGGGTAACAGGTTTTTCCCAAAACAGGGTCAGTGGTGCCTCCTCCATTTTCCCAAGGAGTCCCAGGCCATCCGAAGTTATCCTAGGGCCTCTCATGTGTGCAGTAAGAGTGGCAAGACAAAATGGGGGAAAATAATTCAGTCAACTGAGAAGAAAATCCTTTTTTTCCAGAAAAACAAGATCCACAAAGAGACATCAAGTCCTGTTAAATATACCTATAGCTTGGATATCCATTTTAATTAAGCTGACTTTTAACCATAGCTCTCCTTTTTAAGAAGTCCTTTTAAATCTCTTATTACCTAACCTTAGCCGTGCCAAATGGCCAATACTTCTGGCTTTTGAACTCATAGGGAGGCAGAGAATACAGTCATTTTTCACCATTCTTGCAACCACTTTGTACAGAGACAGAGGGAGAGGCCAGAAATCTGACTGGTAGGAACTTTTACCCTTTGCCTGCATGTCAGGCTTCTGGGTTCCCTTCCCCTGAGCCATGGAGTCCTGTGCAGGGGAACAGACAAAGAACAGTTGTCAGGCTTCTGGGTTCCCTTCCCCTGAGCCATGGAGTCCTGTGCAGGGGAACAGACAAAGAACAGTTGTCCCTCCTCAAGAGATTGCCAAGCAGTTTAAGATTTGAGAAAATTAAACTCTCCCCAGGATGCATCTGAGGGGAGTGTCCTGTGGTACAGAGACATGATTAACCATCTGTGAAAAGAGGACAGAGGAAGAAAAGAAAAGTTTTTTTTCCTTTCTCCAGAGTCTGAGGTCCAAAGGAGTTTCCATGATTTAGGATGCACTCATGAGGAGTGCAGTGCAGGCTGAAGATGATTGGTTACTCATCTGGAAAGAGGGGAAAAAGGCATCCCTTTGTTCCTTTTTCTTTCTAACTAACACCCAGGGTACATAAGGGAGGGAAAAGAAGGCATTCCTTTCTTTCTTTTGACCTTATATCCCTGAGTCCCAGTGACCTGTGAAGGTGCCGACCCTGGGGGCAAGAAGACCTTCACCCACGAAATAGGGAAGCATAGCTGGCAGAAATATTCACACTCACCTGGGCGGTGCCGAAGCCTCCCACTGTCAGTAAGCTTTGAGTTTCCTAGATCTTATCTATGTCATGGATGTGAGCATGACCTCCATCCACGGAGTGAGAGGGCCTAATCAACAGCAATAGTCGTGCTCACCTGTGCTGTGCCCCTTGATTCCCACTGTCAGTAACCTTTGGTCTAGTGTTCCATTCCAGGACTTCAAACCAAAGCTTTGGAACAAAAGGTGCCTCAGGAAGGTGTATGGACCCATTAAGTTAGTCCCAGGTGGCCCTCACCAAATTGCAGCTAGGAACTGGAGGGGGCAGCTCCTCTGTTGCTTCCCTATCATAAGCAGGTGGAGCTGTGGGACCAGGTCCTCCTCAAACAAGGGAGAGAAAGGGAGTCCCAAGAATTGGGCACCTGGCCTAATAAGGTTCCTCCCAAAAGGAAAAACAGCTAATCCCTCACATAGAAAAGCTCCATGTATTTACAGGACTATGTTGACTCCGGACATGGTGGAGGAAGGAGACCTGATGCCCCTCATGGTTGTGCCAAGAAAGGAGGGGGTCCTAGATTGGAGAGGAGAACTGAAAGGCCCACTCCAGAGTCCAGGAGGAGGTCCACCCTCTTTCCTTTGACCCCTAGAATCACCTGGGGCTCCTGGGTGGCACTGGCCTTCTGAACTACCAGAGCTGGGGAGAGGAACCCTGGGACCCATCAGTACTACTGCACCATTTGGAATACTGGCCCTGGACCCAGTGACCCACATCTCTGGGGACAGTTCGCTTTCCAATGGTCCTCACTGCAAACTTGACAGGGTCAAAGTGGCTTCCCCCTGCTGTCCTAAAGTGCCCTAGGCTACCATATTTGCAGCAGTCAGCAGGTGCATCTCAGGGACTCTGGAGTCCATGAGCCCACAAGACCGCTCTTAGAACCTCTGCCTTTTTCCTGTAACTCTCCTCTCTTTTCTGGACTTCCTCCCAATTCCTACTGCAAAAGATGGAGGTGGCCACTCCCAGGAGGCCCTCAAAAGTACCATCTGGTCCCGCAGCCCATTTCTGCAGCCCCCTCCTGACTTCAGGGGCCACCTGTGTAATAAATTCATCCCCTGGGACCAGCTGTCCCTCTACTAAATTGGGAGATAGAGAGGTGTATTTTACCAAGCCCCTTCTTAGCCTTCCCATGATGGCAGTGGGATTCTCATCTAATCCCTGGATATCCACCACGGATAGCTTGGTGTAATTGAGAGGCTTAGTCCTAGTCCTTCATAAGCTCTCCAGTATCCACATCTGAAAATGTTTCCTCTTCCACTCTCCTATTTCATCATTGGGGTCCCATTTAGAGTCCTCCAATGATATTGCTATTCTTCCAATCAGATAAGACTCATTCCCTTCCCTGGCCCAATATGAGATAGAAAGCTCATCCCCCAAATTGCCTGCTGCTTGCAGGGTGGCCTGCTTTTCAACGGTAGTCAGGGTTTGATTTAAAAGTAATATGACATCCTTCCAGAAGAGTTCAAATACTTGGAAAGTCTCTATATACCTGTCAGGGCCTTCTGAATACTTGTCAAGATCCCTTTTAATTTGCCCTAAGTCCTGAAAAGAAAAGGGGACCTGGAACTTAATGGGGCCATATTCACCAGGCATGTGTTATGGGGACAGTTGAGATTGGATCTTGCCTAAAACCAAAATTTCTAGGCTAAGTCAAGATTGAGAGACAACCCAGATAGGGAGGAGCAAAGGGAATTGATTCCCCTGTGGGAGGTACCTCTGAGGTTTGCTTTCCTAGTTCCCTGGGATTGACCCTTCCAGCCTCTCCCAAGGTGGCCACTAGGAGAGTTGAATCAATACTACAATGTTGGCCAAGGTCCAGATTATCCTGCAAAGCAAAGAAGGCCTGCATATATGGGACCTCAGAACATTTGTCCCTGTGTTTACAGAAAAGGACCAGCTGTAGGATGGTATTGAAATTAATGCTTCCCTCGTGAGGCCATACTTCTTTTCTGTGTCTCGGGTGCTTGGCACTAAGTTGGCAATGAAGGAAATGACAAGAACATTTCTGCCACAAATTTACGTACAGATACTAAGGCACATTTTGTTTCATCTGTGCTAATCTTAGCCTTCAATTTTATACGTTTGACCACTAAGCCAAATGCTCATTCTACCCAGTAATATTATCTCTGTGGTTTGCAACATGCTTAACATTTAACATTGTACATAAAGAAGAGATACGAACTATGACAATCATGAAAGAAAAAACAATAGAAAAGACTGGACACCTTAACAGGTGGTCAGGGACCAGGTCCATGGGCCTTTGGATAACACAGGTGTAGCCTCGGCCAGATACCCTCAGTTGACCCAGGACCTCCTTCCGGTCCCACCTGAGGGCTAGACCGCCATGAAGGGAAACTGGATTGGAACAAAGCCAACATTCCCAACATCTGAGGATGATGGGGGATTGACAGCATCCTCCCCAGCAAGCCTGTCCTCCGTGTTGTAAGTCTGGCAGCCACACTAGGCACTTTTAACTGACTGAGACCCAGTATTTTTCTTTCATCTTCATTATTGTGGCATTTAGGGACTCCAAGAAAGGATGGAAAGAACAGATCCATTTTTACTCACCCTTCTGCGGATTCCAGACAAGCCCCCCAAATGTTACAAGATCTTGGGGGTGTTGCTATTCTGGCAGGAATCTTTTGTGCCCCTGCTGCAGCAGGGCGGACAGCTCCAGGTGCTGGCATGGGCGCCAGGCTCAAATGGGCACCTTGGCTAGCACCAAGGGGCACCTGCAGACCAGTGGCAAGCTGCCCTCAGCCCTAGTCTCGGCCTTCCCCCCACCAAGTTCGTTGGGGCCCAAAGGCCACAGGGTGCTGAGGTGGTAGGGGACTGGAGTGTCAGTGCTGCCCCAAGCGTGCGAAAACAGTGCCCAGGCTCAGCCCCAACTTTGTGGGCACTGGGATGGGGAGAGGCCAGGCAACGAGGGCAGACACCCCCAAGCCTGTGGAGGAAGGGAGATCTTCCCAGGCCCGGGAGAGGCCAGGCAACGAGGGCAGACACCCCCAAGCCTGTGGAGGAAGGGAGATCTTCCCAGGCCCCCGAGGGTGCGGAGTGAAGAGACTTCTGGCTCAGAAGCCCCGGCAGGTCAGCTGCAGTTGCACGAGATGGGGAGGTGGCTCCCACCCCACCAACTCAGAAGGGACAGGGTTCCTGCTTGTCCCTGGCTTCCACCAGCTCTGTGGATCGTCTAGCCTGGGTCGCGCCTCCTCGCAGCCTGGGCCGGGGCTCCAGGTTCTTGCTGGGCCTGGGCTGGTGTCCAGGGCAGGGGTAATGTCGCCGTGAGCCCCTCCAGTGGCCCCAGTGCTCAGGGATTGCCCGTGGTTCCCCCTTAAGTGGCCCTGCCTGCGGGGACGCCTCTGGGAGTGGATCGCTGGTTCCCAGGCCTGGCCGTTGGGAGTGTCAGGCTTGGCGGTCCCCCTGATGCACAGTTGACCCCAGGGACACTGCCCCTGGTGGCCCCACTTACAGCCTCCTCCCTAGGTTCAGGAACCTAGGGCCCTCGGTGGGGTGGGCGGGGCAGCCGCACTGCTGGCTGAGTCCCCGAAGCCGGCACCACTCCCATTTCCTGCCCTGGGCCCCTGAACCACGACCCCAGCCCTAGGCCCCTGGCCCAGCGCCCAGGCCCCATGTGCAAGCGTGGCACCGCCCCGGTCGCAGCTCCACCTTGGGGCCCCTCTCTGCCCGAGTTCTCTGCTTCCCCTCCAACTCGACTCGGACCCATTGCAGCAGCCCCCAGGGCGACGGGCTCTGGGGAGCTCCAAAGGGTCCGCTCGGGGACTGTCTGCCTCCTCCGCACAGCCTCCCTGCAGTGGCAAAAGGCGAGAAAGGCGACACGGGGCCAGGGTCCGGAGCTGTGTAGGCTCCAGGCCTAGGGTGGGTCTTGCCCAGCCATGCAAGGGTGAGGGCAGTGCAGTCGGCTGCCTTGGGGACGCGGCACAGGAGACATGAGGTACAAGGGTCCCCCTGCTGCCACGGCTGCTCCCGCAGCTGCCCCTGCCACCACTGCTGGCACCTCCCCACTGCAGCCGGTGCAGTAGTAGCAGCAGCAACCGCCCCAGACCGCCTGCCGCTGCCATCAGTCACATGGTGAAGAGAGGATCATCTCTTTCTCTCTCTCCTTCTTATAAAGCCACAATGCCATCATGAGGGACCTAGCCTCATGACCTCATTCTATCCCACCTTCCAAAGGTCCCATCCCCAAATTTCATCACACTGGAGGTCAGGGCTTCAACATATGAATTTGAGGGAAAGGCACTGCCTTAGGCCATCAAGTCACCACAGGTTTCAAGTCCTCCCAGCAGGGGCCCTAGACCTTGGAGCAGAATGAAACCATTTCCACTATTCCCCTTCCATATTCTTTACCCACAGAATTTGTGAACATAAAGAAGTGGTTATTTTAAACTGCCATATTTTAGTGTAACTTGTTGTACAGCACTGTGTGATCAGAATAGGTGGATATATGTGTGTATGTAGGTGTGGATGAGTCTATGTTTTCAGAGCGACTCAAAAGATATTGTTTGGAAGTAAAGACCAGAAAATGAGCAGAAAGGATAAAGTGGTCTAGCTTTGCCTCATCCTGAGAAAGGCGAGTTGGTGATTTCATAGTAGTCATAGCAAACCAGTCTTTGTGAAAGATACAGGTTGAATATTACGATTGCTTTGTCAAAGTCATAGGCAGAAGGAGATTAAAGTTGGGGGTGAGGAGGGAAGGGAGGCAGATTTTATACTGTGGGTAGGGTATAGCTTTCCTTTAAAAGTGATGTGTTTCCATCATCAATCATCCCTGAGCCTGGAGAAGTTAATGAACTCATGGATTGGGTGGTGAGTAAGGAGATGTGATCAAAAATATATTCTCAGTACAGATAAAAATAGCAGGCCATAGGTTAAAAGGAAAGACAGCCAGAGTTAGCAGGAAACCTCCTTCAAGGGGCATGGCACGCAGATAATTAGTATCTAGGAAATCAGATTCTAATCACTCTACGAATTAAATCCTCTCAGTGCCTTTCACAGTGAGAGAGAGCCTGACTAGACAGATATTTTCTCCAGCAACTGGGCTCTCATTAGACAGGGTCCTGGGAACAATCAGGTGAAGTCTCAGCCTTTATCAAGATTTCAATGAGACTGAATGGGCAGAAGGTCTATATATGGAGAGAAAGGCTTTTAGCAAGAAGGAGGAAAGAGGCATTGAGGAATGTTGGAAGGTAGGCTCAATCTTTGCAAAAACTTGCTAGTTTGTGTCTAAATGGGTAGTCAAATTAGGAGGTGTCTCATGCCACCCTTTGTCCCTTTTCTCTGAAAGTTTTTCCCAGTCCAAAGAAATTGGGCCCCTGTAGCCATATTTGTACTCTGTGATAATCAGAGTACATGTGGGCAACTCACATGAGCTGGATCAATCAGATTCATTCTCTCTGGAATTTAGGTAGTGGCACTGAAGCTGGAGGGTGATGAAGCCAGAGGGTGGGAGAAGCCACTTTATGACATTAGTCTCAATACTTACAAGGAAAAAAAAGGATACACATAGTTGAAGGGGAAAAAGAGATAGATACATTGTAATCTGTTCCCACGGAGCTGGATAGAGTGGCTTCCTGGGCTCCTGATGGTTTTTTGTTTGTTTGTTTTTGCTTTTTTTTTTTTTTTTTTTGGTTTTCTAACAAGTAGCTGGTTATGCCCTTATGAGAGCTGGTTGATTGCCATATTCCTCAATCCTGTGAAATTATCCACGGGTCCTTGAAATAGAATACTTTTTGCTAGTCTGAATAGGTTTATACATCTTGCAACTTAATGAAGCTTATTTAAGACAACATTTATGACAGACGATGGGCCAGGATTTACTCCCAAATCTCACTTGCTTACTTAGAAGTTTCCATTCTTACTAACGACACCTTTATGTGATCCTCACATGATATGCTCACCAATGTATAATCCCAATAAATACTAGGAGCCTATGTAGTCTAGTCTTTGCATAATTTGGCAGTCGTAGAAACTAGAGTTCAAATCCTCAAAACTCAATAATGTTTGCTAAAACAGAAACCAGTGAAGTTTATTTAGACAACATGGTAATGGGTTGGGTGTTCACACTGATTTTAATTGGAAATCTTCCTTTAAAAATTGGTTAGTTTCCCTCTATATCCATAGTTTCTCAGTTATGGCATACTCTAAAATGTCTCCAACTCATTGGCCCTACATATCTCTACCCATCATCATTTTCCACTGCTGCTGTCTTCCACTTCACCTCCAAAACAGAAGTCACCTCATGAAGCCACATCAGGTGTTTCTAAGGCAGCACCAAGATCTCCCAGCTGGGTATACCCCTTTCTTCCTTGCTGTCCACAGAGGCATCTATAAAGTATAATTCTTTTTCACATCTCTTAAGGTTGGGAGATTGAGGGGCTATTGACACTGGGAAAATGGGGATGAAATGTGAGGCCTTATCAGCAGATCATCATCCAGCATGAAGAGTGATGGTGAGACCTCTTGCTGCCTATGCAAGCATGCAGTGGACAGAGAAAACTAAACATGAATCCAAGTGTCAGAATGAGCAATCTGCCTCATTTTAAATTCTTGGAAGCTTTCAGTTAAATGAGACTCCCTCAAACACTGATAAATTCAGATTGAGAAAAACAAAGTTTTGTATTTGATTAGCAGATTGCATTTCTCTGCTATGGGCAACAAATATCTGCTGTATTTCAGTGAACTATAGGGGGAGCATATCACAGTATATCTGCCTTCCAGTGTATATTTTGTAAGACGACTGTGTGATGGTTAACTTTATGTGTCAAGTTGACTGGGCCACGGGGATCTCAGACTTTTGGCCAAACATTATTCTGGGTATGTCTATATTTCTGGATGAGATTAATATTTGAATCAGACTGTATAAAGAATATTGCCCTCCCTAGTGTGGGGGTGGGGTGCTCATCCAAGCAATTAGAGACCTAGGTAGAACAGAAAGGCTGAGTAAAAGGGAAATCCTCCTGCCTGACTTCTTGAGCTGGAACATTGGTCTTCTGCTGCCCTCAGACTGGGACTTACACCATTGGTTCTTCTGGTTCTCAGGTCTTCAGACTAAGACTGGATATACACATTGGCTTTCCTGGGTCTTCAGCTTCCAAGCTGTAGATCTTGGGAATTCTCAAACTACATAATTCTTTGAGCCAATCTCTCTCTCTCTCTCTCTCTCTCTCTGTCTCTCTCTCGCTCTCTCTCTCATTCTCTGTATGTGTGTGTGTGTGTGTGTGTGTACAGAGGATTCTTGACTTATAATGGTTCAACTTACAATTTTTTTGACATTGTGATACATTTATCGGGATGTAACCCCATCCTAAGTTGCGGAGTACATATATGTATATATTGGTTCTATTTCTCTGGAGGACCCTAACAAGTACAGACTGAGAGAGTGGCTTTGTGAAGGTCCAGAAGCCAAGACAAGCAAATTGATGGAGTATAGAAACTGAAAGCATAGGTGTTGCATGCAGCTTGGCCTGTGTTAGAACCCGGCTCTGTCATTTAATATCTCTGAGTCTTAATTTGCTCCTTTGGAAAATGGAAAAAATAATAGTGCCTGAACCAAAGGGTAATTGTGAACCTTAAGTAGGATTAATATGGGCGTTTGCTTTGTCAGTTGCTCAGCACCTGACTCTTGGCAAGTGCTTGATGAATGATCAATATTATTATTACTATTGTTGTTATTATTACTAAGTCTTCTTAAGAAGAGTCATGGGCTCTCAGAGAACCTTTGCTTTCTTCTCCTACTTACTTGAAATTGCTAGGAACATTCATCCTCCATCTCTGGGTTGTAGGTGAAATCCTCATAGTGCTCACCTCTCTCCATCTCCTGGACCATAGATCTGGTGTCCCAGAAGCCCCAGGAATTGAGGTGCTGGTTGTTCTTTCAACAAAACCACCTCCCCAGTCTCTCTTCATGGATTCCCCAACTCACAAGCTTTTGGAAGCGTACACTTACCTCATCCCTGCCTTTCTTTGTTTTTCCCAAAGACTATTGTCAGGATCTTGGTTTTAAAATTATTTTAATATTTGATTCTAGGAAGAGTAGATAACATCAAAAACATGAGATATGGGTAGCTGATAACTTTGGCAGTGCTTACGTTGTTCTCACAGCTATGATCTAAGGTCTGTAGATGCCACACACAGGTGAAACAACGTGGTATTTATAATGCATCTGGGTTAGTGCCTGGCACATGGCAAATGCTTAATAAATGGTGGTTCCCCTCTGACCCTGACAGTTCCAAGGTTTGGGGTGACTTGTGGATGATTCTAATGTCCCAACCCCACACACAAGTCTTCCTGTATGGAGGTCTTCTTCTAGGGTATAAGAAGGTGCCACGGCCTTTCATTTCCTTCTCAAGCTCCAGTTTTATGCTTGACTTTGTCTATCTGTGGGAATATTTATAAGTTTTCCTCTTTACTTCCTTCTCTTCTTTTCTTCCTGTCTTCCATTACTTTTCTTTATCAGTTTCTTTTACTATTTTTATTTTTACAATTTTTTTCTCTCCCTTTCTCCCTCTCTTTCTCCCTCTCTTTCTTTCTTGTGTTCTTTTGCTCTTTCTTCTTTCTCTTTCTCTCTTTATTTCTTTCCTTTCTGCTCTTTATTTTTCTGATTCTCCCTTCAATTATTTTTCTTCTATCTTTTCTCCCCCTTTCATCTCCTCTTTCCTTTCTTCCTCCTTCCCTTGCTTCCTCTCTCCTTCTTTCCCTACTTTATTTCTTTTTCAATTGCTTTCCCTTGCAGTTTTAATATTTCCCTGACTTACTTTTCTTTCCTTTTTTTCTGTTACCCTCTCCTTTTCACTCTCTCTCATTCCTTCCCTTTCTTCTTTCAACATCTAACATGGTAAAGTTTTGTGCTAATAACCAAGGCAAGACAAAACTTATATTCATGTTCTTCCATAAAGAATCTCATATAATCATAGGAAGGCCAAGGGCCCAAAGGGAAAAGAAAGAGAAAGAAGAGGGGAATCCAAATGAATGTCTCTTAGATGTCTCACTGCGCACGGGCTTTTCCGGACATCTTCCACTCCTTGTCTCGAAGCTTGGCTCGTTGAATTTTCCCTGTGACAGTCTTGGGCAGGTTCAAGACAAACTCTATCTGTTGAAAAACAAATCAGTCCAGGGTGGGTGATCTGTGACGACAGTGGGTTGCATTTTTCAGAACTGCTGTAGGGTGAGGGGAAGTTCTTCAGGCTGGAGCCACTTCAGGGCAGCTGCCCTGTGCAATAAGAAGCTTCAGAAAGTGCTCTGGGATGAGGACAATAAGAGGATGGCTAGAATTGGGCATAAAGGTCTTTGACATATTCTCAGACAGAGAAGGAACAGCATAACAGACACAACATGGCACAGCAGTCAGCCAGCTGAGCCTTGACATCAGTCTCTCTGGACCCCAGCTCCTCCTCTACCAATCATCTGGCTTTAGCCAGGTCCTTGGCTTTGCTAAGACTCAGTTTTCCCACTGAGTAAGATGGAGGATAATAGTAACTTCATTGGGTGATTACATGGACAAAAGGAGATTATGAAGGCTAAGTTACTGGCATGGAGTAACCACTGAAAAATATTAGCTGTGGTTATTAATCTGGGTTAATCTGAGGTCTTTAGACATCTAAGAATTAGGATACCTCATTTTGAATTCCACATCAATCATTTCCTATCAATGTACCCTAAGCAAAACTATAAAATCTCTCCAATTTCACTATTTGATCTTGTTAAAAGGAATGTTTGAAGTTGAGGATCCTCTATCTCTTATATTCCCAAATCCAAAGATATGGATGGTGAAGATGCCTCATTGAGGCTTCCAGTGATATGGCTCAGTTGCCATGCCATTGGTTTAAGTGTTAGATGGTCTTGAATTAATAAAAATTAACCCTTTATTAACTTTAATTTAATAATAGGGATACTGAGATGGAAAAAGTATCTTCTTAGTGGCTGATATAAGAATTCTTCTATAAGTCAAGACTGACTTTGTTGAGAAGAGTTTGTTCAAAACACAATGAAATGGAGGAGAGGTCAGCAAACTATGGCCTGCAGGCAAAATACAGCCCACTTCCTGTTTTTATCAATAAAGTTTCATTGAAACACTCATACCCATGCATTTAGAAACTGTCAACCTTTAGCATTGCATGGGCAAAGTTGAGTAGTTGCAACAAAGACCACATAGCCTAAAATATTTACTATTTGGGCCCCGAAGGGTAGATAGAGAGTGGATGAAAGCCACAGGAGGTATCCAGATTTAATGCTAAGAAGGAAGCTACTCTGCTTGTCATGAAGAGAGAAGTAGAAAGGACTGGATGTAGTTGGTGGAAGGAGGGGGAAGGTGCAAATAATCCGCTGCCTTGAGAATTCTAGAGGAGAGACTTGCAGAAAGAGACACATCTATTGAGATATTTGAGTAAGACACTGCACACTGTGTGGTAGGACTCCTTGACTCAGCCTTCTACAATATTCAGTTATACTTAAACATTCGTAATATCTTTGGTGTGCCTGGATTTCTAAACTCCTT
Organism: Homo sapiens; assembly: GCF_000001405.40. Classification (NCBI taxonomy): domain Eukaryota; kingdom Metazoa; phylum Chordata; class Mammalia; order Primates; family Hominidae; genus Homo; species Homo sapiens. Next base: position 20,485,169 of record NC_000016.10, on the reverse strand, counting down.
TGTAAATACTTATTAAATGTTTATTATGTGCCAGTCACTCTTCTAAGTGTCTGATGCCTTCTTAAATGAACTCATCCTTAACAATCTGTGAAGGGGTAACAGCATTATTCTCATTTTGCAAATAAGGAAACTGAGGATCACAGAGGTTATTGAGTAACTGGTGGAGGTGAACGTTGAACCCAACAGTCTGATTCCTGAGACTGTGCTATGCTGCCTCATTCTCAGAGGCTGCAAGTCCATGTGGTGGACTCTGATATGCAGCTGAGATCCTCCTCCAGGGACAAAGAAGTCCCACCCCACTGCCAGACCAATATGAGGATTGCCTCAGCCAGAGACAGCTGTCTTGTCCAAGGTCACACTCCTTCCCAGGGCAGCCTACACATCTATACCTGATCCACCTGTGACTGTAAAGACCCCCTTCCCTTCCTCACCTTGCCTTAGGACAACACTGAAAGGTTATACTAGCTCCAGAACTCCCATGGGATTGGCTGGAGTTCCCATTGAGACTAAGTCACAGTGCAACCTCACCGTCTGCTCAGTTCTGCTCCTTTCTTTCCCTTCCTCTCCCTTCCCCCAGGGGTTGATTCCAAAACACTCCCTAATAAGCCTCTTGCGTGGTAACCTCTTTCCCCATGGCCTGCTTCTCAGAAGACCTATGACAATTAGCCTGTGCTGAGGAAAGGCAGGTGGCATCTGGGCTACATAAGAATCTAAGGGACTCTAAGCTCAGCATAGTTGCTCTCACCTTCTACCCTAGACTCAATTTTTTTTCTTTCTCTGGGACAAGCTCCTATCTGGGACCCAAATCCAATAACTGGGTTCTCCTGCCTTGTCAACCTCTGTGCCTCAGTTCTCTGTCCCAGAATGAAAGAAGCTGAAAACTATGCTTTTGTCTTTTCTCGTAAGAACACTTCCCTTTTCCTGTGGGGAGCCACCCCTCCCTCTCAGTCCATGTCATGGGGTAGGGCAGCTCTCTCCCCCATCCCCCCTGCACTTTCTCTGAGGATGACTTGGCTAATCAGTGTGACATTGGCCTGGCTACAGGGATTCATTTAGCAATGGACACATGGCCCAAGTTGGTCCAGTGAGAGTCAACCCAGAGAATTTTGTTGAGGCCTTTGGAGAAAAACATGCTCATTTTCTACTGGAGTTTTCTAAGCTGCTGAGAATATATGTTTGGAGCTGATAGAGCCACAAAGAAAAAGCATTCCAAGAAATCAAACCACTACAAAGGAAAGAGAGTCAAAGGGTGAAAGAGAGACACCTGACCACATCCTAGGAATGCCTGGGACTAGCCATAATGAAAGCTTTCCCCACCCCTGGACTTTTCAATTGCATGAGCAATAAATGTCAAGCTAGATTTCTGTCACTTGCAACTGAGCGTTGCACAACCCTGAATACTATAGCAAGAACCCAGTGCAGAGAATGGGAATACAGGTAAGATACTGGCTAGAACTTATTCCCTTGATAGCATTTGGCTTTTAATTCAGAGTGAGTCAAAAGCTGAGGTCATTTTTCAGGCATCAAGCTAGATTGTCTTTCTGGGCTTTCTTGATCATAGAAAGACTTTTTTTTTTTTTTTTTTTTTTTTTTTTTTTTTGAGACAGAGTCTCACTCTGTCACCTGGGCTGCAGTGCAGTGGCACAATCTCGGCTCACTGTAACCTCCACCTCCCAGATTCAAGTGATTCTCATGCCTCAGCCTCCTGAGTAGCTGGGATTACAGGCACATGCCACTACACCGGGCTAATTTTTGCATTTTGGGTAGAGATGGGGTTTCACCATGTTGGCCAGGCTGATCTTGAACTCCTGACCTCAGGTGATCCACCCGCCTCAGCCTCCCAAAGTGCTGGGATTACAGGCGTGAGCTGCCGCGCCCAGCCAGGAAGACTTTTTAAAATTAGAGGACTGTCCTCCTCCTGAAGAAGATAAATATAACAGGAAAACAATCTATTTCTCAAGTTTGAGTGACTTGGGAGCTCAAAGGCCTTACCTTTCTTGGGTACTTGTATGGGGCTGTCACTGACTTCACATGCTGCTGCAGCTCCTTGGTGAGCTGTTCTGGGTCATGGGACAGGAACTGCGAGGCCAGGACCACAAATGCCTTCACCACCTGCAAAAAAGATGAAGGCCAGAGAGAAGGGATTAGAGTGTGTAGTCATCTCCTGGAATAATGTGAAATTGGCATTAAGACTTCCATCACCCTTGTATCTCCTCATTTGCACCCCCGGTGATCCAGGTCAAGGGAAAAGGAGAAAACTGGGGACATGAATGAGGTTACAGCTCTCTCTGAAGTCATTTATTGGAGGAGCAGGTGGACAAAAGATTGAGACTAGGCTCACCTCATACTCCAATAACAATAGAGACAGATAAGGAGAAAGAAGATACAGGGGGAGAAAAGAGAAAAATAGACTGAAAACCATAACCCTAAACAATGTGTTAACTTCTCCAAACTTCAGTGTTCCCATCTGTAAAGTGGGGATAAAATTGCCAAATTTAACTTACGGTAAATAAAATGAAATCATATACAGCAGGGCTAGCTCAGAGCTGGGCACACAGGATTTTCTCAGCAGGGGATCCCCCATGGCCTCACTGCTCAGTGGTTCCCATAATTTTCTGTATGATGTATTCTGTACGTACCAGAGGTATGATAGTGCCAGGCTTACACCCTGCGGGAATGTGCTAGGACACTGATCCACACATCCCACCTTAATATTTTCCTACACACACATCAAAGTCCACTAGACCCCATCTGAGCCTATTTCTATAAGCCTGGCTTTATAGGGGTCTTTCTTTTTCCCTTTATTTTCACTGCGAACTCTGTGGCACACGGGCTCTGTCCTTTGGCTCAAATCCCTCCTCTGTTCTTCTGGTCGGGAATCAGACTCTGATTCAAATACCAAACAGCAGGATAGAATCCTTCCAGCCTCATCAAAATAGACATTATATAGTACTTACTATGTGCTAGGCCTTGTTCCAAGCACTTCACTTTCTTTTTTTCTTTTTTTTTCTTTCTTTTTTTTTTTTTTTTTTTTTGAGACAGAGTCTCACTCTGTCACCCAGGCTAGAGTGCAGGGGCACGATCTCGGCTCACTGCAAACTCCGCCCCCCGGGTTCATGTGATTCTCCTGCCGCAGCCTCTTGAGTAGCTGGGATTACAGATGCCTGCCACCATGCCTGGCCAATTTTTGTATTTTTAGTAGAGATGGGGTTTCACCATCTTGGCCAGGCTGGTCTTGGACTCCTGACCTCGTGATCCATCTGCCTCGGCCTCCCAACCAAGCACTTTACTTTATAAAAGTTTTTATCATTTCATAATATTTGTACATATGTATTGGGTACAAGTGACATTTTGTTACACGCAAATATGGTAATTATCAAGTTAGGATACTTGGGGTGTCCATCACCTTGAGTATTTATAATTTGTGTGTGTTGAGAACATTTCAAGTCCTCTCTTCTAGCTATTTTGAAATATACAATACATGGTTGTTAACTATAGTCACCCTACTCTGCTATTGAACATTCGAACTTATTGCTGCTAACTGTATGCTTCTACCCATTCACCAACCTCCCTTCATCCCCCACTTCCCCACCCACACACCCTTCCCAGCCTCTGGTATCTATCACTCTACTCTTTATCTCCATGAGATCAGCTATTTTAGCACTTACTCATGAGTGCAAACACGTGATATTTATTTTCTGTGCCTGGCTTACTTCAGTTAACATAATGACCTCCAGTTCTCTCCATGTTGCTGCAGATGACATGATTTCATTCTTTTTTAACACCAAATAGTATTCCATTGTGTATATATACCACATATTATTTATCCTTTCATCCACTGGATACTTAGGTTGATCCCATATCTTCGTATTGTGAATAGTGCTGCAATTACCATGGGAGTGTGGACATCTTCTTGATATGCTGATTTCTTTTCCTTTGGATAAATACCCAGTAGTGGGATTGCTGGATCGTATGGTAGTTCTGTTTAGTTTTTTTAGAAATCACCATACTTAAGTACTTTACAAATATTAGCACATTTAACCCTCATAACAATCCCTCATCTTACAGATGGGGAAACTGAGAAACAGAGAGGCCAAGTAGCTTGCCCAAGGTCACATAGCTAGTAAGTGGCAGGGCCAAGATTGGGTCTCAGAGTGTTCAGCCCCACAGTCCCTGTTCTTAAACCATCATACTACACTGCCCTTGTGTTCATATGTGTTCACCCCCAGGCTACTGCTTCCCCATCACCTCTCCTCGGACGGGGTCTGGGCTGCTGATCACAGCCGTCTCAACCACAGCAGGGTGCTCCATCAGTGCATTCTCTACCTCCGAGGGTCCAATCCGGTACCTGCAGAAGAACCTGTCCTTCAGAGAACACTGGACACCGAACCTCTAGGCCATTCCAGAAGTCTGGAACCAGCCAGAGTAAAGACCCAGATTTCCCTTCCCAACCCAGAAACCAAGCTCACCCGCTGGAGTTAATGATATCATTTGCCCGTCCCATAAACTGGAAATACCCATCTTCATCTTTGATTCCCCGGTCTCCAAGGAGCCAAAAGTCTCCTCGAATGTTGGCTGCTGTCTTGTCGGGATTGTCCTGGTGACCACAGAAAGACAGAGTCATTGTGCCTGCAAAGCCTAAATCCCCTGCCCTGGGGCTGCCATGAACAAATGCTATGAGTCTTATTAAAACTGCAGGTGTGCAGTGTATAACCTGAACATGGCAGACATGCCCTGAACCAGCCAACCCTAGGCCACAGGCAGAACTGGATCTTTCCCATTTATTGAAGTTATTCCACCCAGGGTCTCTCAGCTACTCCTCTAGGTCCAGTCTGATAGATATTATTGATGTATTCATTCATCCATGCTTAGGGCATTTTCCCCAATTGATTCCATCTCTCCTTTCATAGATATCCTAATCTCTGCTCACTCCATAGCACCACTCAAAGCTATCATTTTGATTAGGTAATTTTCTTAGCTTCTTTGTTAAATTTGAAAGTTCTAGAGACATTAGCCAGGAAGCCCCCTGGGACCCTGGCTAATGTGCATATTTCTACAATAGCTGGGTCCGTCTATTCAGCTGAGGCACTTGCTTATAAGCAATGAAAAGGCTTGAGGTTTATCCCTTGTCAGTGCATCTTCCTATCTGACTCAGGTATAGGGGCATGGGCTCCAGACTGGAAGTTCAGTTACTGGATTATATATGGTGGCATAAAGGATTCTTAGCCTCACTCTATCATTGGGAATATAGGGATACTGATGACCAGAGACATCAAGAGGTTAGTCTGAAGCTAAACAGCCATTACAGAAGGTAGAACTGAGACCAGAAGCCAGGTTTCTTGGCCACTGGATTGACTTTCTCATGGGCATCATGGAGCCTCTGTGGCCTTAGGAGTCTGCCCCACAGACGCTTCTGAGTCTGTTTCCTTTTCTGTCAAATGGGGAGAAGCCCATGACATAGTACTTCACTGGCATTTGAGAATAGAGTGGGACCACACAAAGGAAATGCTTGGAGAAGGGGACAGTGTGGCTCTGCCCTGATCACTGAGGCTCAGTTTTCCTCATCTGTATAATAGGAATAATCATTTGGATCTACAACAATTCTTTTATTTAACACACTCACGACACACAACTTACAGATGAGGAAACTGAGACATGACAGATAGGTAACTTCCCTAAGATCATGCAATACATAGTAGAGCAGGGTTTTGAACTCGAGCAAACTGAGTCCAAAAACTTTATAGGGTGGCTGGGAGGATTAAACGAGTTTAAAGTTTAAATGAGTTTAAAGTTTAAAGATTAAATGTGTTTATAGGACAATGCTTGCCTCATGATATGCATTCAATAAATGGTAGAAACTATTATTATTTGATTTATTGTTTATTTAGTTTATTAATCAATTCTCTCAGGGATCAGAAGGCATGCCCTTGGGGTCTTCTCTGTCCACTTTCTAATGGTTGTGAGCTTGAGCAAGTCTTGTAATCTCTGGCTCCACCATCCTCACCTGTCAAGTGAGGTGGCCAGATTCAAGGATTATCTGTCTTTACCTTCCCAAGATCTGAAGATAGGGATTCCTCCAACTAGATGGTGAAGTCTTACTGTAAAGTGCCTGGCATGGCTCTAAAGAAGATCAATGGCATAGAGCATGGGGATGATACCTAGGGGAGAGGGAAAGGCAGCCCTTGGGGGAATGGTGCTGTGTATAGTTCAGGGTCAATAATATTTTGGGCATGAAACAGAGAGTTCTTGAGGAGTCTAAGGGCTAACTGAAGAAAAATAAGTCTTCCAATGAGATCACAGTGATAGGCTGAGGATGGCAAGGCTGAATAGCCACTTTTCTTCCACTGGCAAAGCATACATTCTTGAAAACTGGACAGTCTTTGTCTCCACATCTAGTGCCTCTTGGAAGTTTCAGAACATTTGTCCTCCCTCATCCCGTTTAGTGCTCCCATCCTCACTGGGGAACAGAGGAGGAGGAGCACAGTTTCTCACCACATAGCCAGAGAAGATGCCTATAGGCCTGATGGGTTTGACCCTGATGCCAATGTCTCCTTCTGTGCCGGGGGGCAGGACGTTGCCCTTATCATCTATGATCTGGAGAAAGAAGCAGATTGGAAGAATGATGCACACAGCAGGAGATGGCTTCAATGGCATCATGAGATTGCTGAATTGGTCAAATGAAAGACCCTCTTGCTCTAGTGGAGACTGAAAACAACAACCAGAAGCCAGGGGAACCCAAGAGTCTTAAACTCAGATCTCTGATCTATCTGCCTGGAATAGTTTAGGTGAATCCTTTTATTGAGACTGGCCCAGATGAGCCTGGGGAGATGCTTTTGGCTCTAGGAGCTCAGATAAAGTAATAGCCTCCTCTTATCTTTGAGACCTGCCTCACCTGTGGACTTAGAAATCGGGCAGATCAAAACTCAAATTTACTCTGCTACCTTACTAGCTGACTTTGAACTACTTAAACTCTGGGCTTCAGTGCTTTCGCCCATAAAACAGATACTGACAGCTTATTTCACAGGATTTTTATAGGAATGAAATAAGATACTAAGAAAGGGGCTTAGCAAATGGTTATCATAGTGAATGGCATGGCAAGTAACTGGATATGACACTGAATAGAGTCTAAGTTACACTTTAGATATACAGAACTATACACATAACACAGATACACAAACACAAATTCTAGTTCTCAAAAAACAACAAGAGAAAGCAATAAAACTTTAGCTACTACACATTCATTATAGTGTATTTTTACTAGTGAAAACTGGGACATCATCCCTTGGTCCAATAAAAGGCATAAACAGCAGTGGATATATACTATTTACTACATCATTAAAAATCATGCTGCAGGTTGGCATTAATTGAACTGAAAAGATCCTTACCTAAATTGTTAAATGATAAAAGCTAGTTACAAAATATTATGTCAAGATTCACCCCATTTCTGTTTTTAAAGCATATATACTTGTGTACTGTCTAGCTAATTTGCTAGCTATTCAAAGTGGGTCCTTCTGGATGGTAAGAATATAAATCATTTCCCCTTTTCCTCCTTCCTTCCCTCACTCTTTCCTTCCCCCAACCTCCCTACCTCCTTTTTTTCTTATGTTATCTTAATATCAGTACTTTCTATTATTTTTGACTCAATAAACAATGGAAAACATAAATCACTGAAAATCAGTGTTTCCCCTAACTTCCTCCCTCCTCAGTGTCCCGAGCAAACCTGTACATCATAACAGGAAGCAGCCGTTCCCATGTATCCTGGTTTGATTTTCATTGTCTTGGAAACCATGCAAGTTAATCCCTGTGGAAAGAAGCAGACAGATCAGCAAACCTCAGGAGGAGGTACAAGGTCACAGAAAAAGAAAAAATTTCTGCAGAGCAGGTCCTGACACTGTCCTGAACTTGGCCTGCACTTGGTGGCTCCCCCTGCTCCTCATTCCCTGGCTCTCTCCCCATTACTGGAACCACAATCCTAGGGGCTTCGCTAAATTGTTAGTTCAGGAAGCAACCCATCTACCACTCCCCAGGAAGAGGACCTAACAATCACATTATAATCTCTTTTAGGGGGAACCACATTTTAATACGACACTATGGATACCCAAAGCCCTTTCAAACTATATGGGATCACCAATATGCAATCTGTAAGGCCTAAAATATACTACTTTTATTTTTATTTTGAATTTTTGTGGGTACATAGGTGTATCTATTTATGGAATATATGAGATGTTTTGATACAGGCATGCAATGTGAAATAATCACATCATGAAGAATGAAGTATCCATTTCCTCAAGCAGTAAAATATACTTTTTAAAGTATCTCCCATGGCAGCACCAGTTCTGCTTGAACCCTGAAATGAACCTTCCCAACAGAATAACAAATGAGTGGTGGATGCCTCACTGACAGAGACATAGATTGTCATTTTCTCAGATCTAGCCTGGACAAAAGATATCACAATGACCCATCTTTTCCCGCCACCCACTGTGCTGGAAAGGGCAAGTTTATCCACCCACCTCAGAAGAGAGGCTGCTGAGTGATTAAGATCATGGGAACCTGAGTGTCCTTGTAAGCATATCCTAAACATGTCCTCCTCTGAATGGTGGGAGGCCCCTGCCAGGGTATGCTTGCCACAACTCCATTGTCCTTATTCATATTTGCAGAGCTCTTCCTGGCTCTTTCATACCACAGAGCTGCCGTCAACCTTCTGCAAAAGTTCTTCCAAGGGTACTCATTAGCCAAAGAAGGATGCAGGGTAAGAGAGTGGAGAGGAAGAGGCAAGAAGTGCTGAGAGTCACAAGTAAGAGGCACTGGAAAAAGGAGAAGAAGAGTTGGGGAAAAGTATTCCCCATGTAGTTTTGATAAGTAAAATAGTATAGAATAGCATAAATCCACATTGTGCACATGAGACCTCAAGAGTTCCAAGAAGATATGTCAGGAGGTGCAGTAAAGTCATGGTGGGTTCTTCTTCCCATTCCTCACTTCAGTCTAAGTAGCTTTGTACAGTGCTTGACATGTTTGATAAACTTTGGTCTCTGCTAAAATGTTTCCCCATCACAGAGGAATTTTCTGACTACCATATCTGATTTACCAACTTCTCACCCCATGTCATCTACTTTACTTTTTCCATCGCATTTCTCACCACCTGCCATGCTAGATATTTCTTAGTTTATTTTCTCTCTCCCCAAATCTCACTGGAATGTAATCTCCCAGAAAACAGGAACTTTGCCTTTTTTGTTCTGTGCGGAATTTTCAATACTCAGTACCTGTCCCTTCATAGAGGCTCAATAAATACTTCTCGAATAGATGAATGATACATGGTGGCTAACAATTTTTATTGTCAAAGAGAATTTTGAAGCCCAAAAAGTGCACACAGCCCATGGTTCCCCTGGGAACAGGTACCGTTTCTGTCTGGCCATAGGATTCTCGGATGTCCAGTCCTGTCTGGGCCCTCCAGTTCTCCAGAGTTTCTGGAAGAAGGGACTCCCCTACAGTGACGCAGTTCTGTAGATGGGGGAACTTGTAACTGAAGAAGAGAAATAAATGTTTGCCCTCAGCCTCCCTGGAACCAAAGTCCACTCAGGCCTAGACTGGGTTTCTGGGTGCTTTGATGATGCAAATGGCTTCATGGGGCTCTCTGTGTGCGAGAGATTCAGATAGATAGGCATGAATGTATGTGAGGGAGTCAGGGGGATGGGGCCAGACTCTCTTACCAATCCTCAAAGCCCCATCACCTGGAAAGATCCTGCTGTAGCAACATCCGGTAAACAATGGGGGCACCCATCATACTCTTGATTGGATAACTGGAGAGTGTCTGGAAGACAAGAGCCAGGTGAGACATTGGTCACCAGGTCAAATGCCAACTTATGGCTATGCACAGTGGTTACAATTGTGAGCTATGGAGTTGTAGAGGTCTGGATGAAAACCCTAGCTTGTTTACTATGTCTGATTCAGGTTAAATGAGCCCCACAACTCTCATGCACCCTGAAGACACAAATAACAGGGAAATGAATACATATTATTGTAGTGAAAAAGTCTAAGGCTAATTTGAAACATTTTTGTCAAATCCTGGATGTCTGTTCCTGCCAGTTTAAGACTTGCCCTCGTTAACACACCCCTAGGAGTAGATCACCCCCCAGCAACTAAGGGAAGATCAGCTGCCTGAGCACAGCAGCTGTCTTGGTTAAGTTCCTTAACTTTCTGTAGCCAGCTTTATAATAGATTGTTTCCAGCCTTATTTTCCTGAAAATATTTTTGGAATATATTTTAGATATAAAAGTTCTTTGAAAAGCTAAAGACATCTATAGACATTTCAAAACAAGTGCTGCAAAAAGACCTAGTACTGAATACTTGCCATGTCCTGTGTTATCTCATTTAATTTTTACAATAACCTCACGGAGTGTGTGCTATCATCCTCATGATACAGAGGGGAAACCCATGATGTACAAGGTTAAGTAGCTGCTCCAAGGTCACCTAGTCAGCAAGTAGTGGGATCATTATTTGCAGCATGTATTCCTGTCGTATAACACCATCTCCATCCCATGCTTTTCTTTATGCAGAATGTAATAGAGTATTGTCTTAATCTGTTTTCTTTTGCTGTAACTGAGTACCGGAGACTGAGTAATTTATGAAGAAAATAAATTTATTTCTTGCAGTTCTAGGGGCTGGAAAGTCCAAGGTCAAGAAGCTGCATCTGGTGAGAGCCTTCTTGCTGTTGGGGACTCCGCAGAGTCCCAAGGAGGGTCGGGGCATCACATTGTAAAGGGGCTCACGAGGTAGAGCAAAACTGGCTTTTTATATAACAGACCCACTCTCCAAAACTAACCCACTAACAGGATAACCCATTAATCCATTAATCCCTCATGAGGCCCAATCATCTCTTAAATGCCCCACCGCTTACTACTGTTACACTGGGGATTGAGTTTGTTGATGAAAGGAGCCAAACTCTGTAAAACATTTGAAGAGATTTATTCTGAGCCAAACATGAGTGACCATGGCCATGACAGAGCCCTCAGGATGTCCTGAGAACACGTGCCCAAATTGGTCAGGGTGCACCTTGGTTTTATACATTTTAGGGAGACATAAGACATCAATCAAACACATTTAAAAAATACATTGGTTTGGTCCAGAAAGGTGGGGCAACTTGAAGCGGGGGCTTCCAGCTTATAGGTAGATTTAAATTTTTCTGGTTGACAATTGGTTGAGTTTATCTAAAGACCTGGGATCAATAGAAAGGAATGCCTTAGTTAAGATAAATAATTGTGGAGACCCAAGTTCTTATTTGCAGAGGAAGCTTTTAGGTACTGGCACTAGGCTTTAGACAGAACAGGTTGTAATCTTTTTTTTTTAATCAGACTTAAAGTCTGTATTGATGTTAATACCAGAGAGGTATAATGAGGCATGTCCCACTCCCACTTCCTATCATGGCCTGAAACAGTCTCTCAGGTTAAATTTTAAAAGAACCCTGGCTAAGGAGGAAGTCCATTCAGATGGCTGGCGGGATGGGGCCTTAGGATTTTATTTTTGGTTTACAAGTTTCATCATGAGTTTTGGGGGGCACAAATATTCAAACCATGGCAATGGTTTAAGCAAAAGGTCTAGAAAAAATGACAAATGTGAGTATCATGCAATAATTTCCTTCAAGTGTGCTTGATACACAGATATAAGCTATGAAAATGATCCCATATTCCTTATTGCTTTGCCTTACTAGAAGCTCAGCTTGTAACTACATACTCATTTGCTATATTTCTCCTTAATTTCCTTAGTCTTTTCCACCCTACACCTCCAACCTAAATTTTCCCAATGGGCTTTATAATTTTATGTCTGTTTTCATTTTTTTAATGGTGGAACTTAATAAAAACCAGTTCAAGTCCTTTTGAGAAGGACACAGAGTAAGAATTTGCTTAAAACAGAGAATGACAGTATTATTTGAAGATAATTTCCTATGAAAATCCAGATCACACCTGACTTTTTGACTTTTGAAGATGTCATCTATGCCTTAGCTTGAACCTTTGCTGCAGCCAAATAGATGTCTGGATGGGCCATTAGAGATCTGGGGGCACAGCAGGGAAATAACCCAATCCCTCTATCATAGAGTCCAACATAGGGTGTATCTTCATAAGCAAAATGAGGTCATTTTCATTGCTTTGTTGCTACAGGATAATGCATAGCTGCAGTCTGTGGGTCTTACTTAATGGCTGTACCATCAAGTTCTACAGGAAAAAATTCCATTTATTCTTCTGAATTGCTTCTAGAAAACCATCTTAAATTGGAAATAACCCAAAGTTCATTAACAATAGGATGGGGGAACATTTTTACAGATTCACATAATGAAATACTTTGCAGCCAGCTAAAACAACAAACATCTGATACATGCAACACGTGGACTAATCTCACAGAGAATATTTTGAGTAAAAGAAGCCAAATGCAAAAGATTACATATAATTTGGCTCCATTTACATGAAATTCCAAGAAGAGATAAAATTAATCTATGGTGATAGGTATCAAATGAATGATTAACTTATGGGGGGCAGATGCTGTCAGAGAAGGGGTATGAACACCTTCTGCAGTGGTGGGAATGTTTCATGTCTTTATCTGGTGGTGTTTACAGGGGTGTCTGATATGAATTGGATGTTGTGTCCCCACCTAAATCCCTATATTAAAGCTCTAACCCTCAACTTGATGGTATTTGGAGGCAGGGCTTTTAGGGGTAATTATGCAAGGTAATGAAGCAGGTGCCCCAGTGATAGCATGAGTGCCTTTATTTGTAAAAAGGAAGATATACCAGCACTGTCTCTCTCAACCATGTGAGAATATAGCAGTAAGGGAGCCATCAGCAAGCCAGGAAGAGAGGGCTTCCCCAGGAATCCAATTATGCTGGCACCCTGATCTCAGACTTACAGCCTCCAGAGCTATGAGAAGTAAATGTCTGTTATTTAAGCCACCTAGACTATGGTATTTTATTATAGTAGCCCAAGCTGACTAAGACAGTATCTAACACAGCTAAATTATTTTCAAACTGTACACATAGGATGGTGGCACTCTGTGTACTTTACCTTCAGTTTGTGTGTTATGCTGCAAATAAAAAAGGAAATGAAATGTGCACTCACAAACACACACACACACTCATGAGAGCGAGATGGCATCCCCTCCAATACTCCAGCTTTCCCTTTTACACGTGGTTCACCAGCATCTATCTGATAGGTGACACCAGCGGAAGAGCCCGTTACATTTGTTGAGTGAACAAATGACCTACAATATCTTTCTCCTGAACATACTCCTTTTATCTATATATGTGCCTCTCTCCTACCCCAGAACATGAGCTCTGTGAGGTCAGGGACCATTTCCATCTCGTTTACTGAACACTGTTCACCACATGGCAGGGGTTTAGCAAAAATTAGATGAATTGAAACAAACTACAATAAATTGAAGTGTGCAAACCTCGGGCTCACTCTGAATAACTGCTGCAAACTGGATCCTCTCTTACCTTTAGAATAACCAGTGGGTCAAACTTTGGCAAGAGATGAACAAATGTGCATGCTCCTAATGCCCAAGGTTCCATAAGTGAGCACAAGATGTTCAGTATCCAACCTGTGTCTGATATGGTCCACATTATATCAGAGGCTTGCAGGCCTGTCCAACTGAAAACACAGACAAAACACATGTACATATAGGTGGGTGCATGCTTAGGATGCGTGGGACACTAAGGTGTAGGGGAGGAAAGGGAGGTGTGTGTGCAGAGGTGTGTGTGTATCTGCCTGCAGGTTTATAGGCATATGTCTATGTATAAGTAGGAAGGGGGAAGAAAAGTTGTTCTATCCACACATCCTGTATCAACAGGAGATGAATGTTCAGAAGGTGGGACCCCGGTTGACCTGACTTAATATATAATTGGGTCTCATTCTCCTTCTAACTCCAAAACTCATGTAATTCTCTGTAGAGAGAAAGAGCTCAGCTTACCCAGCATCCATCTTGGCCTTGAGGCCCAGGCTCGAGTAGGAATGTTCTGCCATCTTGGGAAGACCACTGGTCCCACTAGTGAAGTAGATGGCAGATGCTTCCTGGCTTCCAGTCTCCACACAGTGATGAGTGGTGGATGCCTCACTGACAGAGACACAGATTGTCATTTTTTCAGAGCTAGACTGGACACCAGATATCAAAGTGACCCATCTTTTCCCACCACCCACTGTGCTGAAAAGGGCAAGTTGATGGACCCACCTCACAAGAGAGGCTGCTGAGTGATTAAGATCATGGGAGTCTGAGTCAATCAGAGTTGGGTTTGAAAACTACTGAAGTTTCACACTTTGTTATCAATGCAACCTTAAACTACTTATTTAACGTCTCTGTGTCTGACTTTATATCTGCAAAAAAAGTGAGATCAAGTCTTATAGAGTTATCTCTACCACCAAAGAAATGAGCAAATTGCTTAGTAAGAACTCAATAAATGCTAATCTAATTGTTGTGAAGAGCTCTGGCATGACACCAAGTGGACAGGAGGGGTGGAATTAATACAAGTTTTCCAAGTACTTTCTTGGCATTCTCTTCTATTCCCTGGAAGCACCTACATATCTCTTGGACATCTCCAGTGTCCTGATTTTGAGCCTTTAAAAGCAGGCATGATGGTGTTTATTTCCATGACAGCTACCTTAAAGACCATGGCATTAGAAAGGAAAAGCTGAAGTTATCCCTTCAAGTTTCCTATCATATGTGCCCCTGCTAGAGGGATTTCAGACATGTTGACAGAGAAAATCATTAATCCAGCCAGTCTTGCTATCGGCTTTTGGAAGGACTATCAAGGTCTTTCCATGCTATCAACACATGGAAAGTCCTCTGCCCTTGATCAGCCTCTCTTAGAGATACAAGAGGTGGAAAGAAGAGCCCAGAAACTTGGTATATCAGCCATCTCTTGGGTTTTCCCTCATGACCTTGGCCTCACCCCTGATTTGAGTCATAGTTCCAGTAAATTGTTCTGGGTGGGTTTCAACCCACTTGGTGTTAACATCATGTTGTTTCCAGTGTGCATCACAAGTGATTCACTTTGTGCCCCATAGTTTCTCTGTTTTACCATAGCATGGAACTCTGAGCCACTCTTCACGCATGAGTGCGCAGCCCAGAAGTGTGGAGGCAATAACACCCCCAGGACAACCCTGAACCTGTGGGGACCAGATGCTAATGGATCAGTGCTTTTCAATCCTTTAGAGGACAATCCTGGGAGGCATTCTATATGCTGCTCAGAAGGTCCAGGCAGATCAAGCCCCATTTAGTCCTTGCAATGATTTGAAAAAAAAAAAAAAAAAAAAAAAATACCCTTGTGTTAGCTTTTATTTCTTCCCAGCTTCACTCTTCCTAGTCCCATGCTGTTCTTTCTGCACCTCCTCAATAAAGCACCTGCACCTAAGTGCTTGGCTCTGTTTCCAGTTTTAGTTAAAACCCAGGCTGAGACATGTAGATACTCACTTTAGTAGTTTCTTGAAGTTCAGCCACCCATCACAGCTTTTCTCAGACACCAGTAGCTTAATTCTCAGAGAAGGACATTCAGATGCCACTGTGTCCACTTCTTGGATGACTTCATCCCCAGCAACAATAGCCTTGGCCTTAGACATCTGCAACCTATACAGTATGTCAGTGGATTTCATCTGGATGGTTCCAGGCATAAAGATGAGACCTAAAGAAGCCAACAATTTAGAGAATTGGAAAGGATGATTTTCTTTGTCCCTAGAGAAGCCTGAGATAAACATCAAGCAGCGAGCAAGTGGGGAAGGAGAGGATGAGGAAGTAATGACCAATAGAGAGTGTCAATAAAAAAGGGAACTAAGGACAAGGGAGTGAATGAAACCTAGGATTCCCTGGGTTGTCAGAGTCTTAAGGGCCCTACTGAGACAAAGAAAAGAAATTGAATTGCTAATGTCACATTGTTGATAGTCTAAGACACATACAATTCTCCTCACCCACTCTCACCCCTCAAAAAAAATTTTCTACAGGAGTTTGCTGTATTCAAAACTCTCATATGATAATTAAAGAATCATGAGGAAAGGCACTTGGAACTGTCCATGGTCTTGAAACACCAATAGCTCTAGGTCCTGGCAATTTATTTCATCCCTGGGACATTAAATGCATTTTTCTTAGATGAGAGTGCCTTCAGTTTTACATATCTATGTACACACAAAGTATAGTTGTATATATTTATTGGGTACAAAGTGGTATTATAATTTTTGAAGACAATGTGAGATGATTAAATTAAGCTAATTCACATATCCATCACCTCAAGTATTTAACATTTTTTTGTGATGAGAACATTAGAAAGTTTTGCTCTTAATGATACTGAAATTTACAGTACTGAATTATTAGCTGTGTTTAGCATGCTGTACAATTTATCTTAAAACATTAGACTTATTCCTTGCACATAAATGAGGTTTTATACCCCATGATTATCACTTTCCTAAATTCTTGTTCTTGTTTCCTATTTTAATGAGACTCCTTTGATTATTAAAATATTCTGTAGAATAACTAGACTTAGGGCCAGGTATGGTGGCTCATGCCTGTAATCCTAGCATTTTGGGAGGCCAAGGAGGGTGGATTATTAGAGGTCAAGAGTTCAAGACCAGCCTGGCCAACATGGCGAAACCCCAGCTTTACTAAAAATACAAAAATTATCTGGGCTTGATGGCACACGCCTGTAATCCCAGCTACTCAGGAGGCTGAGGCAGGAGGATTGCTTGAACCTGGGAGGCAGTGAGCCAAAATTGCACCACTGAACTCCAGCCTGGACTACAGAGGGAGACTCCGTCTCAAAAAAATAAAAGAAAGAAAGAAAAGAACAGAATAACTACACAGGTTTCATTTTTTGTGAAGCTTAAACCACATGCCTGTCCTGTTAAATAGCTTTTAACCTTAGCTCACTTTCTTCCCACTCTCAACACTTTGGGATTCTCACTGCATACCTGTAAATATCCTCAAATGTTTCTCTACCATGGTGGCCAATTGAGTCAGACACAGAACAATAGACACATCTCTTCCTCTGGGTTCTCCTTTCCTTCTGGCTATAATTTCAGTATGTCACCTTTCTCTCTGGCTTGTTCTCTCTTTCCACAGGCTTCCAAGTTCCTGCAGTTGGTTTGGTCGCCTCTGATAGTTTCTAATTCCTGGCTGCATTCATGTCTTTCTCTTTACCCATTGCTTTCTCATGCTCAGCCCATTGTCCCCAGAATATGAGGTGGGTTGGAGCTTTTAGTTGGGATTAGGCTGTGTGCAAGCAGAGGTGGAAAGGGCAGTTTGTGAAGGAGGTTGCTGGAGTTTCTTGGGGTTCTTTTTGATACCACTGTACTTCTCATCCTTTTAATGTAAAAGTTGATGATTCTCAAATTTCTGTCTCCATGTCAAATTTTAGAGCCTTAAATCCAACTTGTTATCACTTCTTGAACATCACATGGACATCCTGGACTCAACATGCCCAAATTGAACTTGTGATATTTTCCTAACACACTAATACCTCTTTCTATATCTGTGTTCTTCACTCCAGTGAAAGAAAGCACCATCCACCCACTTGCTGAAATGTCTGTACTTCTCTCTCTCTCCCTCGCATCTCCTTTGAATAACCCTGTTATTAGTTCACCCCCCAATTGCCTGTTAAATCCACTTATCTCCATCTCTACTACCTCAACGAAACTGAAGCCATCACCATCGCTTCACCTCTTATCTGAGATTTCCAACCCCACTATTGTCTTCTTCATCCCATTCCCTATTGAGCATCCAATATGACCATCCAAACAGAGGAGGATCATGTCACTCAGTGCATCAATGGTTTGAGTGTCACTCAATGCATCAATGGTTTGAGTGTCACTCAATCCATCAATCATTTCCCATTCACCACTGGATAAATGTCCACAACTCTTACCAAGGACCACAAGGCACTGCCAGTTTAGCACCTGGCCACCTCTACATGTTCATTCTATTGCCACTACTTTCTTTTATGGCCTGGACTTCAGGCACATAGATATCCTTTTAGGTTCTTTTATAATTTTCAAGTTTCCCTCCTCTGTGGCTTTGAAACTGCCTTTGGAAAAATTATGACACTGAGGGAAATCTGACATAGCTGACTTCATCTTGTTTCCAACCTCACAAGCTATCTATCTTTGCTCATCCCTGGACATAGTCCAAGCTAACTATGGGAGAAATCTAACTTATAGTCTAACTTTAAAATAAAAATGATAATAGCTCTTTCCTGAAACTAACTGTGTCCGTGCTTGGAGATTGAAACTGCCTTTAGAAAAATAACAAATTTGTCACAAGGTTAGAATTATAGTTCAGGAGTCATGGAGCCAGAGGTCACAAGATTTGTAACCTCCCCAATTTCTCCTATAGATTACATCATTATGGTAAACCCTAAGTCTGGTATTTGAGGTGTTCTTCAGACCTTGCATTCTGATGGACCAGCTTGCACTACCCAGATCAGTAACTGATACCAAGAAACTAACTCAACTAGTTCTGTGATCTCTGAGGAGTTGACTCAACACAAGAAGACAGCTTCAACCCATGTTTTCATCCCCAGCCAAACCAATCAGCATTTACTATTCCTTAGCCCCTTGGAAGCCAAAGCATCCTTGAAAAACTCTAGTCTCTGATTTCCTGGGGAGGTGGATTTAAGAAACATCCTCCATCCTTCAACTTGGCTGTCTATGCAATTATTAAACTCTTCTCTACCACAACTCCTACTGTTTTCAGTGTTTGGCTTTTCTGGGAAGTGGACAAGAAGAAATCATCAGATAATTACATCTTCACATATGCTGTTCCCTTTGCTTGGCACAAGCCTCTCTATCTCTTGGCAAAATCCTACTCATCCTGCAGATCTCAGCTCAAATATCACTTCCATTGAGACTTAGTTGCTCCTCATATTGGTTAATTCAAGTCTTCTTTTAGAAAAGCATTGGCAAACTTTTTCTGCAAAGGGCCAAATAGTAAATATTTTAGGTTTTGTGGATAAGACACTCTCTTGTTCCAACTACTCAAGTTGCCACTGTAGTGCAACTGCAGCCACATATAATACTGTGTTATAATAAAACTTTATTTACAAAAACAAGCTTTGGGCAGGATTTGGCCTGCAGGTCACAGTCTGCCAAATTTATTTTTATAGATTTTAATAGAATTCTCATACCAATTATCATAATTCTGATTAAATACTTACATGTGCAATTAATAGTTTAAGAGCTTTCTCCAAAGTTCTGTAAGTCCCATGAATATGTAAACTATGTCATTGTTGTTGTTCACCCTGCATAAGTGCTTGGCACATAGTTTGCTTAAATAAGTGGAAGTAGGGAGATGTCTTTCTTCATATGATACAGGACAGCATGCTCCAAGGAGGAGACTTCTTTTGAGAGAGGTGGCTGCATTTCTCTGCTATCAGTTTTCTTCACAAGGAAGACAGTTCTCTGTCCAGGTAGTCAGTTACCAACCTGCTCGAATGCAGCCCAGGATCACCAGCCACCACTCAGGCACTCGGGGCAGCACCACTGCCACACGATCCCCACGCTGCAGGCCACAGGCTCCCGAGAGGACGTTGGCTGCCTGCTGGCTGTTTTCACTCAGTTCTCTGAAATTCCACATTAATTCCTTCCCCTTCCCATTCACCCACCACAGGGCTGGGCTTGGGAGTCGCTTGCCAGCCTGAGGAAAGAGAAGCCCTGTTGATCAGGGGGCATTGGTACACAAGCAGGTAGGATAAATTCCAAGTCTTGGGATTGCCAAGTTGGTGCTTAGTAAGGTTTTTTATCTCAGCACCTCCATACAATCTTAAAAGGTATTGAAAATTCTAAAGACTTGTTATTTATATGAGTTATATCTGTCAATATCTACCATAGTAGATATTAAAACAGAATTTTTGTAAATGTATGCTTTTAGAAATAACTGTAATAAACCCATTATATATTAGCATGCATAATTTTTTTATAATGATAAAGTAAACTTTTCAAAATGAAAAAATAATGAGGAAAGTGGCATTATTTTATTTATTTATTGCGTCTATTTATTCTGCAATTCCCTTTAACGTCTTAGTAGAAAAACATTGGATCCTCTCATCTGATTCTGCATTCACTCTGTTGTGAGTACCAACATGTACCTTCTGGAAAATGCTATTGTATACTCGTGAAAGAATTAGAATAAAAAGGCAAATATCACTTTAGATTTATTTATATATGTATCTCTATCTATTTACTTTTTTTAATTTTGTAGTAAAAATACACATAACATTTCCAATTTTAACTATTTTTGAGTGTACAGTTCAGTGGCATTAAGTACATTCTCATTGTTATGCAACAATCACCACCATCCATCTCCCGAGTTTTTCATCATCCAAAATGAAAACTCTGTCCCCGTTACACAATCACCCGTCATCCCCTCTCCCTTTAGGCCCTGATAAACACCATTCTACTTTCCGACTCTATGAATTTGACTATTCTAGATACATGATATTGTCTGAATATTTGTCCTCTCCAAGTCTCATGTTGAAATGCAATCCCCAATGTCAGAGGTGGGGCTTGGTGGGAGGTGATTGGATCATGGGGGTGGGACCCTCATGAATGGCTTAGCACCATCCCCTTGGTGATAAATGAGATCATAAGATCTGGTTGTTTAAAAGTGAGTGGCACCTTCTCACTCTCTGTCTTGCTCCTCATCTTGCCCTTTATTGTGCCTGCTCTTTCTTCATCTTCCACCATTACTGTAAATTTCTTGAGGCCCTCATCAGAAGCAGATGCCAGCACCACACTTCCTATACACTGTGCAGAACTTTGGGCCAATTAAATCTCTTTTCTTTGTAAGTTACCTAGTCTCAGGTATTCCTTTACAGCAACACAAGAACAGTCTGAGACCGAAAATTGGTACCAGAAGTGGGATATTGCTGTAAAGATACCTGAAAATGTAGAACTAACTCTGGAACTAGGTCATGGGAAGAAATCGAAGAGTTTGGAGGGCTTAGAAGAGACAGAAAGATGAGGAAAAGTTCGGAACGTCTTAGGCACTGGTTAAATAGTTGTGACCAAAATGCTGATAGAATTATGGACAATGAAATGCAGGCTGACCAGATTTCAAATGCAAATAAGGAACTTTTCGGGAACTGAAGCAAAGGTCCTCCTTCCTATATTTTAGCAAAGAACTTGGCTGCATTGTGTTCATAGCCTAGTGATCTGTGGAAGTTTTAACGTAAGAGTAATGACTTAGGGAATCTGAGAGAAGAAATTTTTAAGCAACAGAGCATTCAAGATTTGACCTGAATGTTTGATGAATAGATAATGTTGCATATACATAACAATGGAATATTATTTCAGCCTTAAAAAGGAAGGAAATTCTGACATATATTACATGGATAAACCTTGAAGACATGCCAAGTGAAATTAGCCAGACACAAAAAACCAAATACTGTGTGATTTCATTTATATAAGGTACTATATTAGGCTGTTCTTGCATTGCTATAAAGGAATATCTGACACTGGGTAATTTATAAAGAAAAAAGTTTAATTGGCTCACAGTTATGCAGGGTGTACAGGAAGCATGGTGCTGGCATCTGCTTCTGGTGAGGGCCTCAGGAAGATTACAGCCATGGAAGAAGGTGAAGGGGGAGCAGGTGCATCACATGGCAAAAGCAGGAACAAGAGAGAGAGCGTGGGGAAGTGCCATGTATGTTAAAACAACAAGATCTCTCATGAACTCACTCATAACGAAGGGGATGGTGCTAAGTCATTCGTGTGGGACCTGCCCGTATGATCCAAATGTCTTCCACCAGGCCCTACCTCCAACTCTGTGGATTACATTTCAACATGAGATTTAGAGAAAACAAATATCCAAACTATGTCACTTTGCTCCTGCCCTTCCAATTCTCATGTCCTTCTCACATTGAAAAATACAATATTCTCTTTTTTTTTTGGTTGGATTTGCCTGATATTTCTTTTTTTATTATTATACTTTAAGTTTTAGGGTACATGTGCACAACGTGCACGTTTGTCACATATGTATACATGTGCCATGTTGGTGTGCTGCACAGCTTAACTCGTCATTTAACATTAGGTATATCGCCTAATGTTATCCCTCCCCCCTCCCCCCACCCCATAACAGGCCCAGTGTGTGATGTTCCCCTTCCTGTGTCCATGTGTTCTCATTGTTCAATTCCCACCTATGAGTGAGAACATGCTGTGTTTGGTTTTTTTGTCCTTGCGATAGTTTGCTGAGAATGATGGTTTATTTTTTGTCTATTTGTTGATAGATATTTGGGCTGTTTGACCTTCCAACTACTGTGAATAAAGCTACTGTGAACATGAGTGTACACATATTCCTCAGAAACCCTGATTTTAAGTTTTTTTTGGTGTATACCCAGAGTTGGAATTGCTGAATGGGAATTCTATTTTTTAATTTTTTGAGAAAATGTTATATTGCTTTCCATAATAGCTGTAACATTTTACATACCCATCATGATGCATAAGGGTTCTAATTTCTCTGTTTTATTGTAAAATAGACCCTTCGCATATCCCCTGAAAGAGTCTCATGTATCCTCAGGGGTTCTCAGATCATAGTTTGAGAGTAATGATGCAAAATCAAAAACAAAACATGTCAGCAATTTTATTAGATATTTCAAAATTTGCCTCCATCAGAGTTATAGCACTTTTTGGTAACACATGAGAGTGTCTGTTTCCTCACAGCCTTGCTAATAGAGTTGTTAAAGATTTGTATTTTGTTCTTGCTCATTCCTGGGCATAGACCAAGCTAACTATAGGAGGAATTTAGTTTATAATTTAACTTTAAAGCAAGGATGACAACAGTCTCTTCCTGAAACCAACTCCCTTCTTGTTCAGGGACCTAAACCCCTTTGTGAAATTAATGCAATTCCACAGCATTAGAATTATGGTAGATGGTAGGGGTCTCAATTCTGCTAAGCTATAAGCATAGTTAAGCAATAACCAGCCATTGTTCCCTAGCTTGCTTACTGCTTAGGAGTCATGTAACCAGAAGTCACACTTTGTAACTTCACCAGTTGCTCCTGTAGTTAACATCACTATTGTAAAATCTAAGACTGACCTTTGAGATATTTTTCAGACATTTGCATTCTGGAAAAGTTACTGACACTACCTAGACCTGTGATTCTACAGCAAGGAACTGACTTTACCTGTCCTGTGTCTGCCTCACCCAGAAACAAACTCAGCACTTGAAGACATTTCTCACATCTCTATAATTTCATTCCTAAGCAATCAGTAGCACCCATTCCTTAGCCCCCTGCCCTCCAAATTATCTTTGAAAACCCTAGTCTCTGAGCTTTCAAGGGGGCAGATTTGAGAAATATTTCCCATCCTTCCACTAAGATGTCTTGTGATAATTAAACTATTTTTTCTGAAAGAAAAAAACAACCTTTTGTATTTGACTAACAAGACAGGTGCATAAAAGTTATTTCAGCAAAATTATCACTTGCATTACTTTTATTATGAGGGAGGGTGAGAAATTTTTATATTTAATGGCCATTTGAGTTCACTTTTTTGTGAACTATCTGTTCATATACTTTGCCTGGTTTTATAATGAGTTGCACCTTTTTATTCTTGGTTTCTACAAGCTCACTTTATATTATTAACTTTTTTGCTGTTATATGAGTTGAATATTTTCTCCATGGTTTTCATTAGTCATTTATTTTGCTAATGGTGTTATTTGTGAATGGAAATATTTTTTGATGTTTATATAGCAAATTTACTTTTATGGATTCAGAATGGTGAGTCATGGTAGTAAGGGCCTTCCTGAATATTTAAAGGGCCTTCCTCAATATTTAAAGGAAGTATAACTTTAAAAAATCCAGAAATCTAAATTTCTGTTTGAAAATTTTCAATTTTAAAATGTTGAACCTTATTTTTTTTAAGAGTACCCACACCTAGGGCCGTCTTCAGCCTAGAGGCAAGGCATTTGCAATCTCCACACTAAGACTGTTTCATAGTGTAGGGAACTTAGGACATCATGTCATAATCGTGACTCTTTTTGAGCACCAATGTATTAAGTTCACGCTGGTAGCTCCACCCCTTCCCCTACCCTAGCCAGAATGAATCCTTCCATCCTACAGAAAGAGTCATAGGACTTCAGGTGAAGGCAATTGATGGATCAGCAGTGAATGGATTAAAATTCTAGACGCTCAGGGCTGGGAAGGAAACTCAGAAATTTCTTCATCTTTTTCTTTCTTGGATGTCTCATATTGAAGCCCTTTTGATAACTGTCACCTCGTAGCTATCTTACTTGCACACCTCTATTGACAGGGACACGTGACCTAACTTTCTGGGAAGACTCAGTCTTTGTTCAGTGCTGATTTGCCCCCCACTTTTTTGAGAGAGAATCTCACTCTGTGGAGTGTGGTGGTGTGATCACAGTTCACTGCAGCCTCCAACTCCTGGGCTCAAGCAATCTTGCCACCTCAATCTCCTGAGTAGCTAGGACTGCAGGTATGTGCCACCATGCCTGGCTAATTTTGTTTTAAACATTTTTGGTAGAGACAGAGTCTCGCTGTGTTGCCCAGGCTTGATTTGCTATTATTAGATTCAAACCCGCCTCTTCTACGACCCCAGACCAAAAGTCCTCATTTCACCCTGGGAGGTCACAACAGAGCATGTGCAGTCTACATATAGTGTAAACAAACTGTGTGTTGGCTGCCTGGGAGTTACCAGGTTGCCACATTCCTGTGCCTTTCTTCCTTCCAAGCTCATGCTGTCTCTCTCCCATACCATACTGCCTTCATGGAAGACGAGTGTCTTGTCCATAGCTTATTACAGTGCCTTACATGTAATAAGTACTTAACAAATATTTACTGAATTAATGGATGAATTTTAAAAGTCAACAAAATTGTCTCACTCTGTGCCTCTTTTCCACCCCATTACCTTCTCCATGTCAGCCCAGTGATCCAACACATCACTAGCAAAGTTAAACTTGGCCGGCACTTCCTGGTGGCCCCACTGCAGGGACACCAGTTGCCTACTATTAATGTAGAGAGTGCGGCTGGACATCTGAGTACCCCACAGGGTGCAAAGTCCCTGAACTTTTCGCAGCCAATGCATATTCAGGCCTGTAAAAGAAAGAAGAGACACAGGTGAGAGCTTCTTTAACAGATTGCTCTACTGATCATCAGCAGCTTCAGGAGATTCATCCCAACCTTATAGGATTCTTCCCAGGAATTAATTTGCTGTAGTTATGAGTAAATTGGCACTCAGCATCTGTTTCAGTCTCCTTGTGGGGTGCTGTTTTCTAAAGGCATAAGAGGATACAGACCCAGTCCTAGATCCCACATCTTCAACACTTCTGACAGTTTTGTGAACGCCCATTTCCATGTAATAAATCCCCTTGTGCTTAAAATACAGTGGGTCATAGATGGGATAGTTGTTCCCAGCAATTCACTCCCTTTCCATTCTAGGATTATAAATCCCCATTCATTTTCAAGTGACTTCCCAGTGCATTTAGGAGGAAGAATATGTATCCACCTCTCATTGACTTTGGCTTGCTCATGAGATATGCTTTGGTCAACGAGATGTGAGTGTCTGGGATTCTACGGTTCATCAGAAATTCTCACATTTCTCCCCTCTGCATGAGACTTGCATAACCCAGATCATGCTGTACCTTCAGACTGGGACCCAGAACAACAAGAAATGTGGAGTTGAGCTGAGCCTAGCATGGCCACTAGCAACACACAGACCCATAGGGGAAAATATGCATGACTAAAAGCTACTAAGATGTATAGGGTGTTTGTTACTGTAGCAAATGCTAACTAATACAAGTAGCATCCTTTTCTTTAAAGTGAATCTGGACTGATAAATCCTAAATCCCAGGTCCTATCCATCTAGTGCACAGGACCTAACACAATCACTTTAGAAATTACAGCTGTCATAATTGTTGTTTCTATATAAGTTCTTTATTGGTGATTTGTGACATTGTTGTGCACCCATCACCCGAGGAGTATACACTTAACACTTACAGTATACACTTAACCCACTTTGTACCCTTTTATTCCTCACCTCCTTCCCATCATTTCCCCCAAGTCCTCAAAGTTTATTGTATCATTCTCATGCCTTTGCACCAATGTATACCCTAGCTCCCACTTATGGCTGAGAACATATGATGCTTGGGTTTCCATTCCTGAATTACTTCACTTTGAACGATGGTCTCCAATCCCATCCAGGTTGCTGCGAATGCCACTAAGTCATTCTTTTTCATGGCTGAGTAGTATTTCATTATATATATATATGTATATATATATATATATATATATATATGCATATATATATAATATATACTATGTATGTATTATATAGTATATACCTAAAAAATATAAAAAATTCTTTTTTATATATATTTATGTTTATATAATATATATATTATATATATGTAATATACATTGCCACACTCCTGTGCCTTTCTTCCTTCCAAGCTCATGCTGTCTCCCTCCCATACCATACGGACTTCATGGAAGATGATATATATATAGACAGATATAGAGATATATAGATATATTATATATCCATGAGCTTGGAATGAAGAAAGGCACAGGAGTGTGGCAAAAAATACATATATATATATATAAAAAATATATATACTATATTATATGGATATATTATATATAATATATGGGTATTATACATTTATATTGTATATAACACATTATATAATATATAATGTAATATTATGTATTATATAATAATACATATACTATATCCATATATTATATTATAAATAGTTATATATACTACATAACTGCATATACTATATATAGTATATATGGAGATATGTTATCCATAAATATATAATACATATATATCTAGATATATTAGATATATAATATATAGTATATATAGATATATAGATACAATATTTTTGGATTTTTTTTCTAGTTCTGTGAAGAATGATGGTGGTATTTTGATGGGAATTGCACTGAATTTGTATATTGCTTTTGGCAATATAGTCATTTTTACAATATTTATTCTACCCATCCATGAGCATAGGATGTGTTTCCATTTGTTTGTGTCATCTATGATTTCTTTCAGCAGGGTTTTGTAGTTTTCCTTGAATAGGTCTTTGGTTAGGTATATTCCTAAGTATTTTTTTTTTGCAGCTATTATAAAAGGGGTTGAGTTCTTGATTTAATTCTCAGCTTGGTTGCTATTAAAGTATGGCAGAGCTACTGGTTTTTGTACATTAATTTTGTGTCCTGAAACTTTGCTGAATTCATTTATTAGTTGTAGGAGTTCTTTGGAGGAGTCTTTAAGGTCTTCTAGGTATACAATCATATTAACAGCAAACAGCTACTGTATGACTTCCTCTTTACCAATTTGGAGGACATTTATTTCTTTCTCTTGTCTGATTGATCTGGCTAGGACTTCCAGTACTATACTGGATACAAGTGGTGAGAGTAAGCATTCATGTCTTGTTCTAGTTCTCAGAGGGAATGCTTTCAACTTTTCCCCATTCACTATTATGTTGCCTGTGGGTTTATCATAGATGGCTTTTATTACATTAAGGTATATCCATGGTATGCTGATTTTGCTGAGGGTTTTAATCATAAGAGGATGCTGGATTTTTGTCAAATGCTTTTTCTACATCTATTGAGATAATAATTTGATTTTTGTTTTTAATTCTGTTTATGTGGTGTATCACATTTATTGACCTGTGTACGTTAAACCATTCCTGCATCCCTGGTATGAAACCCACTTCATCATGGTGGATTATCTTTTTGATATGCTGTTGGATTCAGTTAGCTGGCAGCTAATTAAGAATTTTTGCATCTATGTTCATCAAGGATATTGGTCTGTAGTTTTCTTTCTTTGTTACATCCTTTTCTGGTTTGGGTATGAGGGTAATACTGGCTTCATAGAATGATTTAGGGAGGATTCCCTCTTTATCTTGTGGAATAGCGTCGATAGGATTGGTACCAATTCTTCTTTGAATGTCTGGTAGAATTCAGCTGTGAATTCATCTGGTCATGGCTTTTTTGTTGTCGTTGTTGTTGTTGTTGATAATTTTTGTATTACCATTTTAATCTCGCTGCTTGTTATTGGTCTGTTCAGGCTTTCTAATTCTTCCTGACTTAAGCTAGGAGGGTTGTATCTTCCCAAGAATTTATCCATCTCCTCCAAGTTTTTTAGCTTATGTGCATAAAGCTGTTTGTAGTGCCTTGAATGATCTTTTGTATTTCTGTGGTGTCGGTTGTAATATCTCCCATTTCCTTTCTAATTGAGCTTATTTGGATTTTCTTTGTTCTTTTTTTTTTTTTGGTTAATCTTCCTAATGGTCTACCAATCTTATTTATCTTTTCAAAGAACCAGATTTTGTTTCATTTATCTTTTGTATTTTTTTATCTCAATTTCATTTAGTTCTGCTCTGATCTTGGTTATTTCCTTTCTTATGCTGGGTTTGGGTTTGATTTGTTCTTGTTTGTCTAGTTCCTTGAGGTGTGGCCTTAGATTGTCTATTTGTGCTCTTTCAGACTTTTTGATGAAGGCATTTAAGGCTATGAACTTACCTCTTAGTACCATCTTTGCTGTATCCTAGAAGTTTTGATAGCTTGTGTCACTATTATCCTTCAGTGTGAGAAATTTTTAAATTTCCATCTTGATTTCATTGTTGATCCAATGATCATTCAGGAACAGGTTATTTAATTTCCACGTATTCACGTGATTTTGAAGATTCCTTTTGGAGTTGATTTCCAATTTTATTCCAAGGCGGTCTGAGAGAGTACTTGATATAATTTCACTTTTCTCAGATTTATTGAGACTTGTTTTGTGGCCTATCATATGGTCTATCTTGGAGAAAGTTCCATGCACTGATGAATAAAATGTGTATTCCATGGTTGTTGGGTAGAATGTTCTGTAAATATCTGTTAAATTCATCTGTTTTACGGTACAGTTTAAATCAATTGTTTCTTTGTTGACTTTATGTCTTGATGACCTGTTTAGTTCTGTCAGTGGAGTATTGAAGTCCCCCACTATTATTGTGTTGCTGTTTATATTATTTCTTAGGTCTAGTAGTAACTGTTTCATAAATTTGGGAGCTCCAGTATTAGGTGCATATATATTTAGAATTGTGATGTCTTCCTGTTGGACAAGACCTTTTATCATTACATAATGTCCCTCTTTGTCTTTTCTAACTGCTGTGGCTTTAAAGTTTGTTTTGTCTGTTATAAATATAGCTACTCCTGCTTGTTTATGGTGTCCATTTGCATGGAATGTCTTTTTCCACCCCCTTACCTTAAGTTTATGTGAGTTCTTGTGTTAGATGAGTCTCTTGAAAGCAGTAGATACTTGGTTGGCATATTCTTATCAATAATGCAATTCTGTATCTTTTAAATGGAGTACTTAGGCCGTTTACATTCAACATTAGTATTGAGATGTCAGGTACTATTCCATTCATTGTGCTATTTGTTGCCTGTGTAGCTTGGGTTTTTTTTTTATTGTATTTTTGTTTTATAGGTCATGTGAGGTTTATGCTTTAAAAAGGTTCTATTTTGATGTGTTTCCAGGATTTGTTTCAAGATTTAAAGCTCCTTTTAGCAGTTCTTGTAGTGCTGGCTTTCTAGTAGTGAATTCTCTCAGTATTTCTCTGTCTGAAAAAGACTGCATCTTTCCTTCATTTATGAAGCTTAGTTTCACTGGATACAAAATTCTTGGCTGATAATTTGTTTTTAAGGAGTGTGAAGATAGGGCCCCAATCCCTTCTAGCTTGTAGGATTTCTGCTGAGAAATCTGCTGTTAATCTGACAGGTTTTCCTTTATAGATTACCTGGTGCTTTTGCCTCACAGCTCTTAAGATTCTTTCCTTCATCTTGGCTTTAGATAACCTGATGACAATGTGCCTAGGCAATGATCTTTTTGCAATGAATTTCCCAGGTGTTCTTTGAGCTTCTTATATTTGGATGTCTAGGTCTTTAGCAAGGCTGGGAAAGTTTTCCTTGATTATTTCCTTGAATACATTTCCCAAACTTTTAGATGTCTCTTCTATCTCAAGGATGCCAATTATTCTTAGATTTGATCATTTAACACAATCCCAAACTTCTTGGAGGCTTTGTTCATTGAAAATTTTTTTTTTCTTTGTCTTTGTTGGATTTGGCTAAGTCAAAATCTTGTCTTCAAGCTCTGAAGTTATTTCTTCTGCTTGTTCAATTCTATTGTTGAGGCTTTTCAGTGTGTTTTTCTCTGTGTTCTTTATTTCCTAAAGTTATGATTGTTTTATGTATGCTATCTATTTCACTGAAGATTTCTCCCCTCATAACTTGTATTTTTTTTTTTCCTTAAATTGGACTTCAGCTTTTCTGGTGCCTCTTTGATTAGCTTAATAATTGCCCTTCTGAATACTTTCTCAGGTAAATTAGGAGTTTCTTCTTGGTTTGGATCCATTGCTGGTGAGCTAGTGTGATTTTTGGGGGGAGGTGTTAAACAGCCTTGTTTTGTCATATTCCCAGAATCGTTTTCCTGGTTCCTTCTCATTTGGGTAGGCTATGTTAGAGGGAAGATCTGGGGCTCAAGGCTATTGTTCAGATTCTTTTTTCCCATGGGATGTTCCCCTGATGTAGTACTCTTTCCCTTTTCCTAGGGATGTGGCTTTCTGAGAGCCAAACTGTACTGATTGTTATTTCTCATTATCTTGCTTGGCAACTGCCTCAGGGGAGGCCATCACTATTGCCTCAGGCAGCACAGAGTTTACCTCCTCAGACAAAGGTGGAAAGGCTGATGGCAGCATGGGTTAGGGAGGGAATGCTGCCACTACTGGGTGGGGAGGAAGTTGTTTCTTCTGGCAAAAAAAGTTCATTGGAGTTTACAAAGTCAGTGACCCCAGCTTCACCAGTGTCCTCCCATACCTCCCCATTCCAAGTTGCAGGGTCTCATTCTTTTCCAATCTATCAGGGGAACCAGCCCACAATATTTGAACATAGGTTCTTTCTATTTTTCCTAAGTGTCGGCCGGTCTGAGAAATAAAGAGAACGAGTACAAAGACAGAAATTTTACAGCTGGGCCTCTGGGGCTGTCATCACATAGTGGTAGGACTATGATGGTGACCCCGAGCAGCAAAACCAGCAAGTTTTTATTAGGGATTTTAAAAGAGGAGAGGGTGTATGAACAGGGAGTAGGTCACAAGGATCACATGCTTCAAAGGGCAGTAAAGATCACAAGGCAAAGGCAAAATTAGAATTACTGATGAGGGTCTATGTCCTGCTGTGCACACATTGTCTTGATAAACATCTTCACAGGAAACAGGGTTTGAGAACAGAGAACCACTCTGACTAGAATTTACCCGGCTGGAATTTCCCAATCCTAGTAAGCCTGAGGGTACTGCAGGACACCAGGGCGTATTTCAGTCCTTATCTCAACCGCATAAGACAAACACTCCCAGAGAGGCCATCTATAGACCTACCCCCAGGAATGCATTCCTTCCCCAGGGTTCTTCCATGCTGGGAAAAGAATTCAGCAATATTTCTCCTACTTGCACATCCTTCTATAGGCTTTCTGCAAGAAGAAAAATATGGCTCTATTCTGCCCGACCCCGCAGGCAGTCAGACCTTATAGTTATCTTCCATTGTTCCCTGAAAATCACTGATATTCTGTTCTTTTTCCAGGTATACTGATTTCATATTGTTCAAACACACATGTTTTACAATCCATTTGTGCAATAGTAGTCCTGAGGTGAATTACATTCTGAGCTTATGAAGATAACAGGATTAAGAGATTAAAGTAAAGATAGGCATAAGAAACTATAAGAGTGTTAATTGGGGACGTGATAAATGTCCATGAAATCTTCACAATTTATGTTCAGAGATTGCAGTAAAGACAGGCATAAGAAATTATAAAAGTATTAATTTTGGGAAGTGATAAATATCCATGAAATCTTCACAATTTATGTTCTTCTGCCTCAGCTCTGGCCGATCCCTCCATTCAGGGTCCCTGACTTCCTGCAAAACAATCAATGCCCTCACTTTAACAGTAGATACTTGGTGAGGCTGTGCATGGTGAGGCTGTGCATGCACCTTTCATTGCAGGTCAGCCACTAACATGATAAGAGCTTATGTCTATTTTTCCACAATTTCAGTTCTTTCTCTACAGGAGATTAGACTCTCACTCAGGGCAATCTTGGCAGATTTGAGGCTCAGTATCTGCTTCTGAAGCGGTGAGATAGAATCCCCGAGTTCATCATTTTCTTTCATCACTTTATCCACTGAACTTAGGAGCAACCAACCAGCTTCATTATGTTCCTTGGTTCTCCACATATGGTCAAAGGTATGATGTATAGGGTCACTAAACTCCTTGCCTCTCATGAGCAATGAATCAGGAGTGTCAAATGCATTTATTTTGTATAACTCTTTAAACAGTTCACACCAAGGGCTATCAGTCTTCTCCATACTATTAGAAGTAGAGTCCTTAGTATTTTGGGGTCTAATCATATTAAGGCACCAACTCCAGAAACCCCAAAACCAACAAAAGAACTCCATCCTTAATATTCTTTTCCTCTAGAACCACTTCTGGTACCAAAATCTGTATTAGTCAGGGTTCTCTAGAGAAACAGAACTAATGGAATATATATATTTTATAAACTCATATGTATAAGTAATACTTATAAACTCATATATATAAGCATATATATGAGTTTACTAAGTATTAACATATGTATGTGTGTATATATATATACACAACTGTATATATATATACAGTTTATTCAGTATTAACTCACATGATCACAAGGTCCCACAATAGGCCATCTGCAGGCTGAGGTGCAAGGAGAGCCAGTTTGAGTTCCAAAACTGAAGAACCTGGAGTCTGATGTTCAAGTGCAGGAAGCATCCAGTACGGAAGAAAGATCTAGGCTGGGAAGCTAGGCCAGTCTCTCTTTTCATATTTTTCTGCCTGCTTATATTCTAGTCATGCTGGATTAGGTGGTTCCTACCCAGATTAAGGGTGGGTCTGCCTCTCCCAGCCCACCGACTCAAATGTTAATCTCTTTTGACAACACCCTCACAGACACATCCAGGATCAACACTTTGTATCCTTCAATTCAATCAATTGACACTCAGTATTAACCATCACAGTGTCTGACATTTCTGTCTCCTTTTTTTCTATGGAATAAGAATTGAAGATTACTGTACCAGCTCCTGAGCAGAACTACACATTGCCTTTGTACCTGCTGGTCCCTCTCTTTTTCCATAATAAGCTCTTCTTCATTCTTCTGGTCTCACCTCCTCTGAGATTCATCCTTCTCTGACCACCACCCAACTACCAGCCCCCTGTTACCACCTTTTTCCAGCTGCCCTCGTCTCTCCCTGTTGCTGCCATAAAGGTGCCTTTTCCTCTGCCCAGTGTTTCCTCCTAAGACTTGGCAGGTACTGTCTTTCATGGTCCCTAGGAATTTCTGCTTTTCTGTGAGGATTTTTGCTCTTCTCACCAGCTGTGACTCTAAAAGATTGGTGAGGTTATCATGGATTATGACCCCATCAGCCCATTCCTTGAAACAGTGCTCACCTGCCAAGTCCTCTCAGGATGTCTTTCTAGAGAGAGCTTCGTCCACCCTCCTCTCCAGCCAGCAGCTCCAGAACTCCTACAGCCTTGGAAGAGAGCACAGTAACTCAAGCAGACAGCTTCAGAATCCCTGCACTGTCAGAAAGAGAGCTCAGCTAATCATTGACAGTGGATAACTTTGGAGTCTTACAAAGGGTAACAGCAGTCCTCCTAGCCAAGTTTATGGACATTACAACATTAGAGCATTTGAGGTCAACTGGACTTGCACTTTCAATCCAAGGGGCATGAAGCAGGTTTATGCCCAGGACTGACAGAAAATTATTGCTTCAACCCAAGAGAGAGAAATGGAGCTCACATAGGCTTGATGAACACTCCTTTAATTCTTTGTTTTGCTTGGTTCCAGCATACCACTTTTGCCTGGTTTTCCTCTTGCTTTCCTTCTCTTTTGCTGATTCCTCCTCATCTTTATCCACGTTCACTCTGTACATTATCTCATCAAATGTCATAGCTTGGATACCATGTGGCTTGCCAATGGCCCCCACACGTGTGTATCCAACCTGGTTTTCTCTCCTGCATCCTCATCTTCCTGACTTCTCCACCTGGATATCTAACAGGCATCTCAAACATACTTTGTCCAAAGCTAAGAGGTTGATCACATCCTTCCCTGGCCACTCTCATTCCAGGTATGGTTTTATCCATCTCAGCAAATGTCACCCCTATTCCTCTAGTTCTTCCAACATCAAATCTTAGAGATTGCCCTGACTCTTTTCTTTCTCACATGGATGTGAAAAAGCCATCAGATCCACCTGCAGGCTACACTCAGAGTCTGACCCATTCTCTTCCCTGTTCCAACCCAACCCAACACTGTCCAAGTAAGCCCAAAACTCAACAGGGAAAAAAACTCTTTATATCTCTTCATATTTATTTTATTTTGAAATAGCGTCTCACTTTATTGCCCAGGCTGGAGTGCAGTAGTCTGATCACAGCTTATTGCAACCTCAATCTATCGTGCTCAAGCAACCATCCCACCTCAGCCTCCTGAGCAGCTGGGATTACAGGCACATGCCATTATGCCCAGCTAATTTTTTAACGTTTTATAGAGACGTGGTCTCACTATGTTCTCCAGGCTGGTCTTGAACTCCTGAACTTAAGTGATCCTCCCATCATGGCCTCCCAAAGATTACAGGCATGAGCCACCATGCATGGCCAACATTGTCTTATAGCTGGTATCAGCCCATGCTTCAGCTCTCTCAGGCTAGAGTTGCAAATTGGTGATCCTACAGTTCTGTGTCTTGGGGGTGGCCCCACTCCCATGGCTTCATGAGGCATTTCCCTAGAGGGAATTCTTTGTAGAGGATCTTACCACCAAGCATCTATGGCCCCTACATTCTGGGTGCCTGCAGAATTAATACCATTCTGTCTTTGTTAGTCTTCTGGGCCTGTGATGGGAGGAGCAGCCCCAAAGATTTCTGAAATGCCTTTGGAACCTTCTTCCTATTATCCTATTAGCACCAGGCCCCCTTTTGGTCATGCTTTAGCAGAGTTGTTCTGACACTTTCTTGGACTCCTCTCCTGAAAATTCTCTTTTCTTCTCTACCACTATGTGCAGGCTGATAATTATCCAAATTTTAATGCTCTTCTTCCCCTTTAATTATAAACACAGGCTTTAGGTCATTCCTTTGCTGTCACAATTTAACATAAGCTGTTAAAAGTAACCACATCACTTCTTGAGCACTTTGCTGCTTAGATATCTCTTGCATCTGACACCGTAGGTCATCACTCTTAGTTCAGCCTTCCACAAAGCCTTAGGGCATGGACACAGTGCACCCAAGTTCTTTGCTACAGAGTAACATGGGTGAATTTTGCTCCAGCTTCCAATGAGTTTCTCATTTCTATCTGAGATTTTTTGGCATGGCCTGTACTGTCTATATTTCTATCAGCATTGTAAAAAATTTAAATTTAGGACCTTCCAAATTTATCATGCAAAAGGGAAAACTTAAGGCCTGAAAGCTGACTGAGGTAACACAACTTCCCCTGATTCTGGTGCATGACCGTTGCTTTCTGACCTTTGTGTTGAGATGTTATACATTAACCAGACTCTTCTTTATTCAAAACTGCGCTAAACAAAGTGAAGATAGAGACCCTTGTGACTGTCTCCTTT
The DNA here is from genome assembly GCF_000001405.40 of Homo sapiens. Classification (NCBI taxonomy): domain Eukaryota; kingdom Metazoa; phylum Chordata; class Mammalia; order Primates; family Hominidae; genus Homo; species Homo sapiens. The sequence goes on along the minus strand of NC_000016.10, from coordinate 20,449,523 downwards.
TAATAGAATGTAAAACTATCCCTTTAGCATGTAATCAAAAGTAGCCAATGAAATCTTATATCTGTATGTTAACCTTTTTTATGGAAAATGTTGTAATTTTGTTCAGCAACTTCATTTTGCTGGTATAAGCAATCCTCATTTTCCCCTACACCAGGAGCACAACACTGCTCACCATTCTTTGGAATAGCTGTGCTCCCTGGATGGCCGCACTCATACTTTGTGCTTGAATGAGCTCTTTTAACTAGATGCTGACTCTTTTGACTATTTTACGTTGACAGCATTTTGGTCACAACCATTTAACCAATCTCTAAGAAGTTTCAAACTTTCCCTCAACTCTTTGTCTTCTTCTGAGCCATCCAAACTCTTCCAACCTTTTCCATTGCCCAGTTCCAAAGCTGCTGTCATATTTTCAGGTATCTTTATAGCAATACCCTACTCCCTGGCAACAATTTCCTGTTGTAGTCCATTTTTCATTGCTATAAAGAAATATCTGAGGCTGGGTAATTTATTTCAGAAATGTTTATTAGGCCCATGATTCTGATAGCTGGAAATTTCAAGATTGGGCATCTGCAGCTGGCAAGGGCCTCGGGATGCTTCTATTCATGGTAGAAGGTGAAAGGGAGCTGGCGTGTGCATGGATGACATGGTGAGAGAGGAAGCAAGAGAGATAGTGGGGAGATGCCAGGCTCTTTGCAACAACCAGCTCTTGTGGGGAATAATAGGATTAGGACTCACTCACTCCCTAGGGAGGGCATTAATTTATTCATGAGGGATTCTCCCTCATGACTCAAATACCTCCTGTAAGGTTCCATCTCAAATTTCAATATGAGTTTTATTGAGAGCAAACATCCAAACTGGAGCACCTCAGAACACTTTTCTCCTTGGAAATGTCTGTCCTTATCAAGTAGTCAACAAATATTGACTGAGTGTTACTCTCAGGTAGACACAGAGGTGACCATGACAGATTCATTCCTGTTCAGAAGTGACACAGATAATAACATGTAAAGTAATGAAGTTCATTTTATATACTGTAAAGGATAAGTCAGAGGTCAGATCATGTCACACCTCTGCTCACAACCTACCGGTGAATCTCAGTTTCATGCAAAATTAACTTCAGAGTTTTTACCTCATTATTCAAGGTCTGGTAAGATTTTCACACACTCTCTTCATCTCTGGTTTGATGTCCTGTTCCTTTACCCCCTTATTCACTGCATGTCAACTACAAGGGCTTTCTTCCTGTTCCTTGAAGTCACACTCTGCCTTTAGGGTATCTGCACTTGCTGTTTCCTCTTCTCAGACTGATTTTTCATAGATATCTACATGGATAACTCCCTCTCCTACTTTATTTCCTTGCTAAATATTTTTGTCAACTTCTCAATGAAGCTTACCTTGACCACCTTCTCAAAACGGCAACCCACCTCCAAGTTGGTTCTTCCTCCTCCTCATTACTAGGCACTATTGTCTCTAATACTCACTACCTGCTAACATACTTACTTACTATTTTTGCCTCTCTCTCCTTCCATTAGAATCTAAGCTTCATGAGGGCAGATATTTTTGCTCATTTTGTTCAATGATTTAGCTCAAGGACTTTTAACGGTAGCTAGCACACAGTAAACATTCAGTAAATAGCTGAGAGAATGAATAAGGGCTGTAAAGAAAAGAAAACATGTTGTTATAATGTGTGTGCCTGTGTGAAGTACATAGCTGTGTATGTGAGATAGCCTAAGTGCATGCATGTATGTTTTTGTGTGTGCACATGTGACTGTGGGATGTATGTATAGCTGTTATGTGTGTGCGGTTCTGTGTGTAAAGACATGTGTGTAAGGTTGTGCATGTTTGTGCCCATGTGTGCCTATGTGTCAGTACATGGATGTATGTGAGACTGTGTATGTGTACATGTGTGCAAGTGTGTGTAGAGCTGTATGCGCAGGTGTACAGGTGTTTATGTATACTTACATGCATGCATGTGTGTTGGTAGATTTGGATGTGTGTGAATGTATGTGTGAGACTGTGTATGTAACTATGTGTGTGACTGTCATGTATATGTAGCTCTGTAGTTAAGTGTATGTCTATGTATCTGTTTATGAGTTTGGCATGTGCATAAGATTGTAAGTGTAACTGTGTGTATTCATGTGTGTGAGTGTCTAGAAGTGTGACTAGATATTTGTGTGTGCTTGCATGTGTGAGTGTCTATGTGTGGCAGTGAAACTGCAGATGTGTGTGGCTGTATCTATATTTGTGTGTGTGTGCATGTGTCTGAGTGTGTGTAAGTCCTAAATAGCACTCACACTATTTACAGTGGTCTGAAAACACCTCTCTGGGTGCTCCTTTGCACCTGGCCACTGGGGACACTGCCAAGTCATGATGCTGGACTTTGCTGACTTTCTTTTCCATTCTTTCTGTTTTTCAAATGTTGACCTTTAGACACATTTCAGGACAGCACATTCCTGTGGGAAATCTGTGAGGTGGAAAATCAAAATTCTCCTGATGACTGTTTATAAAGAATAACGGCTAGCTCATGTCTTCAGTGTTTTATAGAAGTGCTCACATGTAATCTAAACAAGAACTCTACAAGAGAGGTATCCAGAGCCACATTTTATAGATAAGGAAATTGAGGCTCAGAGAGGACTAGAAATTTGGCTAAGCTCCTGCAGCTGGTAAGTGCTACAACAGGACTCAAATCTAACTTCAAAGTCCAGTGTCCTTCTCATAGGGAACACCGTGTTTCGGCAAAGAGCCATTTTAAAAGAAAATGGTTTGAAATGGTCACTGTTGGAGGCTGTGCACAATCAGCTGGCCACCTTTGTGTCCCTAGAATCTGACCCACAGTGGGGATTCAATGTTGGGGGAAAATAGAAAAAGTGCTGGAGTTGCTGGGGAAATGCTGGGAGCAGAACTCCGTGGTGGGGGCTCAGAATTTCCCAGGGCAGGGGGTTTTCAGTCAGGAATCATCGCGGGAAAAACAGATTTTCTTTATCACATTCCACCTCTGATTGTCTCAGGAAGTCTTTGGTGGTCTGGCTGGATGGAGCCAAGGTTTTGGAGGCAGCCTGGAGCAAGAGACAATGCCTGAGAATTGCCATCAGAGGACCCATTTTAAATCTCGGCTGTACCACTTACCAAAAGAACACACACACTGACCCACTGTGCCTCAGTTTCCTCCTGTACAAAATGGAGATAAAAATAGCATCTATCTGGTAGGGTCATGGTAAAGCCTGAGTAAGACAATTCTGGAGGCTTCTCAGTTGTCCGGCTGCCAGAGGGGTGGGATGCTGCTCCCCTAAGACTCTTAGATGTGGAGAACAATGCAAAGTGCTAGACTTCTGCAAAGCCTTATGTTTGATCTGAAAAACCTGCTCAAAAGTATCCATGTGCTTCAGGAGATAACTTTGTCTCTGCTTCTCACTTTCAGAGTTGGGGGCTGCATCTGACAAGTGGCCGTGGTTTCAAGTCTCTGGAGTCCCATTTTTTTCTCTTCCATGGAGTTTGTTTGCTGCAGTTTGAGGAGCCGAGGCATATGATAAATACCAGGTACATAATTAGTGCTTTGGAAAGAAACTGCTATTTCAATGGTTATTAGGAGCTTTCACGAGGCAACTCACCCAGAGACCCCTTGCATGAAGGTGGGAAACTCACCAGTCTTCTGGGGTGCAGAATCTTAATGTCCCCTCCAGAAAATGGGGCTGTAGACTGAGTAATAGTAACTAGGAATAACATTTATTGGTTGGGCGCAGTGACTCACACCTGTAATCCCAGCACTTTGGGAGGCCAAGGTGAGTGAATCATCTGAGGTCAGGAGTTCGAGACCAGCCTGGCCAACATAGTGAAACCCCTTCTCTACTAAAAAAAATTTAAAAATTAACTGGGTGTGGTGGTGGGCACCTGTAATCCCAGCTACTCAGGAACCTGAGGCAGGAGAATCGCTTGAACCTGGGAGGTGGAGGTTGCAGTGAGCTGAGACAGCGCCATTGCACTCCAGCCTGGGGGACAAGAGGGAAACTCAATCTCAAAAAAAAAAAACAAACAACAAAAAAAACAAACAACAACAAAAACACATTTATTGAGAGAGCATTTAGTGTGCCACAAACTGTGCAGGTGTTTCGTTCAACCACCTCTATAACCCTAGCAGTTATCTATTATTATCCCCAATTCAGCATGTGGAAACTGAGGCTCAGACAGTTCAAGTCAGCCACCCAAGGAGGTAAGTGGCACCACAAAACCTGAACCCAGGTCTGGTTCACATCACGTCTAGCTCTTAAGCACTCTGCCGATGCCCCAACACCTACATCCTCAGTGTCTGAATTGAAAAATATGAGAAAATGAGAAACAAATGCAGGTTTTGGTGGTATCGGGCCTGGCATTCGAATCCCAGCTCTGCCACTTACAGCTGTGCAAGTTTGGATGAGTGACTCCATCTTTCTGAGCCTCAGATCTCTCTTCTGTAAAATGGGGATCACCAGGCGATTGTTTCTGTCTCAGGGCCTTTGAACCTGCTCTTCTGTCTCTGGGACAGTGTCCTCCCCGACCCCCACATCTGCACAGCTCGCTCCCTCACCTTTCGGTTTGCTCAAACGTGGTCCTCGCAAACCCCTTCCTGGCTACCCTATTTAAAATCCTGCACCACCATTCCGTAGTCCCTATTCACTACTTGTACTTTATTTTCCTCCTTAGCACTGACACTGTCCGACATACTCTAATTTTTAAAATTAGATTTGTGCAAAAGTAATTGCGGTTTTTACCATCAAAAGGAATGGCAAAAACCGCAATTGCTTTTGTACCAACCTAATAGTTCTTTGTTTGTTATCCCTCTTTTCACAAGGTTGCCATTTCCAGAAGTCAGGGGTTTCTGTCTCTTTCATTCACTGCTGTATCCTCAGTGCCTAGAACTGTGCTGGGTACAGAGTAGGAATAGAATCATTTTTTGCTAAATGAAGGGATGAATGAAAGATACCTACTTTATTGCTTTTTGCGGGGCTTAAATGAGATAATGTCTAGTAAGCCCACACTGAAGTTCAACAGTTAAGAAAGAGCTCAACCAGTGGTAGTGGTTTACTATCATCATCATCACCACCACCACCCTCATAATCCTCTTCATTACTGGAAGTGTATAAGGTGAGCTGTGGATTCTCAGGCAGAAACCCTGAAATGAAAGGATCAGTGTTCCCATCTTGGCATATCTTGGACTTCCTTGATTCTCTCCTTACCTTAAAGATGTTGCTTGTGAGGCTGGACACGGTGGCTCACGCCTGTAATCCCAGCACTTTGGGAAGCCTAGGTGGGTGGATCACTTGAGATCAGGAGTTTGAGACCAGTCTGGCCAACATGGTGAAACCCCATCTCTACTAAAAATAAAAAAATTAGCTGGGCATGGTGGCGCATGCCTGTAGTCCCAGCTACTCGGGAGGCTGAGGCAGGAGAATCACTTGAACCCGGGAGGAGGAGGTTGCAGTGAGCCGAGACCATGTCACTTCACTCCAACCTGAGTGACAGAGTGAGACTCCCTCTAAAAAGAAAAAAACCAAAAGTTGTTGCTGTGATTTACCACATTGCACAATAGGAGGTTGGGCCCTTTCTAGCTAAGGATTATTTATCAAAACCAAGATAAAAACTGAAACAAGAAAAATAAAATAAAATTAATAGCTAACATACAAGCGTCATTACCCAATAAAAGCTGACACCACCTCAAATTCTGATGGACATAGTGGATTGGAAGAAGTATGAACTTTGAGAGAAAATCTTTCCAAACATGATGGCAGAATGATAGAAAGGAGTCCACAGCAATGGAAAGGCTGGGGAAAGTAGGTCTAGTATTACACTCCAGCCCCCAATATAGAGATGTGGAAAAAGAGGCCTAGAGAGGGAAAGTCACCTGCCTGTGTACAAGATAGAACTGTTAGGTTTCTATTAAGAATTTTTCAGCACTCAAGAAAATAAACAGATATATTCATTTGGAAAGAAAAAAGAGGTGAACGGTCTTCAGGTGTAATTCTTGCTTGACGCCTCTTCAGCTGCTTATTCCCCTCAATTAGTATCTTATTTTTCATTCATTCATTCATTCATTCATTCATTCAATGACTATTTACTGATACCTACTAGGCAGCAGGTCCTGATATTGGCACTGGGAAGACGGACAAGACTATCATCTAGCCTATGATCTAGAAGAGTCCACAATCTACTAGGAAAGACAGGCAAAACAAACCTAAAATAATAAGCAATAGCAATGAGCTATGACACCCATGAAAGAGAATGTTAAATGGGACTTCCTCTGTTGTCTCAGAATCTTGGCTGAAGCTCCAAGTGGAGACCAGGGTAACAGATAACCACCGTTTAATGAGAGGGTGTTACATGACATGCTCAGAAGTAATCCCAACTTGACTTTGGAGCTTCACTCACCTCCAGCCTGTGTATGACAAAAGGCTGCTGATAAAGCCAGCAGGTGGGCTTGATGGAAGGGAATTGTAACTGCTCAGTGGGTTCGCCTTGCCCACTGCCTAGACAGAGCCGATTTATGAAGTCTCATTCTGTCACCTAGGCTGGAGTGCAGTGGCGTGATCTCAGCTCACTGCAATCTCTGCCTCCCGGGTTCAAGCAATTCTCTTGCCTCAGCCTCCCGAGCAGCTGGAATTACAGGTGCACACCACCACACCCGACTAATTTTTGTATTTTTAGTAGAGACGAGGTTTCACCATGTTGGCCAGGCAGGTCTCGAACTCCTGACCTCTGGTGATCCACCCGCCTCAGCCTCCCAAAGTGCTGGGATTACAGACATCAGCCACTGCACCCAGTCCAGGGACTTTCTTATAGAAGCCTCCCTGATACCCTCAGTCCCCTGAGTCTTGATCAGTTCCTCCAGTCTGTGTCTTAAATGTATTCTTTTCTTCATGGCATTACAATTGTACATTTACTTGCATTATTCTGTGATAAGTAATAATGACCTTCCTACTAGACTAAACTCCACAAGGATTTGGGCTGAAATGTGTTTCCCCAAATTCTTATGTTGAAGTCCTAACCCCAGATACCCCAGTTCCTCCCAGTACCTCAGATTGTGACTGTCTTTGGAGACAAGGTTTTTAAAGAGGTGATTAAGTTAAAGTGAGGTCATGAGGGTGGGCCCTAATCCAATCTGACATGATAGGTGTCCTTAGAAGAAGAGGAGATTGGGCCCCAGACACACATGCACAGAAGAAAGACCACGTGAAGACAGAGGGAGAAGACGGCGATCTACAAACCAAGGAAACATCCTCAGAATGAAACCAACCTTGCCAACCCCTGATCCTAGACCTCCAGCCTCCACAACGGTGAGGACATTAATTTCTGTTGTTTAAATGGCGCAGTCTGTTGTACTTTGTTATGGCAGCCCCAGAAAACTCACATAGGTAGGGACTAGGCTGGCTTTGGTGTATCACTGCAGTCTCAGAGCTCAGTACTGAGTAGGTGCTCACTGAATTTTCCCTGGAGGGTGTGGAGGTGCTGGGGGTGGGGTCAGCAGCACTGGGATTGCTTCAGTTTCCATCTGCTGCTTTTCCTCCAGGGTTGCTCCCAGAACCACCCTTTCCTGTTTGCAGGCCTGAGCTGTGGCTGCACGTCTTTATGCCCCTCCTGGATAAGACATTGTGACGGTTAATGTTAGGTGTCAACTTGACTGGGTTAAGAGTCCCCAGATAGCTGTGAACATTACTTTTGGGTGTCTCTGGGAGGTGTTTCCAGGTGATATTAGAGATAGAGCCATAGACTAAGAAAATCTGCCCTCACCCACGTGGGCAGGCATCATCCAATCCATTAGGGCATGAAGAGGAGAAAAAGGAGAAAAGAGGAATTTGCTCCTTCCTTTTGGGCTAGAACATCTGTGTTTTCTTGTCCTCAGACGGTGAAGCTCCTGGTTCTCGATCCTTTGCACTCGGACAGGGAGTTATAACATTGGCTCTTCTGGTTTTCAGGTCTTTGGACTCAGATGGAATTATACCACGGGGTTTCCTGGGTCTCCAGCATGCAGATGGCAGATTGTGGAACTTCTCAGCCTCCAAAATCGAGTGAGCCAATTCCCATCATAAATCCCCTCTCCTGTGTCTAAATATGTCCTATTGCTTCTCTTTCTCTGGAGAATGCTGACTAATACAGACATAATACAGCAGTCTTTGGGGATGATGTATGAGTATGTGGAGGAAGAACTAGACATGAAGCAGAGTGTGCTTTCTTTAACATAACTTTTTCATTAAAATAGTTGTATGTGCTTCGTACAAAAACTTGGAAAATACAGAAATGTAATGGAAAAAGGAAGAAGAAAAACTACCATCCATTATTTTCTCTCCCTCCCTCCTCAATCTCCAGGAGGATTACAATTAACCACAGTTTTCCCTTTATTTTTCAGAGTTGGGATTCTCCAGTATGAATATTTTTGCTCTGATTTTTAAAATTAATATAGCTTACACTTTTCCCAAGACATACTAAACTGCTCTCAAATATTTTAGTGGCTACATCATATGTAATTGAGTTAATCTACTACAATTTTGTTAATCATTTCCTTGTTGTTTGGATGTTAATTGTTAATTTTTTCTTTTTTTTTTTTAGTTTTAATGCTGTGTGATCATCTTAGTGCACCACACATTTTCTGCATTTTGATTTTTTTCTTTTGTGGTGACTCCCGAAGATAGAATTTCTGAGCTAAAGGATATTTTATTTTATGTTCCTGCATACTTTTGCCAAATGGTTACATACAAAGGATGAAGCCTTTACATTCCCACTGGCAGAAAATGAGTACCCACAAGTGCCCCAAGTCTATGGTAACCTGTCCTATGGAGGGAAATCTGAAAGCTCTTAGTGAGACCAGTGGGCAGATGCTGAGCCTGCCCCCAGACAGAGGGAGAAGTCGAACCACCAAGCATTTGCTAGGCGGCGCAGCATCTATGTGATCAGGGCCAATGATATTCTTTTGCTCTTTCCAGCATTGCCCAGTGATCCTGGGGATGCCGTTTGGAAGCTGCACACCTTTGACATCTTTAGGGTCGAAGAGATGATGCTCCCCATGGGGACTGACCAGTGATCCATTAGTTTCTTGTGGAGTCTTCGGAGGTCTACGGGGCCTTCCTGGGGTGCACCTCATTTCCCCCACTCCTGACTTCGCAATTTACTCCTTTGGATCTTTCCAGAAACCGTCTTTGGCAGTTCTGAAACAAAGGCCACCTAGTGACCAAACACAAAACAAAAAACACTTGGAAATCATCATTTCTCAAAAAGACTTTTGTTTTGAAAGAGACAATACTGTCTGCCTGTCCTTGGAAAGCGTCCCTGATTCAGGGTTTCCCCCTAAATGGCCAGAAGCAAAACAGCTGGAGCCTGGAGCACAGGATCATTTTGACAGCATTTGAGCACTACCTCTTGTATCTGATTTGTGGTAGGGATCAGGCTGTTCTTAGAGTAGGAACAAAATGTGCTTTGGGGAGAATCCAAGTGAAGAAATACAGAAAAAAGCTGAAGCAGCAGCCAGGGTTACAAGTTTCTCCATATCCCCAGTGCCTGGCACAGGGCCTGGCTCTGAGTGGGAGCCCAGGCAGAGCGTGCCCATCTGATTCCCAGATCACTGTGCCCTGGAAACCCTGATATTTACCTTCCTGGGGTATTTGTATGGAGCAGTCACCCTTTTCACATGCTCCTGGAGTTCCCGCGTTAGTGCCTCTGGGTCATGAGAGGAGTAGGCTGGAGTAAGGACTATAAATGCCTTTACCACCTGCAGGAAAACAAAATACCCAGAAAAGATCAGGCCTCGTATAACAACTCTTTTCTCCTTAAGTGAGGCTTGAATAAGTGCCTACATTTACCTTTGCACCATGAAAGTTCTACTAGTTTTTTTTGGGCACAGCCAATGACACAAACAACATCAATTTTTCTTTTGCTGGCCCTTCCAGGTGTGACTATTAGGAGGATTGACCTTTCTGGGATGATTTCAAACTCCTACCTCTTTCTCAAATTACTCCCCATACTTGGAATGACACCATTTGAAGCCAACATCGCTTCTCTTAAGAAGCAAATATTTTGGAGAAAAGAGGTTCATAAACTCCTAGGGCCATTTTCTTCCAGATTTTCCTAATGAGAAAGGTAGGTAGGCATGAGTTTGAACAGGTGGGATTGAGGAAAATGCAGGCACTTGCAAGGGGAACTAGGTCTTTGGGGGTCTGCGTGGATGAACATTTGCAATCAGCAGACCCTGAACTGCACCACTTCTGTTCCAGACATCCCGAGGGACATTCTGCATCTTGGGTCTCTCTGCCCACAACTTTCCTGCAGGCTGTCTTATGCCAGGCAGGAGGAAGTGTCCCAGACTCAAGCACAACAAACATAGTTTCTGTTAGGAATGGAAGGTCACTTGGATGCTTATTAATTCCAGCATTCCTATCTGTTAACAGTATTCTATTAAAGGGGTAGCTCACTGTCCTTGCATACTTCCCACAGGGAGGAAGGCCACTATCATTTCATGTTCAGACAGATATGCTTTTAGAAAGAGCTTCCTCTTACTCTTACTACTGTAACTACGAAACATTTGTTGGACACTTTTTTTTTTTTTTTTTTTTTTTTAAGACAGAGTCTCACCCTGTCGCCCAGGCTGGAGCTCAGTGAGGTGATCTCGGCTCACTGCAAGCTCTGCCTCCTGGGTTCACGCCATTCTCCTGCCTCAGCCTCCCGAGTAGCTGGGATTATAGGCGCCCACCGCCACGCCTGGCTAATTTTTAGTATTTTTAGTAGAGATGGGGTTTCACTGTGTTAGCCAGGATGATCTCGATCTCCTGACCTCGTGATCCACCCGCCTCGGCCTCCCAAAGTGCTGGGATTACAGACATGAGCCACCGTGTCCGGCTTATGTGTTGGGCACTTTCTACACACCAGACTCAGTTCTAAGCACCATACATGGATTAAGTTTGAGCACACAGCCATTTGTCACAGTCCCAGTTAACTCACGGCATGCAGAACTAGGCATACGTTTGAGGTATGATTTCTTCAGCACATCAATGGGACTCCACACCTCCCTTATTATACATTAATGGCTTTGGATTTTAGAGGGGAATCACTTGGCCAAGAATGGCTGGCTAAAATGCAGATTCTCTGGGCTGCATTCCCAGTAATCATGATTTGGTAAGTCTGACTTTAGGTCTACAAATCTATATTTTAAACAAGAATCTCAGATGATACAGTTGCAAGCAGTCCAAGAACCAGACTTTGAGAATCTCTCCTGTGGTCTTGATGCTTCTGAGAATGCAGGCTAATGTTGCACTAACTTTCAAAAGGTAACTGTTGTGCTTTAGGATTATGTTGGATGTAAGCCAGTGAAAAGTACCTAAGTCTGCCTGTTAGCTGATCTTTCCCATAATATGCATTCCTCTGGGACCCACAGAAAGATTTCTCCTAGCCGGGCACGGTGACTCACGCCTGTAATCCCAGCACTTTGGGAGCCGGGGTGGGTGGATCACCTAAGGTCAGGAGTTTAAGACCTCCAGCCTGGCCAACAAGGCAAAACCCTGTCTCTACTAAAAATACAAAAATTAGCCAGGTGTGGTGACATGTGCCTGTAATCCCAGCTACTGGGGGGGGTGCTGGGGCAGGAAGATCACTTGAACCTGGGAGGCGGAGGTTGCAGTGAGCCAAGATCATGCCACTGCACTTCAGCCTGGACAACACAGCAAGACTCCATCTCAAAAAAAAAAAAGGATTTCTCCTATGAAAGCCCAGCTTATTAAATTTGGCCCATCTTTCTGGTATATGTAGGTCATTTTGGATACATATTCTATCCCTCTTAGGTTACAGCCATCAGCAACTATTACTGGTGTGCTTGCTATGTCCTCATCTGCAAATAGAAAAGACTTTTTATTAGACAGGATGGATAACAGAGCCTGCACCTCCCCCAAGATCTCCTGCCCCATAGCCAGCCTCTCTGGGATGTAGTTGTGTCCATTTAAAAGCAAAGTGTTGGTGTTTTCCCATTATGTCCCTTTAGAGAGTAATTGTATCTCTAAAGACATGAAGGCAACGTGTGTCTGATGGTGGCATTTCAACTTTGTGGCACAAGGATGGAGGTGAAATACAGGACAATCTGAGCCTTCCTGCTTGTTCTGCTGGGTGCTAATAGGTACAGAAGCAGGAGGCCATGTTCTTGGGTGCACTGGTTACCTCTCCCCTGATGGGGTCTGGGCTGCTGACCACAGCCGACTCCAGGACAGCAGGATGCTCTGCCAGGGCACTTTCCACTTCAACAGGCCCGATCCGGTAGCTGGAAGGGAAAAACAAACTCTTCCAAGTGGGCTTCCCTCAACCCCCATGAAATTTCAAAGGAAGGAGGAAAGTGCAGACAGCTTGACCTTGAAGAATTGATCACATCGTCGTTTCTTCCCATGAACCAAAAGTAGCCATCCTTGTCCATGCGAGCTCGGTCCCCTGTGATGTAAAAGTCCCCTTGTTCTGATGCAGCTGTCTTCTCAGGATTGTCCTGAAAGACAAAGACAACCCGTGAAGGACCCTCTGGGAACAACTGCTAAGGCCAGTTACTGCCCCAGTAGCCCCCTGTAGGAAGCTGGAGACCACTCAACAGAAAGTTCAGCAGTTCCTAAAGTCCCGGCTGCCCAGAGTTCCCCAATGGACAGGGAGTTATGGCCCTGTTTAGTTGTGGGATTTCCCTCTTTTGATTGGAATCAAGCTGCCAGCCAATGGTTAAGGGCAGTCACCCACCACCATCCTTAGAAGGGGGTCTAGAAAGCATAGTTGAAAGCAGGAGGGTGGGCACAGGGCCACTGGCTGTGGTTTTTAGGACAAGAGAACACATGAATACTCTTTGTGCTCAGGAATCACTGAGGGTAGAAAGTGAAGGGCTAGGCCGGGTGTGGTGGCTCATCCCTATAATCCCAGCACTGTGGGAGGCTGAGGTGGGTGGATCACTTGAGGTCTGGAATTCGAGACCAGCTGGCCAACATAGTGAAAACCTGTCTCTACTAAAGACAAAAAAATTAGCTGGGTGTGGTGGTGCATGCCTGTAATTCCAGCTACTCGGGAGGCTGAGGCAGGCGAATTGCTTAAACCTGGGAGGCAGAGGTTGCAGTGAGCTGAGATTGTGCCACTGCACTCCAGCCTGGGCTATAGGGCGAGGCTGTGAGATTGCACCACTGCACTCAAGCCTGGGCTACAGGATGAGATTGCAAGATTGTGCCACTGCACTGCAGCCTGGGCTACAGGGCAAGACTTCAAGTAGGAAACAAAGGAAAGGAAGGGGAGGGGAGGGGACGGGAGGGGAGGGGAGAGGAGAGTGGGGAGGGAAGGGAAGGGAAGAGAAGGGAAGAGAAGGAAGAAAAGAAAGAGAGAAGAAAAGGGAGGGAGGAAAGGAGGAAGGGAGGGAGGGAAGAAGGAAAAGAAAGGAAGGAAGGAAAGAAAGAGAAAAAGAAAGAAAGAAAGAGAAAAGGAAGGAAGGAAGAAGAAGGAATGAAGGAAAAGAGAAAGAAAGAGAAAGAAAGAAAAAGAAAGAAAGAATGAAGAAAAAAGAAAGAAAGAGAAAGAAAAGAAAGAAAGAAAAAAGGAAGGAAGAAAGAAGGAAAGAAGGAAGGAAGGAAGGAAAGAAAAGAAAGAAAGAAAGAAAGGGAGGGTGGGAGAAGGGCTCACCAAAAAGCTCATTGGTGTGGGGCAAGAGTAGAGGAAAGAGAAAAACAATGAAACTCTGATTCTCAAAGTTTCAAAGAAAAAGCTACTACTCAGCAATAAAAATACATGAAACCACACAGATGACTTGCAGAAACATCATACTGAGTAAAAGAACCCAGACAGATAAACTGGAATAGTTTGTGATTCCATTTACATGAAGTTCTTTTTTAAAAATGCAAAATTATTATATACTGACGACAAACAATGTATCAATCGCTGGGTCTGGAGTGGAGAGGATTGCCTGTCAAGGGAGTGAAAAATGTTCCCTATTCGACTGTGGTGGCAGTTACACAGGGGCGGACATGTGTTAAAAGTCATTGACTTACACACTTAACGTGGGTGAATTTTACTGTAGGTAAATTATATCTCAATTCAACAAGGACCTTCTGAGAAAAAAGAAAAAATATAAGCTACCCTAAAAATACATCTAACACAAAATCTCTGAGATGTGTATGGAGAAAACTTAAAACTCTACACAACATTAAAGAAGATATAAATAAAGTGAAAGAAAGACTTAATCGGCCTGGTGCAGTGGCTCATGCCTATAATCCCAGCACTTCGGGAGGCCAAGGCAGGTGGATCACCTGAGGTCAGAAGTTCAAGACCAGCCTGGCCAACATGGAGAAACCCCATCTCTACTAAAAATACAAAAACTAGCCAGGTGTGGCGGCAGGCGCCTGTAATCCCAGCTACTTGGGAGGCTGAGGCAGGAGAATCACTTGAACCCGAGAGGCGGAGGCTGCAGTGAGCCAAGATCACACCACTGCACTCCAGCCTGGGTGACAGAGCAAGACTCTGCCTCAAAACAAAACAAAACAAAAAAGACTTAATTAATAGAGATGTCAATTATCCCTAAGTTGTTTTATAGGCAATACAATTCTAATCAAAATGCTAGCAAACATTTTCCAAGGAACTTGACAAGTTGATTCTAAAATACAAATGAATGAGCAAAGGGCTAAGAATAGGTAAAACACTTCTAAATGAGTTGAATAACAAGGTTAGAGTTGTTCTCCCACATGTGAAGACTTATGGTAATGCTTTTGTGGATAAGACTTTATGGTATCAGTACAGAGACAGAGTAAGTGATCAAGGAAATACAAGAAAGTGCCAAAGCCTATGTATGACTATATCAAACTTTTAAAAAATGATTTATTTATTTGAGATGGAGTCCCACTCTATTGCCCAGGCTGGAGTGCAGTGGTGTGATCTCAGCTCACTGCAACCTCTGCCTCCCGGGTTCAAGCAATTCTCCTGTCTCAGCCTCCCAAGTAGCTGGGACTACAGGTGCCCGCCACCACACCCAGCTAATTTTTGTATTTTTAGTAGAGAGGGTGTTTCACCATATTGGTCAGGCTGGTCTCGAACTCCTGACCTCAGGTGATCCACCAGCCTTGGCCTCCCAAAGTGCTAGGATTACAGTCGTGAGCAACCACACCTGGCCTATATTAAACTTTTATATCTGACAAAATTAGCATGACAGATAACTGGGAAAAGGAGGATTTATTCAACAAATTGGCTTTTCATATAGAAA
Organism: Homo sapiens; assembly: GCF_000001405.40. Lineage (NCBI taxonomy): Eukaryota > Metazoa > Chordata > Mammalia > Primates > Hominidae > Homo > Homo sapiens. Next base: position 20,434,321 of record NC_000016.10, on the reverse strand, counting down.
AAAATAAAATAGACCCCTATCTCATATCATGCATACATCAACCACAGATGGATTATAAACTTAAATGTCAAAAGCAGAATTATAAAACTATTGGAAGAAACTATTGAATATGTGTATTTTCTACCCTAAAGTTGAAAATGATTTTATAAGACACAAAAAGCACTATCCATAACATTTAAAAACTTAATGATTTGATGACATGGAAATAAATGCTTCTGTTCAACAAAAATAGCTTAAAGAAAGTGAAAGAAAGTGAAAAGATAAGCTACAACCAAGGAGGAAGATGTTAGCAACTCTTAAAACAAACAAAGGACCGATATCAAGAATATATTAAGAACTCCTATAGGCTGGGAGTGGTGGCTCATGCCTGTAATCATAGCATTTTGGTGGGCTGAGGCAGGTGGATCACTTGAGCCCAGGAATTCAAAACCAGCCTAGGCAACATGGTGAAACCCCATCTTTACAAAAAAAAAAAAAAAAATTAGCCAGGTGTGGTGGCATGTGCCTGTAGTTCCAGCTACTCAGGAGGCTGAGGTGGGAGGATCAGCTGAGCCCAGGAAGTCAAAGCTGCAGTGGCCATGATTGTGCCACTGCACTCCAGCCTTGGTGGCAGAAGGAGACCCTGCTTCCAAAAAAAAATTGTATTAAATAGTTGCATAATATTTCTGTGTGGTGGTGATATTATGCATTTGAACAAATTCCTGGATTCTTTTTTTAAAATTTTTTCTCTCTTCTTTTTCTCCTTTTCTTTTGTTTTTTTGCTTTTGTTCACAATGCTATAATATAATCCTTTACATAACTAATTTCTGATATTAGAAATTTAGATAGTCCCTCCACCTTTTTTATCTGTTATAAACAGCCAGCACTATAACAAATATTTGTGCATTTGATAATTTGTTTCCCTAGGAAAATAAGCACATTCCTTATATGGGATATACAGTTGACACGGGCATATTCATTTAACTGACATGTGCAATTTCAGCTAAATGGGAATGACCAACGTGAATTTGAAATGTTTATGTTTATTGTAGGGGGAGAATGAGCTTAGCTTATCAAAACTCACAGAACAATTTTGGTCTGAGATCCTCTATAATAATTTTCACATGTTTCCTGATTCTCACGAAGACATTTAATATTTTTCTCTTAATTAAGAATGAGCTGGGCCGGGCACTGTGGCTGATGCCTGTAATCCCAGCACTTTGGGAGTTGCCCGAGGCGGGCAGATCACTTGAGGCCAGAAATTCCAGACCAGTCTGGCCAAGGTGGCAAAACCCTGTCTCTACTAAAAATACCAAAATTACCCCGGTGAAGTGGTGTGCGCCTGTAGTCCCAGTTACTTGGGAGACTGGAGCGCGAGAGTTGCTTGAGCCCAGGAGGTGGAAGTGCAGTGAGCCAAGATCGCACCACTGTACTCCAGCCTGGGCAACAGAGTGAGAAGACACTGTCACAAAAAAAAAAAAAAAAAAAAAAAAAAGAATGATCTGGAAAGAAAACTAACTGTTGGTACAGGTGACGGAAAGAAACAGTCAAAAAAACTAGATTGTTGTCTAGCAAATAACTTTTCAAATTACTTTAGTACACTCAGTGGAACAATCTCACAACCAGAAAGAAAGTGTACAAGTGCAGTAAGTACCAGAGTCCTGCTCCACACTAAGTACCAGAGTCCTGCTCCACACCGAGCGGCACGAAGTCGACAATAAATAATGAATGAATGCATTTTTTCAGTGGGGTCAAAGATTTACTATTGCTTCCAAGACTGATTAGCAGAAAATACATTAAATGTTAACATGATCTCAGCTTGGCATGATTACTATGTTGTGGGATTTTGTAAGTTTCTGTGATTTTAAACAAAATAAAGTAGAAGATTATTTCTCTTGTAGTGACAGAAAAACCACTAAAATGCAACATTTTGAAAAGAAATGGACTGATTTATTTCTGCTCCTTCTAATTCTGTAGCTGATTGACAGCTTAGTAGACACATGAGATGGCATTTCTATTAAGCAGTGGCTCTCAGGCTTGACATTCGAATCGCCTGGGAAACTGATCCACACCAACAGAAATGTTGATTTTAATTAAGCTGAGGTGGGGCTCAAGCATCAGCAATAACTGAGGCTTGCCAGGTGTTTCTAATGCACAGCCAGGTCTGAGAGTTTTATAGAGAAAGCTGTGAAGAAAAGAAAGCCCGACATAAACACCACCCAAGATGAATACAAAAGAGAAGCAGTTACTGAATTATCCCAGAAACTTGGACTGAAATCCCAGGTTTGTGCCCTGCTAGCAAACCACAAAGAGAATCCTGAAGACAGCTCTGACACAATAGTGCAGTTTGACCTTTATGTATTTATTTATTTTATTATTATTATTATTTTTTTTTTTTGATACGGAGTCTCGTTCCCTCACCCAGGCTGGAGGGCAGTGGAATGATCCTGGCTCACGGCAACCTCCCTGGTTCAAGCAATTCTCCTGTCTCAGCCTCCCAAGTAGCTGGGAATAGAGGCGTGCGCCACCATGCCTGGCTGATTTTTGTATTTTTGGTAGAAACGGGGTTTCACTATGCTGACCAGGCTGGTGTTGAACTCCTGACCTCAGGTGATCCACCTGCCTCGGCCTCTGAAAGTGCTGAGATTACAGATGTGAGCCACTGCACCCGGCTGCAGTTTGACCTTCAGAAGCTCCTTTCCTTTACTGTACCTCGATTTTCACCTCATTAAAACAACAGTGCTGCCCTCATGTCATGTTTACGCTTTCAGACACACCCACATTTAAATCCCATGTCCTGCCTGTACTATTTGCATGATGCTGGATAAGTCACTTCCCCTTTGTAGTAGCTTCCTTATCAATAATAGTCTTCCTTATCAATAACAGAACTTTATTAATAATAGTAGCAACCTACCTCATGCAGTCATTGTAAGGATTAAACAAATAGATATTTACAAAGTGTGGTGCACAATGCTTAGCACACAGTCACTGTCATGAGAACGGCTGTTCCCCGTCTCTTACCAAATAGCAATTGAAGAAACAGAAGGGCCGAGTGGGTCTGATACGGACGGCAACATTCCCCTCTTCTCCAGGAGGCAGGACGTTGCCCTCATCATCCACAATCTGGTAAGGAAATCATCACAGAGGTGCATACGTGAGTGTCTACACCCTGGGCCTCTCCCAGCAGCCCAGCAGCCCGTGCCAACCAGGCCTGTGTGTCTTTCTCCTCTCCATGCCAGGCCTTGCCAGAAGTTGGGGGAGGCTGCTACCTGCACATCGTAGGGTGGGGACGCCTTCCCCATGGATCCAGACTTGATTTTCATGCCTTTTGGATTGGCACAGATGACAACCTGGGGAGAACGCAGTACAGATAAAGAAGAGCCTTTCCACTTAGCTTCTTTCCTGGGCCATGCCTTTCTCTCACCCTGCCTGATAACTCTTTCTCTCATCCTCTTTTTTCTCCTCCCTCACTTTCTTCTTTCTTTCCCTTCTCCTCTCTCCATTTCTCTCCATTCTTCCTCCCTTCTTTCTTTTCTTTTTTCTTCCTTGCTCACTCCTTCCTTTCCTCTTTCTTTCCTTTCTTTCCCCTTTCCTGTTTTCTTCCTTCCCTCCTTCATTTTCTTTCCTCCTTTTTTTCATTCTTTTCCCCGTTATTTCATTCTCCATTTTCCTCTCTCCTCCCTTCTTCTTTGTTCCCTATTTCCTTCCTTCCATTCATCTTTTTCCCTTCCTTTCCTCCTTCTTTTCCTTTCTCTTTCCTTTATTTCCTCCCTCCCTTCCTTCTTCATTTTCTTCCTATTTTCTTCCCTCTTTCTTGCCTGTCTTTCTTCTTTTCTTTCCATAGTTAACAAACAATTATGGGGCACTCCAGTGGGCACTCAAACATAAAGAACTTAACCCATCTCTAAGCCAAAAGACTCAGTTGATCCCCAGATCTCTTCCTAGATGACTATAGAGGACGCTGCTTAGAATCTTGGACTCTGAACAGTGGCAGATGTAGACTGTCTTGGTGGAGACAAACAATGCCTTCAGCAGTGAGGGCTGGTTTGCTGGTCATGGTATAATTGTAAAAGTACTTTAAATTACCTTTTTTTAATTTATAAGTAGTGTGTGTGTGTGTGTGTGTGTGTGTGTGTGTGTGTATTTCAATAGCTTTTTGGGTTCGAGCGTTTTTTTGTAACATGGATGAATTCTATAGTGGTGAATCCTGAGATTTTAGTGCATCTGTAAGCTGAGTAGTGTACATTATACCCAATACGTAGTTTTTTTACCTTCACGCCCCTCCTCTCACCTTCTTCCTTCTGAGTCTCCAAAGTCTTTTATACCACTCTGTATGTCTTTGCATCCTCATAGCTTAGCTCCCACTTATAAGTGAGAACATATGGAAATCAAAAGGGAAGGAAAGCTGATGGAATTTTGTTATCAGCTTCTCCCCTGGGGGAAGGGTGGTCCCTGAGAAGCTTCAGGGAGGTGACAGCCGGAGAGGCAGGAAGCTCTCGAGGGGACCTGGGGGGTAGGGACCTGGCCCCTCCAGCACTCACCGTTTCAGACTGGCCATAGCCTTCGTACAGCTCCACACCAGTCTGGTGTTTCCACTTCTCCCTCACGTCAGGGTTGAGGGCCTCTCCTCCGGTCAGACAGTGCCTCAGGCTCTGAAACTGGTACCTTTCTCAGACAGGAAAACAAGGCCACCTATGTCAGGATCTTCATATCACCCCGCCCTCTGGTGCCACTGCCCAGATGCAAACACCACAGGCACTAGAGGGTAGATGCCCCTGCTTTTTAATCTTCTCTAAGTGAGTCCACCCACTGGCTTTGCAACCATGCTCCTCATGGACAGATAATTTTTAAAAGATCCATCCTATCTGAGTTTGAGATAAAATCAGAAGCTCATATAATAGGTTTTGGCATAATATGGTGAGTTCCAGGTAACTTGGCCAAAATAATTTAGTTGGAAAAAAACTGATAATAAATTGGTTAGGACAGTAATCTGATTGAAAAGGATAGATGAATTAGAAATTGAAAAGATAGGCCAGGCACCATGGCTCACACCTGTAGTCCCAGCACTTTGGGAGGCCTAGGTGGGCAGATTGCTTGATCTCAGGAGTTGAAGACCAGCCTGGTCAACGTGGTAAAACCCCGTCTCTACCGAAAAATACTAAAAATTAGCTGGGTATGGTGGCACATGCCTGTAGTCCCAGCTACTTGGAATGTTGAAGTGGGAGGAAAGCTGGAACCTGGGAGGCAGATGTTGCAGTGAGCTGAGATCATGCCACTGCACTCCAGCCTGGGCAACAGAGCAAGACTCTGTCTCTAAAATAAATAAATAAATAAAAATAAAAGAAAAAGGAAAAGAAAGGAAAGAAAAGAAAATGGAAAAGATAAAAATTAGACCCCTAAGAATCCCAAAAATTCCTACAGATATTAATTATGTTGCAAAATGCCCTCTCTGTTCAACAAATCATCCAAATTATAAAAAAGAACAGTGACTGCAAGTACATTTTTAATCTTGGAGGAGAGGGGAGATCAAATTGGCTTGATTAAGTTACTTATTATTACCAAAGAGCATTCAACGACATTGTTCTTAACGAGGTACTTGGAGCTTGCTTTCAGCCAAAATCATCATGTGGAGATGCACACATCAGATCAATGAATGGGATGATTTTCTTACATTGGAGAAGAATTCACTTTTAGAAGCATGTAAGAACTCCCTTTTTTGGACACTTGGTGGGTAGATTCATGTGATTAGGAAAGATGAGAGGACGACTCCTCATGACTTACGGGAGGACAAAAGAGGGAGAACAGGTCAGGGTTGGTGGATACTGAAGGACAGTGGGCCTCTCTCCATATACCCCAGCAACCAGCCCTGTTCTGCTAGAAGATGTTGCTTTGGCTTCACCCAGGATGGAGCCATCATCAGTGCCTTGTCCCTTTCTCTTGGGTGCCCAATGGCATGTGCTCAGAGAACAGTTGGCTGGGGTTAGTCTGAGGCTGAGAGTTGGGGCATCTACTGCGGTGCGGGCTTGTTAGTTTCACCACACCTGAGGGCCCTGGCCACAGACCCCACTCCACAGGTGGCTAACAATTTTCCAATCATTTCTCTCGCCTCACAGAAGTAGCAGACACACTGCTGACAGAATAGCCCATGGGTGTATGGTGTGAGGAGAAGCCTATCTCAGGTGCTAAAATTTCAGTCTGCCTTAAATCTATTTAGTTCCATCTGGATGCAAATTTTGGGGGGCCAGAAGCTTGTTCTTGAGGGGCATCTGTGAGATTTACAGGTATGTTGACTTGTCAATGTGTACGTGTATAAATGTGTGTGTGAGAGAGAGACAAAGAGAGAGGCAGAAAAATATATAGAGGGAGAGACAGAGAAAGAAAGAGAGTTGGAATGAGAGGGTAGTTGTGTGTGTGGATACCCATGCTATATATTCACATACTTAGGCCCTCAAAGCACGAAATAGACGGGCTGTACCTGGTCAGATCCTCCTGCACAAGCAGCCGAAAGATGGTTGGGACACAGCAGAGGGTGGTTATCGGGAATTTGGAGAGAGTCTAAACAAAAACAAAGGGTGAAAGATGTCCTTAGAATCATTGGGGTGGGACCATGAAGATGGAGCCAAATGCATCTTTATAGTCTCAGTACCAAAGCAGAGAAGCTGAAAACTATGTGTGGAATCCAGCAGCCAAGATGGTGTCCAGTGACTCCTACTTCCTGGCATGTGCACCTTTGGAGGATCCCCTCTCACCTCATACCAAAGTGGGTCTGTGACAGCAATGGCATACTGCCAAGGTGATGAATACCACTTTCAAGATTCGGTTATACAAAGACTATGGCTTCTGTCTTGGATATTCTTTCTCTCTGCCTTTCTTGGATCCCTTGTTCTGGGGGAAGCAAGCCACCATGTTTTGAGTATGCTCAAGCCATCCTACGGACAGGTGCACACAGTGAGAAACTGGAGACTAGCAAACACCCAGTGAGAAATTGAAGTCTACTAAAAACCACCAGTGAGGTTTTTGTTTTGTTTTTTGTTTGGTTTTTTGAGATGGAGTCTCACTCTGTCACCCAGGCTGGAGTGCAGTGGCAAGATCTCAGCTCACTGCAACCTCTGCCTCCCGGGTTCAAGCAATTCTCTGCCTCAGACCCCTGAGTAGCTGGGATTACAGGTGCCCACCACCAGGCCCGGCTAATTTTTGTATTTTTAGTAGAAACGGGGTTTCACCATCCTGGCCAGGCTGGTCTTTAACTCCTGACCTCATGATTCACCCGCCTTGGCCTCCCAAAGTGCTGGGATTACAGGTATGAACCACTGTGCCCGGCCACCAGTGAACTTTTAAGCAATTTTCCAGCTTCAGTCAATCCTTAAGATGATTGCAGTCCTAGCAAATATCTTCTTTAAAATTATTGTGGCAAAATACACACAACATAGGATTTGCCCATTGGAACGGTTTTTAAGTGTATAGTCCAGTGGGATTAAACATTTCCAGAGTGTTGTGCAACCATCGCTACCATCCACCTCCAGAACTATTTTTATCTTCTCAAACTTAAACTCTGTACCCATTACACAATAATTTCCCATTAATCTCTCCCCTAACTCCTGGTAAACACCATTGTACTTTCTGTCTCTATGAATTTGACTACTCTTGGAATCTCATGTAAGTGGAATCATACAGTATTTGTCCTTGTATGACTGGCATGTTTCACTTAGCATAATGTCCTCAAGGGTTATCCACGTTATATCATACAACAAGATGTCCTTCCTTTTTAAGGCTGGGTAATATTCCATTGTACATATACACCACATTTTGTTTATTCATTCATCTGTGGATGGACACTTGTGTTGCTTTCACCTTTTAGTTATTGTTAATGCTGCTATGAACATGAGCATACCTTGCTGACCTCTTGATTGCAACCTCATGAGAGACCCTGCTCCAAAAACCCCTCATTAAGCTACCTCCAGCTTCCTGACCATCAGAAACTGTGAGATAAATGCTTGTGTTTTAAAGTGCTAAGTTTCGGTATAATTTATTACATAGCAATAGATAATGAAAACACTATATCAGAGCTGGGGACAGTGCAAGGAGAAGGTCCATACATTGGCTGATCAAGCACTACATGGATAATGATGGTGATGAGTTTGATCATGATGATAACAATCAATATGGGTTAAGAATCTACTATATTTGGTCCACCATGTGATACCAGCTTACTCCTGCAAGAATGGCCATAATCAAAATATCAAAAAATAATAGATGTTGGCATGGATGCAGTGAACAAGGAACACTTCTACATTGCTGGTAGGAATGTAAACTAGTACAACCACTGTGGAAAACAGTGTGGAGATTCCTTAAAGAACTAAAAGTAGAACTACCATTTGATCCAGCAATCCCACTTCTGGGCATCTATCCAGAAGAAAAGAAGTCATATGAAAAAGATACTTGCACATACATGTTTATAGCAGCACAGTTTGCAATTGCAAAAATGTGGAACAAACCCAAATGCCCATAAATCAACAGGTGGGCAAAGAAAGTGTGGTATATAAATATATATAATGGAATACAACTCAGCCATAAAAAGGAATGAATTAATGGCATTCGCAGGGACCTGGATGAGATTGTAGACTATTATTCTAAGTAAAGTAACTCAGAAATGGAAAACCAAATATTTTATGTTCTCCCTCATAAGTGGGAGCTAAGCTATGAGGATGCAAAGGTGTAAGAATGGCACAATGGACTTTGGGGACTTGGGGAAAATGGTGGGAAGGGGGTGAGGGATAAAAGACTACAAATTGGGTGCAGTGTATACTGCTCAGGTGATGGGTGCACCAAAATCTTACAATCACCACTAAAGAACTTACTCATGTAATCAAACACCACCTGTTCCCCAATAACCTATGAAAATAATTTTTTTTTAAAAAAAGAATCTACTATGTTTTGAAGCAACCTAAGTGTCCATCAACAGATGAATGGAAAAAGAAGATGTACATATACACAATGGATCCATAAAAAAGAATGAGGTCCTGTCATTTGCTGCAACATGGATGGAACTGGAGATCATTATGTTAAGTGAAATAAGCCAGGCACATAAAGACTAACTTCACATATTCTCACTTATTTGTGAGATTTAAAAGTCAAAACAATTGAACTCATGGAAATAGAGATTAGAAGGATGATTACCAGAGGCTGGGAAGGGTAGTCGGGGGCTGGGAGAAAGGTGGGGATGGTTAGTTGGTACCAAAATAATAGAATGAATGAATAAGACCTGTTATTTTAAAGCACATCAGGGTGACTATAGTCAATAAAAACTTAATTGTACATTTTAAAATAACTGAAAGAGTATAATTAGATTGTAACACAAAAGATAAATGCTTTGAGGGTATGGATACCCCATTCTCTATGATGTGATTTTCACGCATTGCATGCCTACATCAAAACATCTCATGTACCCCATAAATATATACACCTACTATGTATCCACAAAAATTAAAAATTATTTCAAAAAAGAACCTATGATGTGCTGGCCCCTTTGCCTTGTATCATTTCATTCTCGCAGCAAATCTATAGAGAAATGTATCCCTTTCTTACAGATGAGGCTGAAACTGCAGCTCAGGAGATTAAGCAGCTTCCCCAAGGCCACACAGCTAGCGAATCAAAGGTGTAGGATCAGAGTCCAGGTCTGACTCTTTGACTGATGGCACAGCCTATGCAGTTAGCTACCATGTGATACAGCTTATCTCAGTACAAATAATATGAGCAGAAGTGTCCTCTGACATTTTAAGGAATGACAGGATGTGGGGGGTGGAAGAAAGGTGACCTGTGTCTTGACTGGGGCCACCAATCTCCTCCCTCCCCATGAGAAGACCCTGAGAGGCTGAGCAGGAGTCACCAGGACTCTCTAGTTGGGCCAACTACTCATGTTAAGAACCATGGACAGTAGCATTTGGAGTTGAGGCATAGACTGATTTTGCCTAAGGGTTTGACAAATACCTAGGGTTTTGGCAGGAGCATAGGGAAGAAAGTGGTGGAAACAAGGGCACCCCATGCAAAAGAAATAGCAACAAAATGGTCTTACATCTAGGAATGTAGCTAGAGCATAGGCAATGATTGAAGGGAACCAGGTGGTCAGGAACCAGATTATGGAAGGCCAGGGAGCCACACCAAAGAAGCCTTAAATTCACTGATTTATGTGTTTTCTCCTGCAGTCTGAAATCTATATCCCACTCATCTCATTTGTACCCAACACATATGGGGTATTGTTGGTTTTTCCTCTTACATTCAGGATAACTTTGGCATCAACTCGGGGCAGCTCATGCACAAAAATGCAAGATCCATTAGGCCAGGCAGAGAAGAGAGTCCAGGCTGCCTTCACCCAGCCAGTGTCAGTCGTGTTCCAGAAGATGTCAGATTCGGTCAAGGCCACCCACCGTCTGCCAAAAATTAGAGAACGTCAGTAACCTTGGCAATGACTCTACCTTTAAAAAGGATTGTATTATCTATATCACCACATTTGGAGCCCTGCTCAGTGGGTACTCACTTATACTTGTGAAACCTGAACAAGACCATCAAGTCAACTATTGTCTCAACCAGCATCTTCCATGTACCTATGCCCTAGGCTAAGAATACAGAAGCAAAAAGAGTTTCCAGAAAGTTCACAGTCCAGTGGATGTGATATATAAGGGGAAAAAATTAACCTCAATACTCTGTGCTAAGGTCACTTTATTTAGCCAACATTTATTTAGCATTTAGTCTGGACTTAGCACTAGGGATCTAGAAATGAACGATTAGTCTTGCTTTGAGGGCCTTATAGGAAGCCCCTGGAGAGCATGTTTTAATAGAGCTAAACACAAAGCCTTGTGCAATTATAGAGAATAGGCACCTAACCCAGAGCAATGATGGACATGGGTTTCTGAGAAATGCTCTGGTAGAGGAAGTGACACTTGAGTTAGACATAAAGAATAAATAGGGATTATATAGGTGAGGCAGAGAAGCAGGAGCATCCCAGGAATGGGAAACAGTGTCTGCAAACATGGAAGACATAAAAAGCGGTCATGCACTTGAATCCTGGGACACGCGCACTCCTGGTTCTCCCCATTTCATTGGCTGTTCCCTTCTCAGTCTCCTCTGCTGAGTCCTCCTGGTCTTCCCCTTCAGTGCAGAAATGCCTCGGGCACTCAGTCCTGAGACCCATTCTCTTTTCAGTTTATATTACACTTTGCTGATCTCATCCCATCTCATGGTATGAAATACCATCTTTACACTGATAAGTTCAGCATGAATCTTTCTCATTAACTTCAGACATGTGTATCCAAATGCCCACTCAACATCTCCACTTTTAACAAGGAGATGGAGATTTCTAAGAAGACTCTCAAATTGACAACTCCATAAACAAACTGTTTTCTTGCCACCAGACAGCTCATCCCACAGTTCTTCCCCCATCATTTAGTGCTTCCAGTTGTTCAGGCCATTCCTCTTAGAGCTCTCCTTGACTCCTCCTTCTCATTCCACACTGATTCTGTCAGCAAGCCTTATTGGGTCTAGGTTGAAAATACATTCAGAATCTCATCTCTTCTCCCACTACTGCTCCCCGGGCAAGCTACCATGCTTGCCTCTTAATGCACTGGTCATCTTCTTTACCTGTTTCCCCTACAGTTACATTGTCAACCCAACATCCTGAGTGAGCCTTTAAAAAACATATTAGATTATGTCACTCCTCTGCTCAAAATACCCAATGCTTCTCAAAAAAAATTAAACATAGAATTACCATATGATCCAGCAATTTCATTTCTGCATGTATATCCAAAAGAAGTAAAAGCAGAGACTCTAACAGATACTCACATGCCAGTGTTTATAGCAACATTATTGACAATAGCCAAAATGTGGAAGCTACCCAAGTGTCTATCAACAGGTGAATGGATTATTTAAAATGTGGTCGAGGCCAGGTGCAGTGGCTCATGCCTGTAATCCCAGCACTTTGAGAGGCCAAGGCGTGAGGATCATGAGGTCAGGAGTTCGAGACCAGCCTGGCCAACATGGTGAAACCCGGTCTCTACTAAAAATACAAAAATTAGCTGGGTGTGGTGGCGGGCACCTGTAACCCCAGCTATCTGGGAGGCTGAGGCAGGAGAATTGCTTGAAACTGGAAGGCAGAGGTTGCAGTGAGTGGAGATCGCACCACTGCACACCAGCCTGGGCAAAAGAGCAAAACTCTGTCTCAAAAAAATAAAAATAAAATAAAAAATAAAAATAAATAAAATGTGGTCTATCCATACAATGGAATATTTTTCAGTCTTAAAAGGGAAGGAAATTTTGACACATGCTATGACACGGATGAACCTTGAGGACATTATGCTAAGTGAAAGAAGCCAAATTGCAAAACAAAAGGACAGACTGCATGATGCCAGTTACACGAAATACCTAGAGTATCAAATTCACAGAGATGAAAAGTAAAATAGAGGTTACCAGGGGTGAGGGGAGAGGGTAATGGGGTGTTATTGGGTAATGGGGGCACAGTTCTCATTTGGAAAGATAAAGTAAATTCTGGAAATGGATGGTGATTGTGGTTGCACAACAATGTGAATGTATTTAATGACATTAAACTGTACACTTAAAATGGTTAAAAGGGTACATTTATGATATATGTATATATATGTTTATATGTGTATGTATGTATATATATGTGTGTGTGTATATATATATATATATATATATATATATATATATATATATAGCCACGATTTAAAAAGAAACCTCCCATGGCTTTTCACCTCACTCAGAGTAAAATCCAGAACCATCAAGATCCTTCCTAAGCTGCTCCTATTGGCTTCTCAGTAATTCTGTTGGCTCTCTGACCTCCGTTCCTGACACCTTTCCCCTCACACCACCCCCTCCAGACCACTCCCCACTTTCTGTTCTTGGATCCTCTAGACAAGCTGCTCTGGTACCTTCCGCTGGCCACAAAACCCAGTCCGTAGCTGCTCTGGGAGTGCTCGACCATCTTGGGGGCCCCGGTGGTTCCGCTGGTAAAGTAGATGGCCAGCGGGTCTCGACTCTTTGTCCTCATGCAGTTGTGCTCTGTAGAAGCCTCCCTGTAAAACGTAAATACACTAGGTGGCACTACCACGGTAAAAACAGTTAGTAGCACCAATAATATGTGTAACAACAATATGACTACCGTTTCATAAATACCACATGTGAGGTGCTGTGCTGAAAGCTCTGGCTTGGGTAATCTGCAACCACCTCATGGGGTAGGTACTATCATTATAACCCTTTTGCAGACCAGGAAACTGAGGCTCAAAATAGATAAATAATTCACGCAAAAGAGTCCATGCTTTCTTACCAAGGTATGAGGACTTTCTGGTAGAACACACACATGTCCATGTCTATAATTCTGCACATTTAGGCACAGCTTCCACCCCCATCCCAATTTCTAATAATTTAGAACTCTTTTCTAAAGGTTTCCCCCAATATGGGGTTTTGAGATCTAGGTAATTCCCAAAGTTCTGTGATCTGGATGATCAGCTAATCCACGGGCTCTCATCCCTGGCTGCACTGTGAAGTCCCCTGGTAAATTTTTGGAAGAAACTTGTCTGTATCCACCCTGAACAAAATAAAATCAGAATCTTTAATGTTTTCTTAAATGCTTCTCAGTAATTCTAGTAACAGCCAAAATTGAGAACCACTGATCTAGGCCCACCTGACAGCTCTCAAAATCATATGAGCCGATTTTTTTTTGTTTTGTTTTTGAGATGGTGTTTCGCTTTTGTTGCCCAGGCTGGAGTGCAATGGCGGGATCTTGGCTCACTGCAACCTCTGCCTCCCGGGTTCAAGTGATTCTCCTGCCTCAGCCTCCCAAATAGCTGGGAATATAGGCGTGCGCCACCACGCCCAGCTAATTTTGTATTTTTAGTAGAGACGGGGTTTCTCCATGCTGGTCAGGCTGGTCTCAAACTCCCGACCTCGGGTGATCTGCCTGCCTCAGCCTCCAAAAGTGCTGGGATTACAGGCGTGAGCCATGGCGCCTGGCCCTATGGGCTGATTTTTTTAAAAAAGATCCCCAGGGCTCTTGCTCAGCTGTGTCTGGTTAAGTAGGTCAGATGTGAGGCCTTGTCATCTGTATTCAAAACAGCAGCCAGGTGAATCTGATGCAGCTGGTCTGTGGGGTGAGCATTCATAACTCAATGGTTCAGGCCCCTGAGAGGCTCCTTTTGGGTTCTGGCTTCCAATCAGGACAAAGTCTCAAATTCTGAGATGGGTTTCCACCAGGCCCTTGCTCCAAGGCACATCTGCTCTCGGCTCTGCCCACTCCTGACTTGACTACTTTTTAGCACCTTGGGCAAGTCACTTTAGTTTTCCAAGTCTCAGTTTCCTCATCTGTAAAACTGGGTTAAAGGGCCCATCACAATGTCCTGTTCAGGGATTAAATAAGGTGATGTTTGATCCATTATGGTGTTCTGAACACCAAACACAATGCTTGTCGTGAAATAGATGTTCATTAAATCTTCGCTGCATGAATGAATGAAGGTGAAGGCTTACATAGCACAGTATCTAGCGATACACTAAGTACCCAATACATGGCCACTAGTTTATTATTAACTGACCACCTGCTATGTGCTAAATGCACCATATTGGTTATTTCATGTACTCTGAATGGTAGCTCTAATAACTACCACCGCATTATAGAAGCAAATGAAGCACAGAAAAGCTGCTGACAAATCCAGCACTGACTGAATGAGGGACCTTGAACATTAAGGTAGGGACCAGGATTATGCTCAGGTCAGCCTGGCTGCCAATGGGAGTGCTCCTCTCTGATTCGCTCTCTATGTGTGGAATCAGCAATGCATTTCATCTTTTGTTGCTTAAAGGGGAAATGACTTCATTTTTCTGCTGTTCTGGAGAGCCCCAATTCACCGGAGGAGTTCCCTGAAGTTCAACCAGCCTGGCCGACTGCTGTCTGACACCAGCAGCTTGGTCTGGAGGGAGGGGCATTCGGCACTGATGGCATCCACCCTTGGAGCTAGGGAGTCACTGGTGATAATGGACTTGGCCCTGGACGCCTGCAGCCGGTACTTGAGGTCCTTCTCTGTCAGCTGAGTCACACCCGGAATCATCACAGTCCCTGGCATAAAACAGAAGGGGATGTTGAGTGGATAGCGGGGAAGGCCTTGGGTATAGAGGTAAGAGATGAAGGCAGGAAGGGGCTGGGGAGGGTTGGAATGCATGAGCTGGAAGACGTAACAATAATAATAATAACAGCCTAAAAACCCTAGCCGTCTGAATAAGTGCATGATCACTTATTCACTCAGCATCAGTGGAGGCTTGCTAGGCTCACTGTGGCCTCTTTCCTCCTCTGTTTCTCTGCTGAAGGAACCATTCTAAGAAGATAATGTTTCACTGCCCTGGACATTCATGACAACAGGAGGACCTGTCCCCCTAACCTCCTGCAAGGGATAATATCACTGGTTCTTTTATTTCATCTTTATCTTCCTTCCTTTGGGAGCTGGATGATGCTGTGATAATGAGAATCATAAAGTCTAAGAGTGAAACTAACATAGATTGGTTATAAGGGTCCCTCATCTATAACTGCATCGTTCGGGTAAAATTCTAGCAACTAAAGCAAGGCTCCCAAACCACAACCAGCAGAAAATATGCTTGATTTGTCCCAGTCAGGACTTTTTAAAATGATAGATGCCAACATTAAAAGACAGGGGGATTTTTCATAAAAATCCAGAGTTTTCAATTACAAATCAGAAGTTCTGATAACACTGGTATTCATTCTGTCGTGGGAACATTTGGTTCGAGTTGAGAAGCAGCGACCCCATTTGATAAAGCATGTGATCTCCAGTTTGCCGCAGTCCTCACAACTCCCTACTGCCTTGCACTGGCCTGCTTTTATCAATTACATCATTGTCTGGCCCCTACTATACAATCAAGTCTGTGATTGTTAGGCAAATAGGAAGTAAACACAACTCCACATACAGTTTATTTTTGCTCCATCTTCAAGACCCTGTGGACACTGCAAAGCTCTGGCAAGTTGTGTCTGCCCCCAACTAAAATTCCCAGCCCTGCTTACTGACCTGTCCGCATGCAAGCCACACTGACCAGCCACCACTCCGGGAGCCGTGGGAGTACCAGCATCATTCTGTCCCCAGGCTGCAGGCCGCATGCACCCCCCAGCACATTGGCTGCCTTCCTGGACTGCTTCCCCAGCTCCTCAAAGCTCCACTTGATCTCTGCTCCTGTGCCATTGACCCACCAGAAGGCAGGATTTGGGGGGCGGTGTCCAGCCTAGATGGTGGTACAGGCAGAAAAAAAAAGAAGCAATTTATTGAGAATTTTTGTTTGCTTGTTGCTGTTTAATGTTTTATAATAGTTAATATAAAATTCACAGGGTTCAAAAAGCAAAGCAATATGGAAAGACATGCATTGAAAAGGCTTGCTCCCCTCCTTATACCTACCTGCCCTGTTTTCCACTTCCTCTGCCTCATAAGTAACCAATTTTATTAGTTTTTTGCATATCCTTCCATAGTTTCTTTAGGCAAACACAAGCATATATTTTTTTCTACTATCTTTTTAATGCAAAAGGTAGCACATGATTAACACTGTTTTCTGTTTTTCCCTTTTTTATTGAAATATAATTCAGGTACCATAAAAATCACCATTTTAAAGTGCACAACTCACTGGTTCTTAGTATGTTCACAAGGTTGTGTAACCATCACCATTCTCTAATTCCAAAACATTTTTATTGCCCTAAAAAGAAACATTGTGCAAATTAGCTGTCCCTTCCCATTCCCTCCTCCTCCAGCTCCTGGTTATCACTTATCTGCTTTCTGTCTCTATGGATTTGCATCTTCTGGATATTTCATATGAATGGAATCATATGATATGTAGCTTTATGTTTGGTTTCTTTCACTTTGTACAATGCTTTCAAGATTTATCTATGTCATAGCATGAATTGGCATTACATTATTTTGATGGCTGAATAATATTCCACTGTATGGATAGACCACATTTTGTTTATCCATTCACCAGTTCATAGACATTAGGGTTGGTTCCACTTTTTGGCTATTATAAATAACACTGCTATGAGGATTTATGTACAAGTTTTTCTGTGAGCACATGTTTTCTATTGTCTTGGATATCTACTTAGGAGTACAATTCCTGGGTCAGTATTATAATAACTCTATGTTAACTTTCGGAGGAACTGCCAAACTGTTTTCCACAGCACTGCACCATTTTACATTTCCATCCAGCCATGTCTGAGGGTTCTAATTCTCTGCATCATCTCCAACGTTTGTTATTGTACCTTTTTTTTTTTTTTTTGCCATGCCACTGGTTATGAAGTGGTATCTCCTTGTGGCTAGGATTTGCATTTCCCTAATGAATAAAGATGTTAAGCATCTTTTCATGTGTCTATTGGCCATTTGTTTATATTCCTTGAAGAAATGTCTCTTCAGATTCTTAGCCCATACTTTAATTGGGTTATTTGTCTTTTTCACTGTCTAGTTTGAGTTCTTTATGCATGATAGATACTAGACCCTTAACCAATATGTGATTTTTCAGATATTTTCTCCTATTCTGTGAGCTTTTTACTTTGATATATAAATACTATTAATTTTCATGAAGTCCAATTAATCTATTTTTTATTTTGTTGCTTTTGCTTTAGAAACCATTGCCCAATCAGAGGTCACAAAAATATACTCCTATGTTTTCTTCTAAAAATTTTCTTGTACTTTATGTTTCTTCATTTAGGTCTTTGATACATTTTGAGTTAATTTTTGTATTTAGGGTCAGGTAGGAGACTCAATTAATTCTTTTGCATGTGAACACACAGTTGTGCCAGCATCATTAGTTGGAAAGACAATTATTTCACCCATTTAATTGTCTTGGTACCCTTGTTGAAAATCAATTGATGATAGATTTGTGGATTTATTTCTAGACTCTGAATTCATACCTATTTATCCAAGTCTATCCTTATGCTAGTGCCACACTGTCTTGGTTACTGTAACTTTGCAGTAGACTTGAAATAGAAAAGTGTGAGTCTTCTTTTTTTTTTTTTTTCAAGGCTGTTTTGGTCCCTGTGGGTCCCTTGCATTTCCATACGAGTTTTTGAATCAGGTTGTCTATTTCTGTAAACAAGTCTCCTAGGATTTTGATAAAGTTTGCATTAAATGTGCAGCTCAATTTGGGGTGTATTTTCATCTTAACAATATTAATTCTTTTAATCCATGAGCATGGGGTGTATTTCTATTTGTTTACATCTTTTCCAGTTTATTTCAGTAATGTTTTGTCATTTTCCATGTACAACCCTTATACTTCTTTGGTTAAATTTATTTATATGTATTTCGTTCTTTTTGACGCTATTAGTAAATGAAATCATTTCTTAACTTCATTTTTTATTGCTCCTTACTCGAGTATTGAGTATTAAGTTATCTGCTCTTAAAATACAATGATGAAGTAGGGATACCATAATAGTCAGAGACATATCCATTCAAACAATGAATTAAAATAAAAGGAAAACAATGAGTCACCAATCCCAAGCAACTCTGAATCCAACTGAGAAAACTCTATTAGGTTTCAAAGCCCTTAATCATCTGTGATTGTGGCTTTGCTTTCTAGTTGCTCAGCTCCACCCTCTGGGCTCCCAATTCCACATTCTTGACTAACAACTCTGCCCTAAATCATCTCTTCTTTTACAAGAAGGGTAACACATGTTTGTAGCTAAGTAGATTTAACCACCTGTTTCCTGCCTGTAGAATTTGGGGAGTCCAACAGCCTTCTTCTATATTTTCCTCTCTCTGTCCAGTACAAGATGGCAGTATTTCTGCTGATAAAACATTCTCAAGAAACTAGTGGTTCTCTCATGTATGTCTCAGTGATTCACCCCATTAGGGAAGTGGCTCCTCCACAGATCTTTTCCAGATAATCCCATCTCTATTGCTGGTTTCTGCCTCCATGGCTGAAGGAACTGAGGAACTTTGTCTAATCTCTTCAAAAAGCTCTCTGTGACTTTTTGATACTCGAATTGCTAGCAAAAGATTGTCCAACCACACTCTTGGATTTCCCTTTGCAGCATACTTTTCTGACAGTGAATATCCTAACTTTAATGTCTTTTATAATATAGGAAGGCTGAGAATTGTTCAAACCACCAGGTTCTGGCTCTATTTTTGCTTAACAATTCTTTCCTCTGTCTATTTCTTTCCTTCAGCATTGTAATATAACCAGCAAGAAGAAATCAGTCCACATCTTCAACACTTGGCTGGGAAATCTCCTTAGCTAAATATCCAAGCTTATCCCTTATAAGTTATTCTATCCATCTAGCTCTAGGACACCATTCAGCCAAAATTTCTGCCACTATATAATAAGGATCCACTTTCCTTCAGTTTCTGATATTACATTTTTCATTTCCTTCTGAGTTTTTATCATCTGTGCCTTTAATGTTCATATTTCTACTAACAGTCTTCATGATTCTTTAAAACAATACAGTCTCATCTGTCATACTCCTCCTTTCTTTTTGAGGTGTCGCTAGCAAAATCATTAATATCTGCATTTCTACTAACAGTCTGCTCAAGGCAATCTAGGCTTTTTTCCGTGCTCCTCAAAATTCTTCCAGCCTCTACCCATCACCTAATTCCAAACCTACTTTCACATCCTTTGGTATTTATTACAGCTCTCATTACTACTCTTGGTGCCAAAATCTGTATTGGTTTTGAATAATCCCATCTATTGCTGCTGTAATAAATTATCACAAACTTAATTGCATAAAACAACACAAATATACAGCCTTATAGTTCTGGAGATAAACAGTTCAAAATCAGTCTTAGTGGACTAACATCAAGGTGTCAGAAGAATTGTTTTCCTACTGGATGCTTTAGTGGAGAACCTGTGTCCTTGCATTTTCTAGTTTTCAGAGGCAATTCACATTCCTTGGATCGTGGCCCCACATCACTCCCACCTCTGTTTTCATTGTCACATCTCCTTCTCTGACTCTGACCCTCCTGCCTTCTCATAGGGTACCTTATGATTATATTAGGCTCATCCAGATAATCCAGAATAATCTCTTCATATGAATATCTTTAGTATAATCATGTTTGCAAAGTCTCTTGCCATGTAAGATAACATACTCACAGGTTTCAGGGATTAAGGTATAAAAATCTTGGGGAAGGGGTGCATTATTTTGATAACCATTGCCATGCTCTTTCTAGTTTCTTTGCGTATCTTGTAAATTTTTGTTGAAAACTATAAATTTAAAATTACATCATGTGATTACTCAGGAAATCAGATCCACCCCCACCCATTCCCCACAACTCCCCAGAGTTTGGTTTGCTGTTGCTGCTTGTTGTCATTTGTTTAGTGATTTTTGTGAACCATTTCTGTGAAGTCTGCATTATTTGTTCTGTGTGGCCACTGAGATATCTACTTGGTTAGCTTAGTAGTCATCTTATGATTAGACAGAAATATCTTTAAATGCCTGAAACCAATAAATCTCCCAGTCTTTGGGTGGGTGTTGGGGCACACCTTTAGCACTCAGCCAGGCAATTAACAATCCTGCCTTAGTGTTAATTTCCTGCATGCTCCAACTCTCAGTCTGCCAGAAGTGCGAGCTTAGAGTTTCCTCAGATCTTTTCTAAGCGTGTGCAAAGCCCTAGGAAAGCACACAGCCTTACTTAGGTGTGTTGATTTCTAGATTTCCAGGAATACAATAGAATTTTTTAAAGCTCCCATAGACATTGGATTCTCCAGCTTTTCTTTTTTCACTCTTTGGTGAATCTATTGTTTGTCCCACTGTTATCCATCACCTTAGGCAACAATGAAGCTAAAACATTTGTCTGTGATTGTTTTGGACAAAAACCCCCAGGGAAAAGGCTTTTCTCATTGGTTGAGCTTCAAGTTGATTCAAATACAGTTTTACAAGTAGGGTCTTCCAAAGAACCAATGGGCAGCTCAAATAACAACAGTTCTTCATAAGTGAAGCTTTGAAAAAACTCCAACTCCATTCTGGCCCATCTAATGGTTGCCGTGATGCACCAGAAATGGGGGCTGTTATTTTTCAAGGCTACCACATAGCTGGAAAGTCCTTATTCTACCATTTTTTTTCCTGACTTAATCCTGCTTGCTTGTTTTTATCATTAGGAGAAGTCTTCTAAGGATACCCCTAGTATTGCAAAAAGAACTTAGATTTTTGCAGGCCATCAGGAATGGAGCATCCTGGCTTCATGTCTTACATGCAATTCTCATTTAATTCTCACTATTACTCTAAGTAGCATATGGTCTGACTACCATTTTACAGATGAGAAAGTTGAGATCTAAAGAACTTAGGGCACTTGTCCAAGGTCACACTTCAAGTACACGGATGAACAATGTCTATCTGACTGCAAATCCTGCTTTTAAGTCTCAGTCATCCTCATACCACCTTCATAAGTTTCACTACATCTGCTGACAGTTAATTTTATTGTATCTACTAACAATGCCATTTACTTCATATTTTTTCTTTAAACAATCTCTTCTTATAATTAACATGAATACAATTCTTTGAATTAAATTTTATATTTCCAGTTTTGTATTCTCCAGCTTTTCTTTTTTCACTTTTTGGTGAATCTATTGTTTGTGCCTACTGTTATCCACCACCTTAGGCAACAATGAAGTTAAACATTTGTCCGTAATTGTTTTGGACAAAAACCCCTAGGGAAAAGGCTTTTCTCATTGGTTAAGCTTCACATTGGTTGAAATACAGTTTTAGAAGTATGTCTTCCTCTTATAAATGAAAAGTTAGTATCATGTAACACAAATAAAAGGTAACCATGAAATAGAGAGACCCAACAGACACAGATATAAGGGAAAATAAAGAAGAAAGCAGATGCACAGAGACACACAAAGAAATCAGGGTTATCTTATTCAATTCTATGTATCTGTTATGATCTGCAAAAAGCTTTGAGCCTGAGCCCTATTCTTTCCTTATTTTATTTTGTTTTGTTGTATTTTATTTTATTTTTTGAGGTGGAGTCTCACTCTGTTGTCTAGGCTGGAGTGCAGTGGCATGATCTTGGCTCACTGCAACCTCTGCCTCCCGAGTTCAAGCAATTCTCATGCTTCAGCCTCCAAAGTAGCTGGGACTACAGGTGTGCGCCACCATGCCTGGGTAATTTTTTTTTATTTTATTTTTAGTAGAGACGGAGTTTCACCATGTTGGTGAGGGTGGTCTCGAACTCCTGACCTCAGGTGATCTGCCCTTCTCGGTGTCCCAAAGTGCTGGGATTATGGTCATGAGCCACCGCGCCCGGCCTTCTTTCCTTATTTAGAAGAGAAGGGCGTGACAGTGAGAGAAAAACATCAAAGACAGAGTAGCAGCAAAACAAAACTTCCTCCTTCAGTTGATGAACAACTGGAAGGGAATCGGAAGGGACATAACTGTCTCACTGTGTGATTTGGGCTCAAGAATGCAGGACACTTCAGAGAAGGAACAAGCATGTCTAAGGCTCACAACACTGACTCAGAATTTTTTCCTAAGTCTCAAATGCCAACAGTTTACATTTTAGAACTAGCAAAATTCCCAGGTCCAAATTTCCTCATCAACATGCTTGGAGCCTTGAGTCTCATTGTGGTACATGAGGGCAGCCTCAGATGCCCCAGATGGACTCTAGGACAGAACAGGCTTCACCTCTTCCAGCCGACTCCACACATCCAGCACATCATGGGCGAAGTTGAAGTACTCAGGCACCAGCTGCCTTCCCAGGCTGATGGCTTCCCAGGTGGCCACGATCTTCTGAGGAACAGGTAGAGGTGCTGGCTTCCCATGAGACCCACAGAATGCCCTGGAGTTCCTCAGTGCCTGGAGGACTAGGTGTCTCAGCCATGGTCTCATGCAGTCGCCTCCTGTCTGTCACCAAAGAGAGGAAAGAGGGCATTGTCATAAATTCTGGGCTTTGGGGACAACACATAGGTTAGGAGAAACCTGTGGTTAGTGCTGATGGTGACTGTGATCCTTACTGACTTGTAGAATAAACTCTCCACCTTCAGTCTCAGTTCTGCTGTGTGATGGTCATTTCTCTCCTCTGACCCCGAGGTCTGTCCTTTTGACCTCTCACTGACTTGTGGGTATCTGGGTCTGAGGTCAGAACTCAGATCCCACTTCTCAAACCTCAATACTTCAAAAGGAATCCCTCAAAAAGGCTTTGGCCAATCCTGAACTGACCTTGCAAAGCTGAAGACAGCTCTAGGGCAGCACTGTCCAACAGAAATAGAACGTGAGCCACCTGTGCAATTTACAATGTTCTAGTACTTCCATTAAGAAAAGTAGAAGCAGGTGAGATTTATTATAATAAAACATTTTATTTAACCAGATAGAGCCAAAGTATGACCATTTCAATTCCTAGTCAATAGAAGAATAAATTGTTAAAGAGATATTTTACATACTTTTATTTATTTTTTGTTTTTTTTGGTACTAAGTCCTCACAATCTGAAATAGACTTTACCCTTACAAACACATGTCAATTTGGACTAGCCACACTTCAAGTGCTCAAAAGCCACAAGTGGCTGCTGTATGGCATGATGGGCTTTTAGTGTCTTTTTAATTTTTTTATTTAATTTTATTATTTTTAAAATTTTTATTATTGTTGTTTTTGAGACAGAGTCTCACTCTGCTGCCCAGGCTAGAGTACGGTGGTGCCATCATAGCTCACTGCAGCCTCAAACTCAAGCAGTCCTTCCACCCCAGGCTTCCTAGTAGCTGGGACTACAGGCACTAGCCACCATGTGTGGCTAACTTTTAAAAAGTTTTTTTGTAGAAACAGGATCTCACTATGTTGCCCAGGCAGGGCTTGAACCCCTGGCCTCAAGTGATCCTCCCAACTCGGCCTCCCAAGTGCTGGGATTACAGATGTGAGCCACTGTGCCCAGCCCAGTTTTAGTGTCTTGCTACTCAAAGTGTGATCTTGGGACCAGCAGATGGGACCCCACCCTACATATGTAGAATTAGAATCTGCAAGTTAACGGGATCTTCAGATGAGTCATATGCATGTTAAAGTTTGAGAGGCACTGGCCCGGGAGCTGCGTGTGACCTCAGTTTCAGTTTCCTTGCATTAAATTCCTCTTAGTAATAATAATAACAAAATATGGTAATAACAACCAACAATAATAACGTGGCACAACAAGAAAAACCATAACAGCTTCAGTCTATTGAAGGCCTACTGTGTACCAAGCATTTTAAGAGTGCTTAGAGGCATTATTTCATGAAATCTTTATAACAACTCTATGCTGTAAATGTTATTTTCTCCATTTAAAGATAAAGAAAATGAGGCTTAAAGGGGAAAAGTGACTTTCAGGTTTCACTTCCTGGAAAAACATAGGCCCCAGCCTCTGCAGTGGCCACCAGGCCTAGGCCTGCAGCCTCAGAGACTTCCTTTCTCTGACCCACCTCTCCCGCCCCTCACCTCTCCCGCCCCTCACCTCTCCCGCCCCTCACCTCTCCCGCCCCTCACCTCTCCTGAACTGAGCTCTGCCCCAGTCCTTTTCCTCAGTCTCCCACCCCTGGATTCCTCAGCCACCTAAACAGCTGATAATTTAGAATCCCCAGGCCTCCTTCCCATTCCCCGACACCATTTCAGATGTCACTTCTTGATTTAATCAGCAAAGGCCTCAGAGGCAGCTGATACCTTCGTCTGAAAAATTTCTTTCCAAATTACCTTGCTCTTGAACCAAAGTAATGCAAAAGGTCTCTGTTTTCTGCTTCAGCTGAGCAGAGCAGGGCTGAGTGGCTGTAAACACTCAGCTCCCTCAGAAAACAGCCTCCCACAGGGAACTTCAGCCCCAAATGCAGCCAAGAGTGGGCAGAGCCAGAACCCAGCAGCTGACACAGTGGCTTCCAGTGGTCAGGGTGCATTGAGCCAGTGAGAGTGGCCCCCTGCCAAGTTTTCTCAGTACTCACAGTGGCTGGAAGATCAGACCTCAACTGTCGTGCCTGGTGGGTGTGCCCAAACTGGTGGATGTATTCCCTAAAAATTCAAGTCGCCATCTAATCGGAAAAAGCAACAGGAAGATTATGACGGGTTTTTTTTTTTGTTTGTTTGTTTGTTTTGAGACGGAGTCTCCCTCTGTGGCCCAGGCTGGAGTGCAGTGGCGCGATCTTGGCTCACCCCAAGCTCTACCTCCCGGGTTTGCGCCATTCTCCTGCCTCAGGCTCCCGAGTAGCTGGGACTACAGGCGCCCACCACCATGCCCGGCTAATTTTTTGTATTTTTTAGTAGAGACGGGGTTTCACCGTGTTAGCCAGGACGGTCTCGATCTCCTGACCTCGTGATCCGCCCGCCTCGGCCTCCCAAAGTGCTGGGATTATGATGTTTTAACAGAAAAGGTGCAATAGTGATAATAATATAAGTCAGACTTTGTTTCTTTTCTGCTTAGAACCCTCCAGTAGATACAGAGAGAACAGAGGAGTGGTTCCAGGGAACGGCTCTAAGGCATCCCTTTGAAGTCATAGAATTGTTCTAAATTTGGATTGTGGTCATGACTGCAGATCTCTGTAAATTTACTACAAAAAATAGTAATAATAATTGTACACTGCCAAAAGAAGTTTTTTGGGTTTTTTTGTTTGTTTTTGGAGACAGGCTCTTGCTCTGTCGCCCAGGCTGGAGTGCAGTGGCGCAATCTTGGCTCACTGCAACCTCCACCTCCCGGGTTCAAGCGATCCTCCCACCTCAACCTCCCGAGTAGCGGGGAATATAGGCATGCACCACCATGCCTGGCTAATTTTTGTATTTTTTTGGTAGAGATGGGGTTTCAACATGTTGGCCAGGTTGGTCTCAAATTCCTGACCTTAAGTGATCTGCCTGCTTTGGCCTCCCAAAGTGCTGGGATTATAGGTGGGAGCCACTGCACCTGGCCCAAAGGTGGTTTTTCGAAAAAGCTTCCTGCAACTCCCTATCTCACTCACAGTCCAAGCCAAAGTCCTGACGATTGCCGGGTGGGATGGCTCACGCCTGTAATCCCAACACTTTGGGAGGCCAAGGCGGGCGGATCACGAGGTCTGAAGATTGAGACCATCCTGACTAACACGGCGAAACCCTGTCTCTACTAAAAATACAAAAATTAGTCAGGCGTGGTGGCGCCTGTAGTCCCAGCTACTCTGGTGGGCGCCTGTAGTCCCAGCTACTCTGGAGGCTGAGGCAGGAGAATGGCATGAACCTGGGAGGCACAGGTTGCAGTGAGCCGAGATCGTGCCACTGCACTCCAGCCTGGGAGACAGAGTGAGACTCCGTCTCAAAAAAAAAAAAAAAGTCCTGGCAATTGCCTACAGGGCCCCACAGGAATTCCTGTGAGCCTTTCGCCTCAAACCTCCTGTCTCAGTCTGCTCCAGCCATACCGGTCTTTTTGTTGTTTGTTCTCTGAAGTTCTTTTTAAATTATTTTTAATTTTTGTGGGTACATAGTAGGTATATACATTTATGGGTTACATGAGATATTTTGATACAGGCATGCAATGCGTTAGAATCACATCAGGGTAAATGGGGTGTCCATCACCTCAAACATTTATCCTTTGTGTTACAAACAATCCATTTATACTATTGTAGTTATTTTAGGTGTATGGTTACATTATTTTTGAAGATAGTCATCCTATTGTGCTAGGAAATACTAGGCCTTATTCATTCACTCTTACTACTTTTTTGTACCCATTAACCATCCCCACTTCTCCTCCAACTCCCTGCAACACTTTCCAGCCTCTGGTAACCGTCCTTCTACTGTCTCCATGAGTTCATTTGTTTTCCTGTTTAGCTCCCACAGGTAAGCGAGAATGTGCAATGTTTGCTTTCTATGCCTGGCTTACTTCCCTTAATGTAATGACTTCCAGTTCCATCCATGTTGTTGCAAATGACAGGGTTATGGGTGTCCTATAGAGAGGATGCTGAGCCATTAACTGCCTATCTTTGCAGTGATTCAAACTTCACCCTGGATTTTTATCCATCACTGTATGTTGTTCCCCTGTGACTCTGTCTCATTTCCTGGCCTGGCCAGTTTGGCCCATTTCCACGCAGGCAGCTCCTCTCCCTTGCCGCCAAGCTTGGCCACAGGGAACCATCTTATGAGCCCTCAATGTCCATTTGCTCAGCATTCAGTCCTCTACTGCGACCCAGGATACAACCTCATCTCTGAATCTGCAGCCAGATGTAAAGATACAATCTCTACCCTCAGAGGGGTGGACGGACTGTTGAACATTATTTCTCCAGCAGTCTAATCTCAATATCGTTACTCTCAATCAGTACTTTTTAGAAGAATATATAATCATAAGTCATGACAAATGTTTCATAAATGTTCAATGAAAGAACTGGATACACTTTATAGACAATATAATCACAATTTTATTTTTAAAAAGTATATATTAATCCCATACGTAACAAAATATGAATGTTTCTCTAAGTAAGATGATGTATGATTTCAATTAACTCATTTTTTCTGTATGTTCTATGTTTTAGAAATTAAATCCTGTTCTTTTCTAATCAGAAAGAAATTAATGTTATTTTATAAAAAGAAGCTTTAAGCCGGGCACAGTGGCTCACGCCTGTAATCCCAGCACTTTGGGAGGCCGAGGTAGGTGGATCACCTGAGGTCAGGCGTTTGAGACCAGTTTGGCCAAAATGGTGAAACCTCGTCTCTACTAAAAATACAAAAATTAGCCGGCCGTGGTGGTGCATGCCTGTAATCCCAGTTACTCAGGAGGCTGAGGCAGGAGAATTACTTGAACTCAGGAGGCGGAGGTTGCAGTGAGCCAAGATTGCACCACTGCACCCCAGCCTGGGCAAGAGAGCAAGACTCTGTCAAAAAAAAAAAAAGCAGCAGCAGCTTTATCAGTAAATGAGTATCATCATAAAAGTGCCTATGTTATGTCAAGAAACAACTGTGTGCAAGAGTGAAGGAAAATGAATGAAGGACATTTGGGATAATAACCCAAGTGTTTTAGTTTGTGACTAACAGTTGACAAGTGTGAAAGATGTCAAAATAATATATGCCAGACTAGATTGTTGATTTAGGCCTGGGAGAAAAAAGAGTCAAACACATCCCAGGAATTATTTGCAAACACAACATCCAGAAAAGGAATAATTGCCAAGAAAAGTTGAAAGGGACATGATGAGTTCAAATTAAGACATTCAGATATTCAGTGAGTGTGGTTCAACCAAAAAGAGCTTTTCTAATAGGCAGATGGAAAACGGTCTTAATAGTAAATGTAATCAATTGATCAAATCCTGGAGAGTAAATGAGAGAGTAACTTATAAAGGGGTGTATTTGAAGTCATGCATTTAAACAAGCCAACAAAAGTATGGAAGTTAAGTATGGAAAGAGAAGAGTGGGGCCGCATGCCGTGGCTCACGCCTGTAATCCCAGCACTTTGGGAGGCCGAGGCAGGCAGATCATTTGAGGTCAGGAGTTTGAGACCGACCTGGCCAATGTGGTGAAACCCCGTCTCTACTAAAAATACAAAAATTAGCCAGACGTGGTGGTGCATGCCTGTAGTCCCAGCTACTCAGGAGGCTGAGGCAGGAGAACCGCTTGAACCCTGGAGGTGAAGGCTACAGTGAGTGGAGATCGCGCCACTACACTGTCTCAAAGAAAAAGAAAAGAAAGAGAAGAGCAAAGCGCTAGGACTAAAACCCACAGATGTTAAAATTTAGTGAAATGAATGTTAGTCATCTCCATCAGTATTTAATAACAGTTGGGCAGCAGATAGCCAAAGGCTGCAAACTCTGACAGTAATAACGATGCTAATAATATCAACAGCCTTTTCTTTATTCATTCAACAAATATTTACTGAGCACCTATCACCAGGTAAGCAAAGTAAATTATGTGGAGTTTAGAAGAAAATTAATGCTATGAAGGAAAATAAAGCCTGGAAGGAGGATGAGGAACGCCTGAGAGGGGGATGGGGCACTTACAAATTTAAACAAAGTGGCCAGGAAAGGCCCAACTGTGGAAGTGACATTTGGGCAAAGACTGGAACGAGCTAAGGGGTGAACCCTGAGTCCACCTGGGTGAAGAGCCTCCCTAACAGGGGAAACCACAAGTGTAGAGGCCCAGACATTGTATTGGAGGACTGGCAGGGACACCAGTGTGGCTGGAGCAGGGTGAGTGGAGATCTTTCTCCCCTAGGAGATGAGGCCAGGGTGGTGATGCGTGAGGGGCTCCTGCCTTCTAGGTACTGAGCTGCTCGTTTTGCATAAATCCTCTTATTTTATCCCATCCCCCTCTCAGGCGTTCCTCATCATCCTTCCAGGTTTTATTTTTCTTCATATCATTAATTATCTTCTAAATTCCACATAATTTACTTTGCTTACAACACCCCCATGAGTTAGATGCCATGTAACAGGCATGGAAACTGAACCTCAGAAAGAGTAAGTGACATTCTCAAGGCCATACAGCTGTTCAAGACAGAGCTGGGATTCAAATTCCAATCTATAGGCACTGAGTTCAGAGCCCTCCTGGGCCATACCCAGCACCCCACACTGAGTTTTGTTTCTAGCCCCTCAAGCAAACTCAGCAAGGGCTGCCAGGCAGGGCCCCCTCTTACTCAACAATGGCCCATTCTTCTACAGGGTCACCCCTGGTCCTCTAGAACCCCAGAACTCAGAACTTTGCTGCTGAGGCTGCTGTGGCCTCTGTGTGCCCAGGAAGGGACTTCATTTCTGCCTGTGGATTCTTTAGAATGCCCAGTCGTCTGCGGGTCCTGCCCTGATCACAAGGAGAAGCCAGGAGCCTCCTCTTCAGGCTACAACCTTCCTTCTTAAGGGCCACAGAGTTTGTGGCCCCACCCCCAGCACAGCCCCACCTTGGCCCCAGGAACCCTGGGAGTGGCCTTGGCTTCCTGCAGGTATGAGCTTCAGTGAAAATGGGAAATCTGACTGATGGGCCCTGCCTTGGGAGGCTTTTCTCTACCAGGAGTCACCAGTTTAAGTTTTAAGTGTCAGTTTTGGTGTATAGATGGCTACACATTAGGATCAACTTGAGGATTTTAAAAAATAATAATAATGCCCAGACTCACCCAACCCCAGATCAATTAAATTAGAACCTACTGGGTTTGGGTTTGAACATCAGTATTTTTTATTAAACTCTCCAAGAGATTCTCAGCATAGTCATGGTTGAGAACCACTGAAATGAACCAATGGGGTTTGCTGTAAGAGTTAAATTAGGCCATTCATTCATTCATTCAACAAACATTCATTGAGTTCCAAATCTGGTACAGGCACTGTTCTGAAGGGGAGAAAACAGCTGTGAACAATGGTATTTACATTAAAAAGTTCAAAATGACAACAACAACAAAGTACACTCATAAATAATAATACAAAATATGATGCAAACAATGGTGATATGGCAGAGAGTGCTGAAAGCTGAGATGGGGTGAGACAGAGTGGCCCGGGAAGACCCTTCTGATGAGCGTGGATTCGAGCTAGGACCCAGAGAACCAGAAAAGGCTGACGATGTGAGGGAAGGGTGCCCCAGACAGAGGCAAAGGCCCCGGGTAGGGTGTGCTTGGGAAAGGGAAGAGGCCAGTGTGGCTCCCCAGAGTGCGGGAGGAGAGAGAGAGAGGAGGGCGATAAGGTCAGATGGGTCCAGAGCCAGTGGGGCCTGGTAGACCACAGAGAACAGTTTGGCTGGTGTGCGGTTTTGCGAATGGATTGTAAAAAAAAAAGAGGCAGAAGCTTTTTTTTGCACAAAAGTGAGCACCTTTTGATAGGCACAGTGGTGTGATGGAATTCCTGTGTCGAAAGGAAATCTCTGCTGGGCACGGTGGCTCACGCCTGCAATCTCAGCACTTTGGGAGGCCCAGGCAGGTGGATCACCTGAGGTCAGGAGTTTGAGACCAGCCTGGCCAACATGGTGAAATCCCGTTTCTACTAAAAATACAAAAATTAGCCGGGCATGGTGGCGGGTGCCTGTAGTCCCAGCTGCTAGGGAGGTTGAAGCAGGAGAATCGCTTAAACCCAGGAGGCGGAGGCTGCAGTGAGCCAAGATCATGTGATTGCACTCCAGCCTGGGCAACAAGAGCAAAACTCTGTCTCAAACAATAAAAATAAAAATAAAGGAAATGTCTGATTGTTGTGTGGGGAATGGGTTGAGGTGAAGCACAAAGAGTAGAAGCAGAGGCAGGATCAGTAAGGAGGTTACCACACCCTCTTGGCGGGAAACCACAGTGGCTGGGACATGGGGTCTCTCCACGGCATACAGGGAGAATGCACACAGGGAGAATGTGGAGGGAATGCACACAGTTGACACTCAGCACAATATGGCTGGTGACCAGCCCCTCGATTTTGGCTATTCTCATTAATAAAAGTTTCCCATGACAGCCACTCTCCTCTGAGTAGGGGGTAGGGAGCTGATGTTGGAGCTGAGCTTGGACTTTGTGAGGCTGGGGGACACAGCGGAGCCACAGTGGTGTCAGGCTAGAAAGGCAGGTGCCGGCAGAACCAAGGGCCAAGGCTGAGAGAATAAAGGGGCAGGTCAGGGCAGGCTGCAGGCAGGATGGCTGAGAGCACAGTCCCAGGGCTGGACAGGGTGGATGCTACAGTCTCAGGGGAGCCCTGGGATGCTGCAGAGCTGAGCCAGGTATTGTGGGAGAGATTGGGAGAAAAAACAGCAGCAGGGCAGAGAGAGACTATTTCTCCCACACTCCCAGAAATGCAAATACAGTAGTTCACTTCTTTGCTTCCCTTAGTCAAATGTCAACTTCTAAATGAAGCTTTCCCACGGTCACCCTATTTTAAAATATCAGCCAGGCACAGTGGCTCATGCCTGTCATCCCAACACTTTGGGAGGCCGAGGTGGGCGGATCACCTGAGGTCAGGAGTTCCAGACCAGCCTGGCCAACATGGCGAAACCCTGTCTCTACTAAAAATACAAAAATTAGCCGGGCATGATGGCACGCGCCTATAATCCCAGCTACTCCAGAGGCTGAGGCAGGAGAATCCTTTGAACCAGGGAGACGCAGGTTGCAGAGAGCCGAGATCGCGCCACTGCATTGCAGCCTGGGCGACAGAGCGAGACCCTGTCTCAAAAGAAAAGAAAAGAAAAGAAAAGATCAACACTCCTCCCTGACTCCAACACTTTTGAATCTTCTCTTATCCACCTTTTCTCCTTTGCATTACCATCATCTGACACACCATTGATTGCATCTATTTATCTCACTGCATTTCCCACTACTAAGATGTAAGGAATATTGTTTGTATCCCTAGCACCTAGAATGGTACTTAACATGTTTTAAGACTTCAAAAATATTTGATGAATGAATGAGTGAGCAAGTGAGTAAAGAGGAGCTGTGGCTGGCTCCGTGGAGCCAAAGGGAAGCCTGGTGGCCAGAGTCTGACCGACTGTGGAGGGCTCTGCTCACTAGCCAGTGGGGCTTGATCTCCGTCCTGTTGGACATGAATCACTGGAAACATTTGAGGCTTATGATCCAGCCTGCCCAGGTTAGCAGGAAACCTGACACCTCCCACTGCCCCTTCCTTGATCAGGAACTCAGGGCGAACACTCTGCCAAAGGCCTGGGAGACGAGGACATGAGAGGGAGCCCACTGTAGCTCCTCCCGCCTGGCTTTTGCTCAGAGGCTCAGCCCTCCACGGTGGCTGAGCTGGGCCCATGGTTCAGCTCTGTACCCTGAAGGTGTCCAGCTGACTCAGGGTCACTGGCCCAGTGTCCTCTGTCCTCCAGCAAGTGCCATCCACACCCCTCAGAGATGGTCTCACAATCTTGAATTTCAAGGTTTCTTCTCTGAAGGCCCCTTGAGGCTTTTGCAGATCTGGCCCTTTCCTGCCAGGCAAGGGATTCTGGGCACCGAGGAGGTTTGGAAGGTTTGAAGGGACTGTCAGGCCTAGGACGGTTCTGGGTGACCCTCCCTACCTTACGTTTATGTCACAAAGGAGGGGTTATTCAAGTGACTTTCTGTAGAATAAAAACTAACTCTCTAGTACTTTGATGTCTCCAGCTGGGCAAAGAATTCTTAGGCAGCCGTTTCTCTCACAAGTAAGTGAATCAAAGAACAAATAAACAAGGAAGTAAATTATTTCTAAGAACAAGGGTTCTACCTAATAGTCATCATGCTGTACCAGACTTAGTCCGGGCTGATAAGTGGCATAACACCTGGTGAATTCTGGGACCTTGAGATCATCAAGGACTCAAGGCTGGGCTGACAGTAATGAGCCCTTTGGCTGAGACACAGATTTAAATGGTCTGTATCATTTAGCTGTCCAGAAAACCAGGTTATCCACTTGCCCTTCTTCCTTTTCTCCACTTGCCCTTTGTTGGTTTCATTTGACCATGTGCTTCTCAAGCTACAAACTGAATGATAGATTTACCTGGGAGAGGCTCAGGAGACAAAACAAGCAATGACAATTCATGGATTTCATTTGAGTCCTGATTTAAACAGACTTAAAATTTATGAGGCCATCAGGGTAATTCGCACACTGTCTAGATATTTGATGATATGATGACATTATTGTGCATTTCATTAAGTATGATCATAGTATTGTGGTTATTGTGTTGTTTTGAAAAATCCTTACCTTTTAAATATTTATAATAAAATATTTATGGGTGAAATGACATGATTCCCAGAATGGATTCAAAATAATCCAAGGCAGGGAGTCAAGAATATAAATAAAATAACATTGGTCATGACAATAAGTGAAGTTGAGTGATGGGTACCTTGGGGGTACCTTGTACCATCTCTCTATTTTTGTACATATTCAAAATTTCCCAAATAGAAGTTGAAATAAAACAAAAGAATCATCTGGGGAGCTTTTGAAACATGTAGGTATCCAGACCCCATCCTGAGCAATTCTGAATTAATTGGTCTGGAGTGAGATTGAGTGTCAGTATTCTCCTAAAAGCTCCCCAGAGGATTTTCATGTGTATCCAGGGTTAAAAAGAGCTAACCAAGCTGCAAAAAAAAAAAAAAAAAAGTATCATCTGATTCCATTTATATTTAAAAATATACATTCAGGCTGGGTGCAGTGGATAATGCCTGTAATCCCAGCACTTTAGGAGGCTGAGGCAGGCAGATCACTTGAGGTCAGGAGTTCGAGACCAGCCTGGCCAACATGGTGGAACCCCATCTCTACTAAAAATACAAAAATTAGCCAGGTGTGGTGGTGGGCATCTGTAATCTCAACTACTTGGGAGGCTGAGGTGGGAGGATCACTAGGGTGAGCCTCTGGAACCCAGGATGCAGAGGTCGCAGTGAGGTGAGACCGTGCCACTGCACCCCAGCCTGGGTGACAAGAGCAAAACTCCGTCTCAAAAAATATATATATATATATATAGATAGATAGATAGATAGATAGATAGATAGATAGATAGATAGAGATATATTCAAAGGTATGTTTACATAGATATTTTCAATATCTGTAAGGATTCATTCCATACTTCTCTAAGAGTCACTTTCTCAGCAGTGAGAGAATGGGAGAGATTTTTACTTCCTTCTTGACATTTGTATTGTATTGCTTGAAACTTTTACAAGTGTGTATTATAGTTATGACTTTTTAAATATTTACACTTGATAAAATTTGTTCAAAAATTAAACAGGGTACACTGCAGGTAGTGAGCTTCCCTTCACAGGGGCATTCAAGCAGGAGCTGGAGGAGGGTGAAGTGGGGGCATTGTAGGCAGGGGGATTCCTGGGGGGCTGTGATGGGGGATTGAACCAGTTATCTCTGAGATCCAGAGGCTCACCCTAGGACTCTGAAATGGGACCTTATCTTTGCACAAGTCTCACCTCGTGGCTGGGAAGTCAGTGGGCTTGAGTGGTCTGCGTTTGCTTCAGCATCCAGCTGCTCCCAGTGGGTTCTTGCTGCTTTAAGCTTTCCCCATACAGTCACTACTGGGCCTGAGGTCGACCTAATACTTTGCTTCTTCTCCAGGGCTGCTGCCAAGCTGCAGGCATTGCTGGGAGGCAATGCTCAGGCCACATTCACCCTACATGGACCAGCTGGACAAGGAAGTGGGGGTGATGACGTGGGGCTCCACCACCTGTGTTGATAAGGTCTCTGTTCCTTCTCCGGCCCCTGCAGGACAGCCATGGACCTACTCTGGATGCCCCTGCTGCTGGTGGCCGCTTGTGTCTCTGCTGTCCACAGCTCACCAGAGGTTAACGCCGGTGTTTCCAGCATCCACATAACCAAGCCTGTGCACATCCTGGAGGAACGCAGTCTCCTAGTGCTAACGCCCGCTGGCCTGACCCAGATGCTGAACCAGACCCGCTTCCTCATGGTGCTTTTCCGTGAGTGCCCCCATCCTGGGTGATGGATGATAGATGGGATGAGGCCTGCCTCCTTGTGTGTGGGGACCAGAAGAGTTTTATATATTGCTAAACACATAAGAACACATATTATTTAAAACAGACATTTAATATATATAGACAGCATCATCTCCAATCTCCAGATGAGAATACTCCAGGGAGGTTAAGCAAATTGCAATATATTATGCCATCCCTGTAGTCTTGGATTTGTATGTGGCTCCTCTGTCCCACTGAAGAGGAGCCAGGCTTTAACCCGAGGTGTCTGTATTATTCCGAGCCTCAGTCTTTCTCCTCTGTAAAATGGGTGTGAACCTAATGACACACTGGATTATAGTGAAGATTAAATGAGATGTGATAAGTTCCTGGAACACATCTAGAGAGAAATAAATGATGGCAGCCTGGGGCAAGCTCTGGAGACAGTTTTTAGACCGTCACTTTTTTGTTTGTTTTGAGACAGGGCCTTGCTCTGTCTCCCAGGCTGGAGTGCAGTGGCATAATCCCAGCTCACTGCAACCTCCACCTCCTGTGTTCACGCGATTCTCATGCCTCATACATCTGAGTAGATGGGATCGCAGGTACCCGCCACCACACCCAGCTAACTTTTGTAATTTTTGTATTTTTAGTAGAGACAGGGTTTCACCACGTAGGCCAGGCTGGTCGCGAACTCCTGACCTCAAATGATCTGCCCACCTCAGCCTCCTAAACTGCTGGGATTACAGGCGTGAACCACTGTGCCCAGCCGAGACCATCACTCTTGCTGTCAGATTTGCATGGCCACTTTTGTTCTTTGGACATTTTGCATCAGCAGACATTTTGGGGGACAGAGCAGGCTGCTTCTTCCTGAGGCATTGGGACCAAGCCATGCCCTGGGACAGAATGTAAGGGATTTTCATAACAACTTCCCCATAGTGAGCATTCATGGTGTGCCTGGCACTGTCCTAAGTGCTTCATTAAATGTGACATCATTTGATCCTCACAACCCCGTGTGATGGGTACTAGTCATCTCCCTATTTGATAGTTGAGGAAACAGAAACTCAGAAAGGATCAGCAATTTGCCCAAGGTCACACAGCACAAGTGGCGACCACAGACCCCATGTTGTCCCATGTTCTGTATGGTAGGATTTGGAGAATTAGACCGCAGGTGTGAACACTGGATTTGGAATCCTGTGTTCAGAGCCACTCCTGGAAAATTGCTGGCTCCGTGTCAGTCCCTAAGGCCTGCTTCCAGGACGTGCCTGACCAGCACCAGGTTCCCAGAGGCTAGGCAGAGCCTAAGGTTCCAGGGAAGAGCAGGGCAGGGGAGGCAGGGTGCCTTTCCCTTCTTGGTTTTCACCTGCTTCCCAAGCTGCCCCTCCACCCACACTCCCCTATGCTCCTCCTCGCGGCTGTTGTTCTGAGACAGCCCTTTCTCCCTTCTCTGTGTGCTGCCCTCTGA
Source organism: Homo sapiens (assembly GCF_000001405.40). Classification (NCBI taxonomy): domain Eukaryota; kingdom Metazoa; phylum Chordata; class Mammalia; order Primates; family Hominidae; genus Homo; species Homo sapiens. Next base: position 20,397,645 of record NC_000016.10, on the reverse strand, counting down.
CCAGAACCATTTACAGACTCCCTTTTATTTCTAGTCCAACCAGTGCAATGTAGTGTGATGAGGTCAGCTTCAGGGGTTCACAGTCCTACGTTCAAAGGCTGAGTTCTGCCACTTACTGGACTGGTGGCCTTGGGCTGGTGATCTTGAGCATTCTGAACTTCTGTTTACTTGACTGTAAAATGGGGAATTTAATAACATTTATAGGCTGGGCATGGTAGCTCATGCCTGTAACCCTGGCACTTTGGGAGGCCGAGGTGGGAAGCTCTCTTGAGCTCAAGTGTTCAAGAACCAGCCTGAGCAACATGGCAGAACCCCATCTTTACCAAAAAGAAAAATACAAAAGTTGGCTAGGAATGGTAGCACACACCTGTAATCCTAGCTACTTGGGAGGCTGAGGTGGGAGAATCGCTTGAGCCCAGGAGGTCAAGACTGCAGCGACCCGTGATCATGCCACTGCACTCCAGCCTGGCTGACAGAGCGAGAACCTGTCTCAAAATAAATAAATAAATAAATATGTACATACATAAAATTTATAACTCCTAGGGTTATTGTGGGGATTAAGTGAAATAATGTGCTTAGCACAGTGACTGATGCGTAATAAGAACTTAAGAAGATGTTGGCTTCCACTATCATCATCCTCGCCAGTTTTCTCACCTGTACAACAAGGTTAATAATTCCTCCCTTGCAGGTTGTTGTGGTGATGAAAGTGGGCTCAGATATGCAGTCCCCTGTCACAGGGGGCACTCCACAGGCAGAAGCTATCACCATTGGGTTCTTATTCACCCCACACTTATGCAGCTCAATGCCAGGCAATGGGTGGGCTCTATGAGTGTCTTGGTTTCTGCTCTCAAGGACTTTACAGTTTAAGCCAGGAATGTCACAAGGCATGAGAAACCCTTTAAAACAAAGTGTGATAAAGTCATGCAATTAAAATAGTCTAAACTGTATACTTTGGGTGCTCTGAAGTGGAGAAGTAATGGTTTGAACTTGTCCTCAGAAGTGATTCTTTCAACTGCAGCAGCTGAGTGACGTTCTCTGGCTTGGTTCCTGCTCCCTCATGTCTTTGAGTGCACGAGGGATTCCCAGGCCAATGCAAATGCATCTGGAAGCTTGAAGTTTGCCTTGAAGTGAGAGACAGCATCTGTTGGGCTTCCACGTAATGCCCAGTGATAGATAATCAAAGCCAAAGAGTTAGTAGAAGTCGTTGAAATTTATGGTTGTTGATATCAATATTTAATCAAAGACCTCATGCCAAGCATTAGTAAGTTCTAAAGAATCTCTCTTAACCTGAATCATTCATGCATCTTGGTTCTTATGCAACATCAAGGTTTGGTGTAACATATATTGGGATCCAGGCAAGACTGAGTGTAAAGCCGAGTTCTTCCATAAACTGGATATGTGGCCTTGGGTGAGTTTCTTGTTGTCTCACTTTCACCTGTAAAGCGAGAATATTGAAAGTGGTATAGTCATTATAGGGATTAACTGAGAGGTTATCACCTGACATGTGGAAGTTGCTCAATAAACATGAGTTCCCATTCTCCCTTACCCTGTGGCACTGAGGCAAATGCAGTTCATCAACCCTGTGTCAGTTAAGACAGAGTTCAACTACAAGTAATTAAGAATCTGCTAATGGTGATGTCTTTGTCTGTTTGTGTTGCTACAAAGGAATACCTGAGGCTGGGTAATTTATAAACAATAAAGCTTTATTTGGTTCACAACTCTGCTGGTTGTAAGTTGGGCATCTGATGAAAGGTTCGAGCTGCTTCTACTCATGGTGGAAGGTGAAGGGGGAGCTGGTGTGTGCAGCAATCATGTGTGAGAGGGGAACAAGAGAGAGGAGCAGCGGCTGCCAGGCTCTTTTTAACAACCAGCTCTTGCAGAAACTAATAGAGTGAGAACTCACTCGTTACCTTGGTGACAGCATCAAAACATTCATGAGGGATCCACCTCTATGACCCAAACACCTCCTATTAGGCCCCACTCTAACACTGGGGAACAAATTTCAACATGACATTTAAAGAAAGTCGAACTAACCAAACTATAGCAGGTGGCTTACTCCAAGAGTTGATCTCACACACTATGTGAGGTGGGACAGGAAGTCAATGCCTGACATAGCAACTCCACAGTGTCAGGGACAAGGCTTCTTCTATTTTCTGACTCCCTCATCCTTGACACATTAAAACTGATGGTCACAAGATGGCTGCTATGCTTCTTGCATTGCACTGCACGTTCCAGCTAGAAATAAAAAGGGATGGGCAAACAACAAAGGGATAAAATACGTCAGCCACCTATGTCCCTTTAAAAAAATCAAACTTTCCCAGAGCTGCACCCAATCACTTTGGTAACATCTTATTGGCTAGAACTTAGGCCCATGGATGTTTCTAACTGAGAAGTCTGGAATGGTGAATGTTTTAGGTTTCCAACCTCTTTAGTTGAGAAAGCAAAACAAAAGGAGGTTATAAATGGCTGATTCTCAGTATTTGCCATAAGATCCAAGGTTATAGGCTAACTTAAATGTGTCAAGCATCTTATTAGTTCTTTACATATCATGGGGTCAATTAATACGAGATCAATGAAATCCCTTAAAGAAATAAATTATATATGTATTACCCACTTTAATACTCAAACTTCTTCTTTGCTCTAATTTTGACTAGTTATCTTAAAGATCACTGTGTTTACTGGGAAAGCTAACTGCTATAACAATCACCAAATCTAGGTTCATAAGGGTCCATATCATCTTAGTCCCAGGTGGGTCTGCAGAGAAGCTCTGCTCCATACAATCATTCAGGCAACCAGTCTCCTTCTACCTAGGACCTCAGCCACCCCTTAGGGCCTAGAGTACTCCACAGAAACCTCTGCCTCCAGCCAGCAAGGTGGGAGGGAGACGAGGATGTGCCTCTGGGTCAGGCTAGGCCTGGAAATGATGCCCATCTGTGCTACTCAATGTGTAGGCCATAAGCCAGCAATGTCAGCTTCACTCAGGAGCTCATAGAAATGCAGACTCCCAGGTTTCATCCTAGAAGCACTGAATCGGAATCTGCATTTTAACAAGATTCTCAAGTGATTCACATACATTAAAGTGTGAGAAGCACTGGTGTACATCATTTCTACCCACATTCCATTGGCCTGATCACTGCCCTATAGCCGTGCTTATCTGTAAGAGAGGCTGGGAAATGTAGTATGGCTGTATACACCAAGAGGAAAAAGAAACCAGGCCTGGGGAACCCACAATATTGCCTTCCTTTAGTCACATTGCACCTGCTTTTTGCTATAAAAGCCTTGAAATGACCTTTGTTCAGAAACAACTCAAAGCTGGGCAGGCTGAGAGGCAGCCTGGTGGAATAAGCTCTTTCAGACAGTGAACCACCAGAAAGAGTTCTCTTCTGGGTAGGAATGTCAAAAACTATTTTCTCCAAGAGATTGCCTTGGCTCAGGCTAACTTTCAAGGGACAGCTGTTTCTCAAATCCCGTGGACACTGGACAGCCCTCACCTTCCTTGACCTTCTTTGCATATTCATGCCAAGACCCCCTAGTGCCTGGTTTCAGTGAACTCAGTCTCTTCTGGTTCCTGTGTATCTCTCTGGCTCCTTTTTCACAGTTCTTTTCTATGACTCCTCCTCTTTCCCATAACATTGAAACTAAGGATATAACAGGAAGCCCAGGAACTGAGCCCATGAGCTGGCAGCTGGCCCATGCAGTGTTTAAAAGAAATGAAACATGTCACAGTTAAAACTGAATGTGCATCAGCTCTTCAAAAAATCAGAAGACCTGGAAGCTCTGGCCCACAGTCCTGCAAGGTGACAATTGGCTGAAGCTGAGTTGTGATTTTTCCTTGTGGTCAGAGAACATGCTTATCAATTTGCCATATTCCTATCCAGCCAACCTCACACTGTCACACTCTCTGCTTTACCCCCATGACATTTGAGTCTATGTCCCCTGCCAGAAATTCGGTCTTCCAAAGCTCCTTCCTCAATCCTTGTCCTTCTCATTTGAGGTATACTCTGTGAGTGGTGCCACTTAAATGAGGAAATTTGGGGATATGGGAGCATCAACAACTCAGCCCCCCTGAGTCCTGGTGCCTCCCCTGCTAGGTTATGCTGCCACTTCATAGAAGCATGAATCACCTTCTTTTTCTACCGTTAACATTTATAGTTCCCACAAGGAATGTCCAATTGGGTCATTTTTGCCTCCATCCAATATTGAACATGCGTGTTGCTTGAAGTTTCATCAATGTAGTTCCAAGCTTGTGACCTCCCTCTAACTCAGGCTGTTCTTCAGGATGCCAGCTTGATTTTACTTCAAAGCCCTTCGAGCAATACCTTGTAAGAGAAATCCAGCCTAGGCCATTTTCTTTACATGAGCCTGTGAGCACGGCAGGCATTTCCACTTTGCTGAAAGACTCCTCCAGCTAGTTCTGCACATCCCTCATCCACACTAGAATTCAGGCCAGCACTTGTGCATCTATTTCATGGTGACTTTTACAGGGAGGAGCAGAGAAACTTGCAGTCTCACTCCACTTGCTGTGGAATTGGTAAACTAATGGTTTACATAGATAAAACATCCAAACCATCTCTTTTGCTGCAGCCCTAATTTCTAATCTGAGACCCTCAATGGAGGTGTTAAAAGGCTTAGAGCCATACATTTACACAAACACATAACACACCTCAACACATTCCCCTTCCAAAAATGGTGCAGTGGATGGATAAGGCTGGGAAACCTGTCCAGTCCACATGAGAATAGAAGGCTCTGCTCTGTTTTAACCAGGGCAGAAGGGTGAGTTCATGGTTCTTTAATTCTTATGACTTAAGAACTGACACTAAATCTGAGGCTACAGAGGGAACCAATCAATTTCACATTCTTGAATTGCATTTGACACAACCAACATGCATACTTTAAACCTAAAGCCTTTCCACTAGCAGGTATTTCAAAGCAGTGAACTCAACAACAGCAGAAATTTTCTTATCTAAAAGGGACACTCAATTAATCTCATTACATTTGCATCTTTGATTCCTGCCAATACATAATTAAATTCAAAATGAGTTCTTAAAAAAACTAGCCGGCCTTCTAAAGTGGCCTTTGGAAAAACAAATCACTTGGGGAAAGCACTATGAAAGCTTTCTTCAAGGGTAAATGGGCTCTTTGCAAAAGAGATTATTTTCAGACACTGCCCCCAGGGACCACCCCAGTCTCAGATCCTTAATGGGTGACCAGCTTTCTCTTCTCTCTGAGAACTCCAGGCCAAGAGCCAGTGGTTGGGGGAGCTTTCCTCTCAATGTTCTTTGCAGTCCCACATTGTCCACATGTGGACATTGCCACATGTCCACGACAGACCTCAGCATCTTTGATTTGGTCCCAACAATCTGCTGCTCCTTATGTCCTGCCTTCACTGAAAGTACCACCATCCACTCAGTATCAAAGTCAGAAACCTCAAGGTTGTTCTTGATTCTTCTACTCTCACATGTAATCCATCACCACGTCCTGTGGATGCCACTTTCTAAATCCCTTTGCAATCTCTGTTCTCCCCATCCCACCACCACTGCCTTGGTTCAGGCCTCATTATTCCTCACCTGAACCACTGCAGCAGCCTCTGAGATGGTCTCCCTGCCTTCTCCAATGCTGTCCTGCAATGCATCCAGAGAGACTTCCTCTAAAATGCAAATCTGATCAGGTCATTCAGTAGCTAAGGTCTTCTGCTTGATCTAGCCCACAGCTACAGCCTCTGGGCCTTTGCACTTGCAGCTTCCATAGTATCCTTCCTACACTCCTTCACCTGGATTGTGAAGTTTATGCCCCTCATTGGTAGGCTGTACCCACCTTCACTCCCACTTAGTCTGGCTGGGAGGCCTTCCTATGCTCCCACTGCCTTCTTTTTAACCTCTCTCTCTCAGCATTCGCTATATGGTATCAAAACTGCTTTTCATCGTGTACATTGCATGATGTTGGGGGCCAAATCTTATTCATCTCCTGATTCCTAACATTCAGCATTGTGCTTGGAGCATGGTAGGCTTCCATAGATGTTAAATGAATGAATAGATGAATGAATGAGATTTCCTTTGGCCCATAATTTTCTCCATCCACATTAACTTGAATGAATCAAGGAGAGAAGGACTCACTACCATTAGTGGAGAGAGGTCAAGATAAGATTAGGAGCTGTCTAGGGTCCTTTATCACTTGTCCCTAAGGCAGAGGTGACAAGATTCTGTCCTAGGAGTAGGTTAGATGATGATGGTGAGCATGATGTGGAGACGGTAATGTGGATGGAATAATGATGAAGATGATGATGATGATGACAATGGTGATGATGGTGATGGTAATGATTATTAATTATAGTGGTGATGATGACAATGGCGATGATGGTGCTAATGATGATGATGATTAACTATGGTGATGATGACAATTTCGATGATGGTGCTGGTGATGACGATTATGATGATGATGACAATGGTGATGATGGTACTGGTGATCATGATTATTAACTATGGTGATGATGATGACAATGGCGATGATGGTGCTGGTGATAATTGTTATGATGGTGATGATGACAATGGCAATGATGGTACTGGTAATAATGATTATTAACTATGCTGATGATAATGACAATGGTGATGATGGTGCTGGTGACGATGATTGTTATGGTGATGGTGATGACAGTGGTGATGATGGTGCTGGTGATGATGGTTATGGTGATGATAATGACAACAATGGTGATGATAACAAAGGCCATTTATCAAGCACCTGTGTTTCAGGCACGGCACTTGAAAACCTTGTCCCCATCTTGTATATGAAGCACGTAGGTGTCAGAAAGGTTAGATCATTTGCCCAAGGTCACACAACTGGTAAGTGGTGAAGACTGGATTTGAGACCAAGCTTGACACCAAAACTGGTGCTAAATTCATCTTCTTGCACTGTGCTGATCATTGGAAACTTCATTCCTTCAGTATTTATTGAATACGGTTATTTCCCAGATATATTGTAGGCACTGAGGATATAGTGGTGAACAAAACAGGTGATCATCCTTGCCCTCCTGGAACTGACATCCTAGTGAGAGAAGACAAAAGAAAAATAAGTAAAATATATAGTATTTCCTACGGTTAAAAGTACTATGGAGAAAAATACACAAGAGTGATAGGGAATGCATGGGGTGGATGGAGATGGGGCTGTAGTATTAAATAGGATGGCCAGGGACAGCCTCCCTGGAAAGGTAACACTTTAGCAAAGATCTTAAGGTGGTGAGGCAGTGATCCATGCAGATTTAGGGCAGAAGGAACAGAGAGTAAAAATACCCTGGGGTGAGGGAGATTGTGCCCATTTGGCTAAAGATATAGGGTTTCTGAAGAGAAGAGGACTAAGAAATGAGGCCAGAAAAATAGGGAGGTACAGATCTTTTAAAAACTTAAAGGCCATTGCAATGGTCAAAACAAATTGGTGGCTGGCCCCTGAGAAACAAGAAGAGATTGATGACAATCCTGAAGTCCCTATCAGCTGTGAGTACCTCTGTATACTGTACATGGCCCTATGGAATGGGCAGAGGGTTATTCTCAGAATATTTTTTTCATGCTTGATCAGAAGTTGGATCTAAAGTAGGGTTTCTTATCCTAAGCCCTACGGACATTTGACTAGATAATTCTTTGCTTGTGGGGCTGGGGGCTGTCCTGAGCATTGTAGAATGTTTAGCAGTATCCCTGGCCTCTACCCACTAAATGCCAGTAGCATCTCTTTTTCCAACTGTGACAACCAAAAATGCCTCCAGACCTTGCAAAACGTCCGACATTGAGAACCACTGGTCTAAAGAAAGGCAGACTCAACTTCCTTGTGCTGGGATCAAACTCCAGTCCCTATACTCATCACCTCCCCATCACCCATCAGCCCCTCCTCTGACTCACATTCACTGCTCAGAGAAGGAAACCTGGGGTTTTCTACTAAAGACCAGGCAAACGTTAATTCTAGGTCCATCAGCCATTAACACATCTACACACCAAGCAGACAGTCAGGGAGCCATTGCCTATTCTAACATGGCCCTGAGTCCCGTGTGCTTACCCTGAAACCCATGTGAGAGCTCCATAATAGGCCTAGAACTTGTGGTGGATGGTTTGGTGATGGTCACTGTTGTTCCCTTTCATCAGTAGCCGGAAGATCTTTGGGGTTCCTGACATTGCCATGGGACCCTCCCTTCCCAGAGAGAATCTGGTCAGAGCAAGACCAAAGAGTCTCCACCTATGTCATCAAAATAGCTAATGTTTATTTGTACCAAAGTTTTGCACACCTTGTCTTATTTTGTAGGATCACTCTGAGACGTAGGATCTATTAATAACCCCACTTTTTATGAATGAGGAAACTGAGTCACAGAGACTTAAAAAAATAAAAACAACTTTCCTGGGCCACAAGGAAAGTAAACCACCATAACTGCCTCTTTTTGATGAGATAGCCTAAGGAATTCACATTCATTGAGCATCTAGTATATGGCAGACAATGAGCTAGGGCCTGAGAGAAGTTGGGTCCATGGGCACCCTTGGCCTCTGCCTATCTACAGCCCACTGGGCACTGCTCAGCCTAAGTGCCAATATACACGTGAATTGTCTCCATACCTGGCCAAACTGGCATTTCCAGTTGACCAGGGCAGAATGTAAATGCTGAGACCTGAGGAGTGTATGCATTCATTTCACACCTACAAACTTGGAATTCAAGGTTCCAGAGCCCAGAAGGAAAACCAATTTGCAATTTTTTTTTTTTTTTGAGATGAAGTTTTGCTCTTGTTGCCCAGGCTGAAATACAATGGTGCAATCTTGGCTCACCGCAACCTCCACCTCCCAGGTTCCAGCGATTCTCCTGCCTCAGCCTCCCAAGTAGCTGGGATTACAGGCGTGTGCCACCACGCCAGGCTAATTTTGTATTTTTTGTAGAGACGGGGTTTCTCCATGTTGGTCAGGCTGGTCTCAAACTCCTGACCTCAGGTGGTCTGCCCACCTTGGCTTCCCAAAGTGCTGGGATTACAGGCGTGGAGTCACCACGCCTGGCCCAATTTACAAAATTTTTAAAGAAAGAAGCCAGAAAATCGGACTCTAAATTTTAAAGAGTGGCGTTGGCTGTGTAGGTTGTCTCTGCTCTGATGGGAACCACCTGGAACAGAAGAAATGAAAAACATGCCCCCATTAATCTGCTCCAAGAAAAAGATTTTTCAGACCAGCTGGCCAATTTGGTCATTTAGAGCATGAACCTTGGAGCCAGTCAGCCTTCGAGTTGACTCTCAGCCTAACTGCATACTAGCTGTAAGACCTCTGGGTTTCCATTTCCTTATCTGTGATATTCCTGCTTGTAATCACAGATAACTCACAGGATTGTTCTGAAGATTAACCAGGGTAATGCATGGAACACTAAGCAAGTACTTAGCACAGTAAGGGATCAATACGTGTTGTTATTATTACTATTCTCATTATCAACATCGCCATCAATATCATCATCATTATGGCGATGATAGTGACATCATCATCATCTTTCCATAGAAGATCCTACATAATCCTATGTCACTCAGATAAAAACCTCAGAGACACCCTTGACTCTTCTCTTTCACCATGTTCCATATCCAAACTCCTCCTCCCAAATCTCTCTAGAATGGAATCACTTCTCAGCCCCTCCATTACCACTCTCCTGGCCCAAAGCCATCACCATCTCTTGCCTGGATTACTGTAGTAGCCTCCGACTGGTCTACCTGCATCCTTTCTCTTTCCCTTTTTGTCTAATCTCCATATAATATTCAGAGAAATCCAGTTAAAAAGTAGCTCAGATCACCACCTAAGGACAGGAGTTCAAGACCAGCCTGGCCAGCATGGTAAAACCCCATCTCTACTAAAAATACAAATATTAGCAGGGCCTGGTGGTGCATGCCTGTAATCCCAGCTACTCAGGAGGCCAAGGCAGGAGAATCACTTGAACCCGGGAGGTGGAGGTTGCAGTAAGCCAAGATGGTGCCACTGTACTCCAACCTGGGTGACAGAACAAGATCCGTCTAAAAAAAAAAGAAAAAAGAAAAAAGAAAAGAAAAAGAGTAACTCAGATCACCTCCACCTCTGCTCCAAACCCTCTGGTACCATTCCATATTCTGGGAAAAGTCAAAGTCTATTCAGTGGCTTGCGAGACCCTACATCACCTGTCCCCTGGCCCCAGCTCACTCTGCTCCAGACCCAATGGACTTCTTGTCATACCTTGAACATGTCACACATGCCCCACCTCAGGGCCTTTGCATACACTGGCCCTTTACCAGGAATTCTCTCCTGCTAGATGTCTACATGGCTTGCGCTCTCATTTCTTTCCATCTTTATTAAAACATTGCCATCTTTAGCCTCCTACTTAAACTTGCAATTTCCCTAATACTCCCAACCTCCAACTCTCCTGTTCTTTTCCAAAGCACATATTATCTAACACAGCACATATTTTACTTTGTTATTCTGCTTATTTTCTGCCTTTTCAAGTGACAGCAGGGGTTTTTATCTGTTCACTGTTATATCCCCAATCCCTAGGACAGTGCCTGGCACATGGCATATCCTAAAAGTTTCATTGTATGAATGAATAAATGAATGAATGCATAAAACGAATGAATGAATCTCCATTACTATTATCATAGGCCCCATCAATCTAGCTCTCAGACCCCAGCACTCCGGTTGCCACAAGCTCTCTCTGTCACTTCCATTTCAGACACCCAGGGGCACTGGGTTGTGTGTGGAACCTCTAAAATTTGCTTTACCATCTGGACAATCATTCCAAGTGTTTCTCTTGCCCTGAGCTTCCGCCCTCAGAAACTCAGATTCGGATTCTATGTCAATCAGCAATCCTGAGCCCAGCATGGCCACATCCACGAGGAAGCCGGGGAGAGCCCCATGGACCAGAGCAGCCAGCAATTGGCCAGTGCATGCTGGTGATGATGGATAGGGGATATCAGGGGATATCGAAGGCGATGACGGTGACAAAGCAGGCAGTGGAGGGGCATCGATCCAGGAGGGAGGCACAAAGTCCCCGCTTCCGGTCCATTGACCGGGAGTTTAATGAAAGCGATCATTCACTTTCCGATCCCATTGCAGGAGCAGGCGTGCTGACCAGCAACGGGGCCCTCGCCAGCTGTCCCGGGGCCCTGCTTTCTGAGCGGCACTTTACAAAAGACCTCTCTGTTGGACTTGGAACTTGCCCTCTGCAGCAGAGGTCATTTGCACTTTCTCCAAGTGCTCCAGATGGACCACGGGGGTGGGCGGCAGTGAAAAAGATAAAATGTTCTGGCTTGAAAGGCAATCAATGACCCCCTGCCCTGGCTCAGCCCCCCTTCCTCAGTCATGGGGTAGCGAGGAACCTGCAGCCTCACAATGTTATCAGGAGGAAGAAAGGCACACTTGGGCGCCTTTTAGTCCCCTCCGTTTAGCCAGAAAAGCCTCTTGCACTGCCAAGGTCACGTGCCAGCTCCCTGATACCGCTTCCAGAAAAGGGCTTCCCCAGTCCCTCCCCACTGCCCAGCAACGTGAGGGGCCAAGGCGTCCAGATCAGATCTCTTAATGGAGAGTTCCAGGTCTCTTCGAGACAAGAGGGTGGACTCAGGGGAACACCACAACCTCCCCTATCCCCGCCCTCCCCACACCTGGTTTTCCTTACCTGCGAAAGTCCCCTGTCCAATTACATGCAGGGCAACTGCAGGGGCTCAATTTGGCCTGTTAGCTCCAGGACGTTCCACCAGATGGCGCTCATGAGCTCTCATGCTTCCTCTCTGTCTCCATAATTTCTGACCACAGAATTTTTTTAAAACAAAAAATTTTAATAGTTTGGAAAATTTCCCTCTAGACTTCTTTTGCCCTGGGCATACACTTTTTAACAATTCCATAAATGTGATCATCGTGTCTATGCTATTGAGTGGTTTGTTTTTGTTTATTTCAATAGCTTTGGGGGTACAAGTGGCTTTTGGTTACAGGGATGAATTGTGTAGAGGTGAGGTCTGAGATTTTAGTGCACCCATCACCTTAGTCATGTTCTTTCTACCCAATATGCAGTTTTTTTTGATCCCTCACCCTGCACCCAGCCTCCCCGCATCTGAGTCTCCAATGTCCATTATACCACTCTGCATGCCTTTGTGTAATCATTGCTTGGGTCCTGCTTTGACCACAGAAATTTTACTATAATAATGGAAGCAGTAATAAGAACGCAGCATGTACTTAACTTGTGCCAGGCATTATACCAAGTGGTTTACATGCCTAGTGGAGATTAGAAAAGAACTCTACAGCCAGACAGAATGGGCTCTTATCCTGGCCTTACCTCTCACTGTCACAGGGCTTTGCGCAAGTAAGTCATTTGTTGTGCTTCAGCTTCCTCATGTATAAAATTGAGATAATAATAATACCTATCCCACAGAGTTATAGAGAGGAGTAAATGGCTTAATGCACGTAAAACTCTTAGAAAACAATAAGCAATTATAGCTGGTTGTGACATAAATCTCATTTAACTCTGACGATTCCTTGAAGTAACCACTATTATTTTCACCCACTTTACACAAGAGAAGTGGAGCTCAGAGAGATGGAGTAAAGTTGCCCATGGTTGTGTTGTTTCCAATGCTACTGAATCCAAAGAACCTTGATAGACATCTCCCAGATTGTCTAATTTCATGAACCATTGTGTCTCACATCTTGTCACATTTATGAAAATTCAGCCATTAACCGCTGAGCACAAGAAAGGTTCCGGGAGCTAAGCAGGCCCAACAAATAATCTACTGTTGGAGATGGGGAGCGAGGAAAGGCCTCTCAAATTTTGTCTTCATACTCTTTCAGACAACCCATCCTCAAAGCAATCCAGGAACTTGGCGGAAGAGCTGGGCAAAGCTGTGGAGATCATGGGCAAAGGCAAGAATGGGATCGGCTTTGGCAAAGTGGACATTACCATAGAGAAGGAGCTTCAGCAGGAGTTTGGGATTACCAAGGCCCCGGAGTTGAAGCTGTTTTTTGAGGGCAACAGGTCAGAGCCCATCAGCTGCAAAGGTAATGGTGCTTGTGTGTCACACTTGTTTCATGCTCATGGAAAGTCCACTTAACAGCTATAGGGTAAAGGTGGGAGGCTCTGCTCCATGCAGCTTCTCGGGGACCCAGGATCCTCCAGCTTGTGACTCTGCCCTTCTCTAGGGCCTTGGAGCCACCTGCTCTTTCCTCTGTATCCAGCCAGCAGTTGGGGTAAGGGGTAGAAGGTCACCACGGGTACTGTTCATGGCCCTGGCCATGAACAGTGGTAAGTATCACTTCTATTCACATCCCATTGACCAGAATTCTGTTACATGGCCAGAACCAGCTGCAAGAAAGGCGGAGAAATACAGTTCAGCTCTGTTTTTAGAAAGAAAACGGGTTTAGTGAATATGTGGCTGCTTCTACTACAGCTTGAAGCTCAGCTGATGGGCCCTAGAAACACCAAGAAGTGGGAGGGTGGGGTGCATGGCTTAGAAACTATCAGACACCAGAGATTAAGTTCTAACTCCACTTCCCACTCCCAATCTTTGACTTTAGAATGATTTGACAGAGTCCTAGGACTAGGGAAGCACTATTTAGCCAAAAGGGAAATTGGGAGATGATGGAACAAGACAGGCTTGGGATGCAATGTCTACCAAACACCTTACGTTCTATCATATTTTTCATTCATTGATTAACTCGTTCATTCATTTATTCAGCATCCATTTATTGACAAGCTACCATGTGCCAAGCCCTATCTTGATGTTGAGGATGTGTGGAGAATAAGGTACTAGTATGGCACATATGGTAGTCCCAACTTTTAGAAAGTTACATATATGAAGGCATTCATGGATGCAGGATGGATAAATGGATGGAAGGATGGAAGTAACAAAACTGATGAACACAGAAGTGCCTGTAACAGCCATGCCAGTAGAATGTTCCCATTATATATGTTAAATTATTGAGTCTTGAGTAACGGAAACTGCCTTCCACTGGATCTGGTGTATAGCCAGCTTCCAATAAGCTGGATTCAGTGTTATTTGCAAGAAACACACATCCAGGGGCTGCAGGATGCTTTGCAGTTCTCAGAATGGACACAAGAGGGCATGAAAGACACAGGATAGACCCAGAGAAAGGCGCCACAAGAGAACCTCGGAGCAATCACCTAAGGGCAGGGCTGCAGCTCCCAGCAGGCTTGTGGGAGGGTGGTGGCTGCGGGCGCCAGAGAAGAGATGGGGAGGGAGGGCGGGAGCAGTGAGAGAAGCAACAGAGGATGCTGTTTCCTATAGATACCAGGGGATGACCCTCAACAAGGGGGACTCGCTGACACCAGCAAGGAGCCCTTTGTGATGTGTTTGCTCTGGGGAGAGCTGTGAGGAAATGAGAGGCCCTAGGTCATCGGAGCCCATGACTGCTAATGGAGTGGCCCAGGTGCTGCAATGACCTTCCCTCCTGAAGGGCAGGAGAGAACTGACTCCACTTAGAGGCGACAAAGTAACAATATGGCAACTTCCAGACTGTGGGTGAAACTAGCAGAGAAGGTCCCCAAGGCATTTGACTTCTGAGCCCCCTTCATCAGGGAAACCAGTGCCTGGGACCTCGTCTGCCATACAGGAAGCTTCATCATCACCCCATCTAGGAAGTCTCCCCTGACTGCTCAGGCCAGGGTGCCTGCTCCACCTCTGTGGCCTCACAGCATCTGTGTTTTCCCCATCAAGGCCCTCGCCTCAAAGAATTACATCTGCTACTTATTGCTTGTTCTCTACAGAGAGCATCACAAGGGCAGTGGCTGATCTCACTTGCACTCCTGGGTCCTCTAAAGAGACTGCCAGAATTGACAGCACTCCCCTCTGCATCCAAATCCTTACCACAGGCTTAAGAAACAATCACTGCCGCTCGTCGAATCTCAGTTTTTCCATCTGTTAAATGGGGATGGTGAAAAGATCTACCCCTCTACACTGTTGGGAAGATAAAATGATGTTTGCAAGGCACACGGCCTGACACATACCTGTAGCATATACTGTGTTCCAGGCATTGTTCTAGACCCTTCTCCTATGTCATAACACCCCAATATAAGAGGTGCTTTTACAGATGGAGAAACTGAGGCACAGAAAGGTAGAATAACTTCCTCAAAGCTGCCCAGTGAGTAGTGGTGGAGTCAGCAAATGTTTTCTGCAAAGGCCCAGATTATTAATATTCCAGATCCTACAGGCCAGGCAGTCTCTGTTGTAACTACTCAGATCTGCTGATGCAATGTGAAGGCAGCCACGTGTTAACAAATGGGAATGACTGTGTTCCAATAAAGTTTTATTTATACAGTCAAACAGCAGGCCAGATTTGGACTACAGGCTATAGTATGTTGAAATCCGCTTTACATTGCGCTGTACTCTAAGCAAGAGGCAGATGTGTTCATTATTATTATCAGACTATTAGTTTTCTCATTCTAGTCCAATGCCTGGAACAATTAAGTTCTTAACAAATAGTTTTTGAGCCAGGTGCAGTGGCTCAACCTGTAATCCCAACACTCTGGGAGGCTGATATGGGAAGATCACTTGTGCCCAGAAGTTTGAGACCAGCCTGGTCAACATAACAAGACCCTGTCTCTACAAAAACCTTAAAACTTAGCCAGGTGTGGTGGCAGATACCTGTATTCTCAGCTACTTAGGAGGCTGAGGTGGGAGAATTGCTTGAACCCAGGAATTTGTGACTGCAGTGAGCCATGATTGCACCACTGCACTTCAGCCTGGGTGACAGAGTGAGATCCTGTCTCTAAATTTTAAAATAATAATAATAAAAGTTTTAGATTTTGAATACAATGGAATTGGAAGCACCCACTGCAGGTGGGCATAGGGTAAAGTACCCACCCATATTTCTGCTGGGCTTGCTTCCTCAGTATTACTTCTAACCAGAGAAAGGGCAAAGGGAATGCCAGGATGAAGCTGGGACAGGGATTGAGGATGCCTGGATTTTAGGATGAGCAGTAACCATGGGAACTTCAACGAGCCTTTTACAACCAGGCTTCCAATTTCTCTTTTTTTTTTTTTTTTTTTTTGAGATGGAGTCTCACTGTTTTGCCAGGCTGGAGTGCAGTGGTGCGATCTCGGCTCACTGCAACCTCCGCCTCCCGGGTTCAAGTGATTGTCTTGCATTAGCCTCCCGAGTAGCTGGGACTACAGGCATGTGCCACCACTCCCAGCTAATTTTTAGTATTTTTAGTAGAGATGGGGTTTCACCATGTTGGCCAGGATGGTCTCAATCTCTTGATTTCATGATCCACCTGTCTCGGCCTCCCAAAGTGCTGGGATTACAGGTGTGAGCCACCGCACCCGGCCCAATTTCTCATTTTCTAAACAGGATGAGTAAGGCCAGTTCTGCCTACTTGCCAGGGCTCCTCTGAGCTGAGAGGAGACAGTGCTTTACGCATCTTCTGCAATGTGACTTTGATGAAAACTCCTCTTAGGACACTGGTGGGATTTAGTCCTTGCAGGGTCAAAGCCCCAGTCCCATTCTCATCTAATCTCCAAGGATTGATGGCAGGAGACTTGGCCATGGCCATTGCTCTGGAAGGAGGGAGACTCAGGTTGCCTCTAGGCCTCTATTAATGATGCAGCCACAGTCTGTGCCTGGAAATATGCAGCCCAGTGCTGGTCCTAGTCAATCATTGACATTGCATTCACACCTCAGTTGTCACCGTGTCCTCTGGCACAGAGCCAAGCACCAAAGGAGGTCCCTGACAAGGGCAGTGCCTGATCTGCAGGCACAAAGGAATCAACAATTTGCAGAGTTCATAACTACCTCGGTCCCACAGGGGCCAGAGGGGCAAATGGAGCTCACACGTCCCCAAGAAGATGGCCCAAGATCAAGTTTCCTCAAGCCAGCTTCCCTGATGATTCATTCAGCCCATTCATTCATTCTAGAAAGATTTCTTAAGCATCTACTATGTGCCAGGCATTACAGGAGCTTACTGGGAGCTCACACTGAACAAGCTAGTGAAAAATCATTCTAATAATTTCAAGAAGGGATAGACTCAATGAAGAAAATAGGGTAGCTCGGCTGGGCACGGTGGCTCACGCCTGTAATCCCAGCACTTTGGGAGGCCAAGGCGAGTGGATCACGAAGTCAGGAGTTCAAGACCAGCTTGGCCAAGATGGTGAAACCCCATCTCTACTAAAAATACAAAAAATTAGCTGGGTGTGGTGGCGGGCACCTGTAATCTCAGCTACTCCGGAGGCTGAGACAGAGAATTGCTTGAACCCAGGAGGCAGAGGTTGCAGTGAACTGAGATCACACCACCGCACTCCAGCCTGGGCAACAGAGTGAGACTCCATCTCAAAAAAAAGAAAAAAAGAAAAAGAAAATAAAAGAAAAGAAAATAGAACAGGTCATAAGACAGAGAGTGATTGGCTAAAAGAAAAGAAGAACCAACTGAGAATTGAACAGGCAGAAGAAGGCACTGCCCTTGAAGAGCTGAGGAAAGGGCAGCCCATCAGGAGGGACAAGCCAAGGCTGAAGCCAGTGTTCTGGAAGATAACTGTAACGTTGGAGTGTGGAAAGGGCAGAGGGTGGCACAAAGTGACATCAGAGCAATGGTTCTGATGACCTGAAATTTAAATTCATTTGGCAGGTTTTGTTTTTGGATATTTTCAGATTTTGTAAATCAATTCCTTTTGGATCACTTACAATATACTTTTGCCAGACAAAAGCATATAAGAGAAACCATTTGTTTCCAAGTGTGACTTATTTTTACCTAAAGATGGCTGGAAACACTGTACAGAAACTCAGTGTTGAGGCTGATATCTCAGAGGAGGGAATTACAGCAGATGTGGGGTACCAAGGTCTGAGGGTGGCATGATGCCTCCTCCTTCTCTCTTCTCTTGAAGCCACCATATCAGCTTCACATGAATTTCCATAGGTTTGACTCATTGTGGCTTTTAACATGACCTTAACTATATCTACTAAAGTTGAACATGGCATCTGCTATGACCAGAAATTCTCCTGCTGGCTATACACCCAACAGAAGTGCATACAGTGTGCCCCAGAGACATGCACAAGAATTCATTCAGAATAGCCCCAGCCGGGCATGGTGACTCATGCCTGGAATCCCAGCATTTTGGGAGGCTAAGGTGGGAGAATTGCTTGAGCCCAGGAGTTCGAGACTGGCCTGGGCAACATAGCAAAACCTCGTCTCTACTAAAAATTGCTTAAAAATTAGCCAGGTGTGGGCTGGGCGTGGTGGCTCATGCCTGTAATCCCAGCACTTTGGGAGGCTGAGGCGGGAGGATCACCTGGAGTTCGAGACCAGCCTGGCCAACATGGTGAAACCCTGTCTCTACTGATACTAAAAAATTAGTGGGGTGTGGTGGCACGTGCCTGTAGTCCCAGCTATTCGGGAGGCTGAGCCAGGAGAATCACTGGAACCCGGGAGGCAGAGGTACGGTGAGCCAAGATTGAGCCCTTACACTCCAGCCTGGGCAACAGAGCAAGACTCTGTCTCAAAAAATAAAAATTAGCCAGGTGTGGTGGTACATGCCTGTAGTCCCAGCTACTCAGGGGGCTGAGGTGGGAGGATGGCTTGAGCCTGGGAGATCGAGGCTGCAGTAAGCCACGACTACACCACTGCACTCTAGCCTGGGTGACAGAAGGATAAACTGTCTCAAAAAAAAAAAATGCCCTAAAATGAGAGCAACTAAATGCCCATTAGCAGAGAATGGACAAATAAGTTGTGGGATATTCACAGCAGTGGAAATGAATCTTCAAGTACATGAAAAACTGTGGCTGAATCTCACAAACATAATGAAACCAGAGCCAAGAACATTTATATGAAGTTCAGGAACAGGCAGACTAATGTAATCTGTTACAAGTTAAGGTGGCAATGGAATACTACAAAGCCATAAAAAGGAATGAGATCGTGTCCTTTGCGGGGACATGGATGAAGCTGGAAGTCATCATTCTCAGCAAACTAACACAGGAACAGAAAACCAAACACACTCACTCATAAGTGGGAGTTGAACAATGAGAACACATGGACACAGGGAGGGGAACATCACACATTGGGGCCTGTCTGGGAGTGGAGGGCGAGGGAAGGGAGAGCATTAGGACAAATACCTAATGCACGCGGGGCTTAAAGCCTAGGTGATGGGTTGATAGGTACAGCAAAGCACCGTGGCACATGTATACCTATGTAACAGACCTGCATGTTCTACACATGTATCCCAGAACTTAAGGTAAAATAAAAAGAAGAAGAAGGAGAAGAAGAGGAAGAGGAAGCAGAAGAAGAACAAGAAGGAGAAGAAGGAGAAGAAGAAGTAGTTAGAGTGGTGGTTACTTTTGGATTGAGGGGAGTAGAGGCTGGGAGTGGGCACAACAGGGACTGCTGAGGATCTGGTGATGTTCTAGTTCTCGATTTGGGTTGTAGTCACACAAGTGTGTTCGTTTTGTAAAAATCCATCTAACCATACATTATCATTTATGCACCTTTCTGCATGTAAATATACTTTATTATAAGTTTTTGAAAAGCCTTCATGTTCTCATGAAATAAAACAAATATAACGAAGGTAGAGCCTTTGCAGTTGATTTAGTAGCTCAGGGTGCATTCATCCAGCCTCAGGTAGCAATTTGTCCTGCTGCAGGACTTTGTATAGGCTGTTTCTCCTAGAAGACTTTCCCTCTCCTTAATGCCTCCTAGTTAACTCCAGAGCATTCTTTTCTTTCTTTCTTTTTTTTTTTCTTTTTAAAGACAGAGTCTTGCCCTATCTCCCGCGCAGGAGTGCGGTGGTGCGAACTTGGCTCACTGCAACCTCCACCTCCTGGGTTCAAGCGATTCTCCTGCCTCAGCCTCCCAAGTAGCTGGGATTACAGGCGTGTGCCACCATGCCTGGATAATTTTTTGTATTTTTAGTAGAGATGGGGTTTCACTGTGTTAGCCAGGATTGTCTCGATCTCCTGACCTTGTGATCCGCCCTCCTCGGCCTCCCAAAGTGCTGGGATTACAGGCATGAGCCACTGCGCCTGGCCCAGTGCATTCTTTATTTTACAGCTCATCCATAATTTCCTCCAGGAAGTCCTCCTTGACTTCACAGTCTAAGTCAGGCATCTTTGCTACAGACTCGCAGAACTTTGATTTCAAACATTTCCTTTGGGTGTAATGATGCCCTTGTTCATGCATTTATTTGATTGTTGTCTTCCTCGACAGAATGAGAGCTGTGAAATGGTGGTAATGTGTTTGTTTCTGTTCATCCTTATATCTCCAGGGCTGAGTACAGCACTTGATAGTAAGCACTCGGTACATATTTGCCAAGTAAATAAATGAGGGAAGAAATAAATGAGTGCGTAAATGAATAACAGTCTGTGGATGTAGTTCAAAGCTACTCACAACGAATATTGCTTTATCTCATAAATTTATTTATTTATTTTAGAGACAAGGTCTCACTCTGTCTCCCAGGCTGATTGTAGCTCACTGCAGCCTTGAACTCCTGGGCTCAAGCAATCCTTCTGCCTCAGCCTCCCAAGTAGCCGGGACTACAGACACATGCCACCATGCCTGGCTAATTTTCTTTTGTTTTTTGTAGAGCTGAGTGTCTCGCTATGTTGCCCAGACTGGTCCCAAACTCCTGGCCCCAAGTGATTCTCCTGCGTTAGTCTCCCAAAGTGCTGGGAAATAGGCATAGGCCACCATGCTTAGCTCATAAACTTATTTAAAATGTTCAGTTTTAATGTTCTATAGCAGATACAAATATATAATATTTTACATTACTTTCCATCATGTGAAACTGATAATCCTAGAAAAACACACGTTCACCTGTGTATAGCCTTCTGTACCTTCTGGCTCACCAATTTGTCTTCCCAGATATAGTATATGTGTCTTAATTTTGGAAGCTAAGACTTTTGTGTGCTTGACACCAACCATGCTATAGCTGAGAAATGGCAGTCAGGAGTGGATGACCTTAAAGGGCATTTGGATCTCAGCTGAGGAATGGGGGCTGCAGGAAGATAATAGGATTTTCCCAAGGTTACAGAGCTATGTGGTCTTTCCAGTTATATTTTATTGAGATTTTAAAATATAAATCAATCTTCCTGTCACCTTGGAGAGTTCATAAGAAAAGAAGTCTGGAAATGCCTCCTCCTAAATTTGATCTTCAGGTTCTCTAGTTGGGTGCCTGTTGGCAGTTGAACCTTGGTTTCTTCATCTGCAAAATGGGGAGAGTAAAAGTGTCTATTTCATAGGATTATTGTGAAGATTTAATATATGCAAAACGTTCAGCACAGTGTCTGGGCCTTGTTGAGTGCTCAGTAACATTTAGCTGCTGTTGTTAATGTTCGTGCTTGGAGCTTGGGGAAGAGGGGAATGGAGGAACTGACTTTGGCCTTCAAGGGGTGGGAGCCTGAGACAAGAAGGTTCTATGCATTAAACTTGAGAAAGACCAGCTTCTTGCTTTGGTTCAAGAGGAAACTTCTCTGGTATCTATTTGACTGTGTCTTTCTCCAGGAGTGGTTGAATCTGCTGCCTTAGTCGTTTGGTTGAGACGACAAATTAGCCAGAAAGCATTTTTGTTCAACAGCAGCGAGCAGGTGGCAGAGTTTGTGATATCCAGGCCCTTGGTCATCGTTGGCTTCTTCCAGGTACTGGGACCAAGAGGTGGGAGGAGGCTTTCAACTGATGAGAAGTGCTGTGTCTGGGAGGGGGTGGTGTGAGGAGACTCTTCCGTTTTGATTGCCCAATTTTCTCCATCCAATGATCTGGTTTTTAGGGGAAGCTCCAAGGGTTCAAATGAACAGGAATGGAAAGAAAAGAGAGAAGATTGGCATCTGTATTTAATGGGTTTTAACAGTGTGGCTAATCATTTTAGGGGTCCATTTAGAACATCACTTAATAAAAGGATGTCTTAGTTTCTGGTTTCAGAGCCATTGTTCTCTATGAATCTGAAGGCCACCAGCCATGCTTGGGCCAGGCCAGTTTCTCTCCCTAACCTCTTTCCAAGCATCCTCATATATTAAAACCGATAGCACAGGATAAACATGCACTCATTCGAAAATACACCAACCCTTAGAGGTGCAGTAGGAGATGTTTGGGGAAGAACATAAGTAACTTAGATACAATCATGAAACGTCTCATAATAGCCTTTCATGTAGATTTTTTAATGTTTATAAATAACTTGCTAATTGTTTTTGCTTTAGGAGAATGAGTTTCTCATGTGTCCTAATTCTTTTGCTATAAGTTGGTGACTTCTCTCCTCCCAGTAGAAGGCAGAACTTGGGCATTATATTTAACACAGAGAGACTATCTGCCTCTCTCCCTCACCCCTTGTTACTTCTTTGAGAGGTGTTTGGCCTTGATTTTCTTTCAAGCTAAAGAATGAAGGCTGAAATTCTTGACATTAAGTTCACATTTTGTATTACATGTGGTAAAATCAATTGCCTCTTCTGAAAGTAACTAAGGAATAAATGTTAAAAGTCTCATTGGGTTAGAACACCCTTTAGAGATTGGAAAAGGTCACATTTATCATTTCTCTCTGTTGATCTCTGAGGACTTGCCTATTTTGGCTTTATTCATAGCCAGAGAAGCATTTTGAGTATGAAATACTCATGAAAGAGGATTTGGGTGACCCAGGCAAACCCCAGAACTTGAAAAAGTGAAGAGACGAATCAGCCACCACTGCCGTCTTTCCCTTATATAAACCAGGCACCTTGATTTCTACCAAAGCCTTTCCAAACATCCTTTCCCAAATAGGATTTAGAGGAAGAAGTAGCAGAGTTGTTCTATGATGTGATCAAAGACTTTCCAGAGCTAACGTTTGGAGTCATAACGATTGGCAATGTCATTGGGCGTTTCCACGTCACCCTTGACAGCGTCCTGGTGTTCAAAAAGGTAGGATTTTGATCCTATTGCTAGTGAGAGGTCTCTGGTTCAAAGTAGTGGAATCGTATGAGCTTTGGGTACAAATTCTGGTTCTGCCACTTGTGAACTCAGTGGCATTGGACTAGTTGACTTCTGTGAAGTCACAGTCTCCCAGTGTTGCTCCAACCTTTCCAGCCATTTACCATCTTAAGCTCCTTCTCTTTACTTAACTAGTAAATGCAGTTCATCAAGGCTCAATCCTATGCCCTCTTTTCTTCTACTCCATGCTTCCCCTTCTACCCTTCATCAGCAATTACCATCTATGCTATACACACATCTTATAAATATCCATCTCCAGTGAGATTTCTCTAATCTGCAGACCTTTATGTGCAACACCAGGCATCTCAAAATGGCTAAGCCCAAAGTCATAATCTCCTCTCCAGGTCCTCTCCCAGTGTTTTCTCTTGCTCCAGGAATGATGCAACCACCTCTCCCATCCAGTTAAACAAGCCAGAAAACCCAGGCAACATCCTAACACTTCCCTCTCCTTCACCTCTCATAAGCAATCCATCACCACAACCCTACTGATTTTATAACCAAAATATCTCTTTAACCATTCATTTCTATCTTTATTGATACCATCCTAGATCAACAGTATAAAATGAGGGAAGAAGCCTTATGCCTAGGGTTCGAGACCAGCCTGGGCAGCATAGTGAGTCTACATCTTTAAAAAAAAAAAAGTTATTCAAGCATGGTGGCAAGTTCTTGCAGTCCTAGCTACTCAGCAAGCTCAGGCAGGAGGATTGAATCTGGGAGGTTGAGGCTGCAGTGTGCTGATTAAACCACTGTACTCCAGCCTGGGCAACAGAACAAGACCCTGTCTCAAAAAGAAATACAATAAATAAAAAGAATAATAAAGATAAAAGAAAAACTTAAAACAAGTTAAATTGAAGAGCTTAATTGAGCAAAGAACAATTCATGAATCAGGCAGCCTCCCAAGCCAGAGTAGGCTCAGACAGACTCCAGCAAAGCCAAGTGGTGGAAGATTTATGGACAGAAAAAGCAAAGTGATGTATGTACAGAAAACAGAAGTGAGGTTCAGAAACAGCTAGATTGGTTACAGCTCAGTGTTTGCCTTATTTTAACAATGATTGAACAGTTGGCCACCTTTGATTGGCCAAAACTCAGTGATTGGCACAAGTGTAGGCTATGACAGTCTAGTTACACCTCCGTTTAGGTTATAGTTCACTATGTATAGTGAAAAGTTTAGGCTGAACTTAAAACATGTAAGGAGGCAGCTTTATGCTAAACTTGATTTAACACCTATCAGAGAAGTCCTGAATCTCCTGGGACTGGGTTTGTCTTAATATGAATGAGCCGTCAATCATTAGTTGGAGCAGTATGTGAGAAATTTCTCAGCCCTGGCACAGATATTTTAATATTTGATGGATTACACAGCATGACAATGGCTGGGGCTGTTAAGTCAATTACACTCCTTGTGGCCTGCCGTAGATCTGAGATTTTCATGGCTGTCACCTACCCAGATTCTACCCACTGACTAATCTGGCCAGCCCCTCCTAGTTATTAACTACCTAGATTACAGACTACACCTGATACCATTCCTCAGTGCTTTCCTTTTATCCAAGGAGAAAATTGTGCTATTTATATTTATTAAGTGGCTATATCATGAAAGCTACTGTCCTCCAATATGTTTCTCCTTTTGTACAAGGGAAAAATTGTGAACCGCCAAAAGCTTATTAATGACAGTACCAACAAACAGGAACTCAATCGTGTCATAAAACAGCACCTTACAGATTTTGTGATCGAATACAACACTGAGGTCAGTGAGTAAATGGTCCCCGGAGGAAGGGGAGCTGGGGCCACTGTGTGTGCTTGGGATGACATATTTTCCTGGTCATTTCAGAATAAGGATCTGATTTCCGAGTTGCACATCATGAGTCACATGCTGCTGTTTGTCTCCAAAAGCTCCGAGTCATATGGTATCATAATTCAGCATTATAAGCTGGCATCAAAGGAATTCCAAAACAAGGTTTGTAGAGTGCACCATTGCTCTCTGGGACTCCTGGATGAGGATCCAAGACCTGCAGACCCTGAGCCCATTTGCCTGCCCTGCTTATTATAAATTGAATCAGGAAAGATTGGCACTTGCAATTGCCTGTCAGTTTTCTGATTTGCATGTCAATGCCACATATCATTTACTATTTAATTTTAAATATGCCTTCTCCATTCTTCCTGCCCAGTGTCTCTTCCATGCCAAATCTACACTTCTTCACTCTTCTTTGTAATGAGTCTACTCTGAGAACATGAAGGCTTGCCTGCTTTTTTGATGGACCACTAAGTGGACTCCATACACTAAGAGTGGTATCATTTGGCCTGGAGGTGGGGGCAGGAAAGACCACTGCTGTTTGAGGTCAAGGACTATGAAAGCCTGAAGGTGGGGAGTAGCACAGATTGTCTGGCAAGTAATTGCTAAGATTCTGGGCTTTAACATTGTGCAGACCCAAGTTCAAATTCTCTTTCTCTGGCAAACTACACTGTCTTAGGTGAGTTTCTTAACCCCATATTGAGGTCTCCTCATGCATGAAATGGACTGTTGTAGTAAGAATTAGAAAATATATATGTAAAGCAATGAGCTTTACAATCAATGGTGCTTTTTATTATTATCATCATCACCATTAGAAACAAAGGTTTCCCCTAAGCGCTGTTCCTGTATTTAAGGTAGTTAGAAGTACCTGAACTATGGAAGCTAGT
The DNA here is from genome assembly GCF_000001405.40 of Homo sapiens. Classification (NCBI taxonomy): domain Eukaryota; kingdom Metazoa; phylum Chordata; class Mammalia; order Primates; family Hominidae; genus Homo; species Homo sapiens. The sequence continues at coordinate 20,372,079 of NC_000016.10, read as the reverse complement.
TGATTAATTTTTCTCTTCATCTTTATAGGAAGTATAATCATGGCAGGGTTTTTTTTCTCTTTTAAAAAAATTAATCTGAAATTAAATAAAACAATTGAGAACTTTGTAACCTAAAATAAAGAAAGCCACTAGAATATAACACAAGTAATGGTCATGCTACATTCCACCACATTATTTTCAAAAAAGATGGTTCAAATCACAGAAATAATTCCTCTTGTTAAATATATGTCTTGGGGGTCTTTTTTTTTCCAATTTTACTCTAAGTTTTTGGATATAGTTAAATTGATTGCAACCTGATTGCTTTTTCTCTGTTTCTCCTATTTTACAGTAGTCAATGCTTAGCCATTATTTTCTTCCATTTTTTTTAACTCTTCAATCTCCCTGGTATTTATTTTGGCTTACATCAGAAGATGAAGTTCTAAGTTTCAGTCACCCTAGTGAATTCCCCAAATGCCTTTTATAGACTGTGATCCATTTCACAGACAACGCTAAACAGTTGAATTAATACTGTTTCAACAGATTGCACCTCTTATCTTGTTCACCTCTGTGCTCCAGTGCCAACAGAAGGTAGCAAATATTTATTGAAAGTACACAAGGATGGTTTTAATATGTTTGCTGTGTTTTTCAATTTCCCTGGCACCTAGAAGAGGAGCACACAGTGAGGCCTTTAATCTTCTGATGAATGAATGAACTGCAAGTATCTGACCCTAGGTGGCTGCAGTGGCCTCTAACTCATCTCCCTGCTTCCACTTTTGCTTCTTCTCTGCAACCAGAATGACCTTCTCAAAATTATTATCATGTCACTTTCTAGCTTACCATCCTTCAGTGGCCCACTATTATATTCAGACTAAACCCAAGCTCCTTACTGGACCTCTGACCTCATCTTCGACAGTCTCTGACCTTTTCTCCTTTGTCTCTCTCCCTCATGGTGCTGAAGCTGTTACTGGAAAGGGGTCCGGTTCCAGACCCTAAGAGAGGGTTCTTGGATCTCGTGTAAGAAAGAATTCAGAGCCAGTCTGTAAAGTGAAAGCAAGTTTATTAGGAAAGTACAGGAATAAAAGAATGGGTACTCCATAGACAGAGCAGCCCCGAGGGCGGCTGGTTGCCATTTTTATAGTTATTTCTTGATTATATGCTAAACAAGGAGTGGATTATTCATGCTTCCCCTTTTTAGACCATATAGTGTAACTTCCTGACATTGCCATGGCATTTGTAAACTGTCGTGGTGCTGGTGGGAGTGTAGCAGTGAGGATGCCCAGAGGTCACTCTCGTCACCATCTCGGTTTTGGTGGGTTTGGGCTGGCTTCTTTACTACAACCTGTTTTATCAGCAAGGTCTTTATGACCTGTATCTTGTGCCGACCTCCTATCTCATTCTGTGACTAAGAATACCTAAATCGTCTGGGAAAGGAGCCCCGTAGGTCTCAGCCTCATTTTACCCAGCCTGTATTCAAGATGAAGTTGCTCTGGTTTAAACACCTCTGACAAAGCCACACTGACTTTTCTTTTCTATTCCCAGAACACTCTAAGCTCTCTAGGTGTTTGTTTTGTCTTCAGGCCTTTGCACTGGCAGTTTCCACCACCCGGAATAGTGTTCCATGACTTGTTACTATCAACTATGTCCCAGCTGAAATGTGACCTCCTCAGGTTCTCCTCTTGACCACCCTACCTAATCCTGAGCCCCTACCTTACCCCATCGGGGCAGTTACTCTCTATCACATTGCCCTGTTTTATTGTCTAACTGGCACTCATTGCTGTTTGGCTTTGTAAGTTCATTCACTCATTTGTTGCCTGTCTTCTCCACTAGAACATAAACTCCTTGAGGGCAGGGATTTTGTCTGCTTTGGGCAGGGTTGTGTCCTCAGTGCTGAGTAAAATGGCTCACACATAGTAGACACTCCATGAATGTTTGTTTAATGAATGAGTGAATGAAGTCATGAATTTCCTTGATAGAATAATTTTGAATAATAATTATTCAAATAAAAAATAATAAGAATTGTCATGTATTGAACACTTTCTACCTGCCAGTCCCTGAACTAAGCCTTTCCATACATTGTCCTGTTTAATTCTCACAGCAACCCTATGATAGTCACTATGATAATCATTTTACAGATCAGGAAACTGATGAAACAGTTTGAAACAGAATGAAAGCTCAGGACTTCCTGACCTCCTGAAACTGTGTGGATGGAGCACACCACAAGGAGGCTGAAGCCAGGCTGGTGGCTACTGCCTGCCATGCATTTCGGTGCAGAGCTCCACCTGCCTTTGTTACATTTTGCAGAGGTGCTCCACAGACCCCACCATGTGCATCCCCTTAGTCCACAGCCTTTCAGCAGTTTTTCTCCACTGGCAAAGGATCCAGAGAGACAAGGGTTTTGTTTTCTTTGGCAGATCCTTTTCATCCTTGTGGATGCAGACGAACCCAGAAATGGACGTGTCTTCAAGTACTTCCGGGTCACAGAGGTCGATATCCCATCCGTCCAAATCCTAAACTTGAGCTCTGACGCCAGGTACAAAATGCCTTCAGATGACATAACCTACGAAAGCCTCAAGAAATTTGGCCGCAGCTTCCTGAGTAAAAATGCCACAGTAGGTTTTTTCTTGGACAAGGTTTATCCAGAACCTCAAAATCATCTCCTTCTCATAATTCTGTTGGCCTTGATAATTCTCCTCACCTGTATGTGGAGGCAGAATAAAGATCAACTTTGTGGCTCAATGTGGGGAAATCCCCCATCTCCCCACCTCAAATCTATCCAACTTCTGACCTATCCCAAGCCTTTAATTCCTCCACTTATTCTTAGTTGTAAAGTGGAGGCATTTCCTTTGCAGGAATTCACAATAGAAATGCAGGCACTCAGTAGTGTTAACTTGCACTCTGAAAGGAGGCTCTTCTTCTCCTATCACCTCCAATGTGAAAGATCTACTTGGTCCAAGAGTAGATGCTTGCTTTGAGGAGGAGAAGGGAGATGGAGCCACAGGGCAATCAAGATGTAGCCTTAAAAGCTTTAGGGACCTTTTGGTTGGATGGGGTTAGAAAGGGCATAGTCTATTTCGCTGACAGGAAGGAGAGGCTGCAGAAACACATGGAACACGTAGTCACCCACTGTCTATGTCTCCACAGCTACTCTGCTGAGTAAGGTAACCATATTATTAATTTTCCAAATTGGGACATTATGGGAGTAAAGGATTCTGGAATGGGCCAGGTGCGGTGGTTCATGCCTGTAATCCCAGCACTTTGCAAAGTTGAGGTGAGAGGATCACTTGAGCCCAGGAGTTCGAGGCCATACCAAGATCACATCTTGACAAAAAATTTAAAAATTAGCCAGGTGTGGTGGTGTGCATCTGTAGTCTCAGCTACTTAGGAGGCTGAGGCAGGAGCATTGCTTGAGCCTAGAGATCAAGGCTACAGTGAGCTACGATCACACCACTGCACTCCAGCCTGGGCCACAGAGGAAGACCCTGTCCAGCACCACCCCCCCAAAAAAAGTCTGGAACAATAGAAGTAAATCGAGACTCCAGACAAACCCAAATGATGGTCCCCTTACCTGAGTCTTCTACAGCCTTTTGTCCATTCTCCCAGAGACACAGCTGCCCCTATAGCCTTTTCTGTGGAAGCTGTCTCGTGTGCACAGCATTTTCATGGGCTGAGCGGTGAGGCTGCTGTCCTTCTTTCCAATTCCAACCCATTTTCCTTCTTTCATCTTCAGAAACCCCAGATGCCTTGGATCCCATGCTTTTTGACCCTGTGCTCCCACCTCCTTGTTGCTGTCCTCTGACTATCTGCCTTCACTCTCTGAGGACTTAGGCTCCTGATGGCAGCCTTTCCCTAGCCCCAACTCTGCTGTCATTTCCAGAGATGTCAGTGTCTACGACCCTGGTCTCTCTTCTCCAATAGCTGACGTGTCCATGCCATGTCAGCTCCCTGCTCCCATGCCCACAACCCGGAGATTGCAGTACCTCCCAATGCCTGATTTTTCCCTCCAGGACACACATGGCTACGATTCCTCATCCTTCTCATTGCCCTCACCCTCCTGATCCCATTTCTCTTTAGTGCCCCCTCTGTGAACTTGCATTCCATCATTCATTGCTCTGATGATGATTCCCTTACCTCCTTTATCCCCTCCATCTTCCACCTCCTGTATACCCCATAGTACTCACCAGGCAAGTTCCAACTCTGGTTGAACCCCCTTAACTTCCCTGCTTCCAGACCAACATCACCACGAGGGTGACTGGCTTCATGGCATTGCAAACCAGGCTCCCATGGACTCTGAAAAGTGTCCTGGCATCCATATGGAAATTTCAGTTAGTGTGTTCATTTTTAAATCTCAGAGTCTCTCTCTCCTCATATCCCATTCCCACTCACTCTCAGCTGAGTACTGTACCCCTAGATCACTAAGAAAATAGATGTCCTCACATTGGAGGCCTCCTCACTTTCCATTACCACATCTAAAATCCTACCTATCCTCTCTCTCTTCCTTGCAGTTAGATCTGAGGTGGTGTCCGTCTCCCTCGCAAAGGCCAACATGTCTTCTTATGCTGTTAGAGGAGAGATGGGCATCCTCTACAAGATCTATGAGATCCACCTGATCTGAGCCATTCCCAATTCCCCACAATTGTCACCATTTTCTATCTCCCATGCCCCATGGCCACCCCATGTGTGCTCCCACTGAAAGAATCTTTAAGTGCTTTCCAGAGGCTAGAGCGGGTGTGGTGAGGGAGGACACTGTGGAAGAAGAGGCTGTGAGCCAGACAGAGGCTGCACAGCAAGGGTCAACATGGTAAAACCCCGTCTCTACTAAAAATACAAAACATTAGCCGGGTGTGGTGGCACGCACCTGTAGTCCCAGCTACTCAGGAGGCTGAGGCAGGAGAATCGCTTCAACTCGGGAGGTGGAGGTTGCAGTGAGCCCAGATCCCACCACTGCATTCCAGCCTGGGTGACAGAGCGAGACTCTGTCTCAAAAGGAAAGAAAGGAAGAAAGAAAGAAAGAAAGAAAGAAAGAAAGAAAGAAAGAAAGAAAGAAAGAAAGAAAGAAAGAAAGAAAGAAAGAAAGAAGAAAGAGAGAGAGAAATAAATAAAGAAAGAAAGAAAGGAAGGAAGGAAGGAAGGAAGGAAGGAAGGAAGGAAGGAAGGAAGGAAGGAAAGAATTTGGTTTCCTAAGAGCAATGAGAGAAGCCAGATTTGCATGGTAGAAATAGAGCCCTGCTTATAGAGAATAAAGGTGTGGGAGGATTGGGAGGGGACGGGGGGAGAACATCTGGAGGCTCTTCTGGCAATCAAGATGAGAGATGGAGGCTACCTGGATTTGGTCAGTAACCACACAGATGGAGAAAATGATGTGGATTCAGGAGACATTCAGGAGGCAATGGTTGTAGATAAAAAATATGTTTTGAGGTTTCCAACACTTACTTCAAAAAGAAGCAAAAGCTGAGCTCATTTTTTGTTCATTCAGTTGCAAAACATTTATTGAGGATCTACTATGTAACAGGCAATGGATGCTCAATGGCGAGGAAAGAAAAATCTCTTATGACATTCCATCTATTATGGTAGAGACACATTAATCAAATAATTAGAAAAATAAATATAAATAGTAAACGTGAATAAGTGATACAAGAAAAAGTGCTGAGCATTATGAGAATTTATGGCAGCAAGTCCTCATCTAGATGCGGGGAGGGTCAAGGAAGTCCTCCCTTGGGTCATTCTGAGACATACATTTTGAGTTACCCAGATGAAGAAGGGAGAGTAGGAATCAGGAGTGGGGAGGCCTGTCAGCCAGAGGGAACAGCATTAACAAAGGCCTGAGCTGGGAGGAAGGTTGGCCATTTGGTTAAGCTGAAGACCAACATGGCTGAGGAAAGAAAAGAGAAGACTTCCTTTATTGCAGGAACCAATCAAAGTGTGATCAAGGTTTTATAGGTCATGCAAATGGTCTTGATCTTGATTCTTAGAGTAATTGAGGACAACTAATTTTTTTTTTTTTTTTTTTTTTGGAGACGAAATCTTGCTCTGTCAACCAGCCTGGTGTGCAGTAGCGCAATCTCTGCTCACTGCAACCTCTGCCTCCTGGGTTCAAGCAATTCTCTTGCCTCAGCCTCCTGAGTAGCTGGGATTACAGGTGCATGCCACCATACCCAGCTAATATTTGTATTTTTTCTTTTTTTAGTAGAGATGAGGTTTCACCATGTTGGCCAGGCTGGTCTCAAACTCCTGACTTCATGATCCACCCGCCTCGGCCTCCCAAAGTGCTGTGATTATAGGCGTGAGCCACCGCGCCCGGCTTAAATCTTCTTTTTATAAAATCTGAGAATCCATCCCAGTTTGAAGCTTTGTCTGCTCCTCAGTCCCCTGACCCCAAATCGCCCTGAACCATCCAGGGTTGACATCAAGCTCATGATCCATCTCAGTATTTCAAACCCTTTCCTAAGGCTCTTGTGAAAAAAACACGAGAAAACCTTTAGTGGTTTCCAATCAAGGTGGGGAGCCCCACAACTTCAAGACCCTTTATGAAGACTCTTAGGCCTCTCAAATGTGCTTCCTAGAAACATCAATCCAGTGAAGAGATTCCAAAATACTGGGACCAGGGACTGGTTAAGCAGCTCGTGGGGAAGAACTTCAACGTAGTCGTCTTTGACAAAGAAAAGGACGTATTTGTGATGTTCTGTAAGTATCTCCAAGAGGGGTTCTGAGGCAACGGGTGCCAAAATTATGTTTCAAGTGTTTCTCCTGAATTGTTGGGCACTGAAATCTCTAAAACCCATCAATGCACCATGCCAAGGATGGTCTTCAGATACCCAAAGGGATTGACTCAAGATGCTATCAGGAACAATGCAACTCTTTCCCCCAGAAATGTAATTATTGGAATGTATGCAATGCCTTCCACATAACCCAGGCCTATGGCTGTTTGTAAAAACAATAATGCTCATGGCTGACAATGTTTGCTTGGATGCTGTAGTATATTGGGCTTTATTCTAAGCCATTGCATACATTATCTCATTTAATCCTAACGACATCCTTTTGAAAGTAGCTACTTTTATTGCTCAGACTTTGCAGATGACTAAATAGGGTCTCAGGGAGGAGAAGACATTTTTCCATTATCTTGCAGTCAGTAAGTGCCGGAACTGGGATTTGAACTTAGGCATCTGACTTCAGCACCTACACTCCTAACTGCTGTACAGGATTTCTTTGCTTCTGGCTTTAGATGACTTATCAAATGGCCCATAGGAGGTGGGGACCCCAATCCTCCATGTACAGTACTTAGCACAGCGTCTGGCATATTGTAAGCACTTGATAAGTGACAATTGCTACTGCTGTTGTTATTCCTATCATTATAATTACTTCCAGGGCTTATCTAAGGACTATTGCCCTTTTCCCATTGTTTCTGATTTGCACGTGGGAGACAAAGCCAGAGATGTTCTCTCCCACCCTGAGACACAGAGAAAGGTGATACTGAAGTTCCTTCAGACATTTCTTTTATTTTAACATTTAATGAGCCCTTACAATGAGTCAAGCATGAGTTTGCTGTTGACACACCTGCTCTAATGAGCTGTGTAACAAGTTTGTGAGGAAGGTATGGTGGTTTTCCCCATGTCACAGATCAGGGAACCCCATCTCAGAGAGGTTAATGATCTTACCCTAGGTCACACAGTAAGTAGCAAGACAAGAAGTTTAACACAAGCTCTAGTGCTATTACTTTCTGGAGGGTAAGACAAGGGCTACACTGCATCATGCAGGCCTTTTACAATCACTCTGAAAGGGACTGTTATTCACAGAGTGAGGTGCTTAAGGTCTGTGGCTGAATCACCAAGATCCGCTGCCTTTCAATGAGAGGCTAGATGCAGCTGTTCTGTACTTAAGTCACACCCAGAATTGTAAGACTGTCCATTTCATTTTGATAAAAGGCAACAGCAGCTTCATTTTCTTGGAAGTAGGGCCACGGGATTGGCCCCCTGGGGCTGCAGCCATTATGCCCCCTCCTGTTCTGACCCAGGACCCGCTGAGTGCTAGGGGGGCTGCCAGAGATGCTGCAGGCAGGGGGGATGGCCATGGAGACACTTGGCTTGTAAATGGGGTATGATCATCCAAAAGTGGTGTGTCTGGGGGCTTTTGAGGCCATTTCGCTTACAGAGCCAGAAACTGAGCTTTGAGCTCTAGTAGAAGGAAAGCAGGAAAGATTTGCTTTCCCTTGGGTTGGAGCTGGTCTCTGGTTTCCAGAGGCCCAGGAGCCTGGACCACACTCAAAGACCAAAGAACTGTCCACAAGAAAGTTCAGTGTCCCCTGTCCAAGAGTAATTATACCTGTCACACTTCTTGGGGATGTTCTCCTCCTCTGAATTATATATGTATAATAACATGACATGTAATTACCTATAAATGACATGACATAACATAACATAATATCTATATGTTATGTTATATTAATGCCTACCTGTGGTATAGTGGTCACAGGTCAAAGCAGCCTGTCTTTAAACCCCACTTCTTCTGCTTAATTACTCTGGTCTGAAAAGTGCAATTACTGCATAGCTTTGGGCAAGTTCCCAAACCTCTATTGTGAAAACCCCCGTGTGCTGTAACACATATGCACACACACACACACACACACACACATACACATACACAAAAACACACACACACTTTTTGGAAGAACATTAAAGTCATCTAGCGTAAATATTGTTCTTGGCTTTCTTCTTCTACTAGAGTGGAACACTATGTTAAAAGAAAGGAATTTGAAAAAAAGAAAAAAAGCAAGCTGGGCACAGTGGCACAAGCCTGTAGTCCCAGCAAATCAGGAAGCTGAGATGGAAGGATCTCTTGAGCCCAGGAGTTTGAGTTTGAGCCTAACCTGGGCAACATAGCAAGACCTTGCCTCTAAAAAGCAAAACAAAAAAATAGAAGAAAACATGAACACACTAAAAGTGTTAGTATTTAGGTGGAAGAGGGCTAAGCTATTTTTTTCTTTTTGTTTTCTTTTTCTTTTTCTTTCTTTCTTCCTTTTTTTTTTTTTTTTTTTTGAGATGGAGTCTCTCTCTGTCACCCAGACTCGAGTGCAGTGGCGCAATCTCGGCTCATTGCAACCTCCACCTCCCGGGTTCAAGCAATTCTCCTACCTCAGCCTACCGAGTAGCTGGGATTACAGGTGCACGCCATCATGCTCGGCTAATTTTTGCATTTTTAGTAGAGATGGGATTTCACCATGTTGGTCAGGCTGATCTCGAACTCCTGACCTTGTGATCCACCCGCCTCAGCCTCCCAAAGTGCTGGGATTACAGGTGTGAGCCACTGCACCCAGCCAAAACTATTTTTTTTCTAATTTATCGAATAACAATTGGGAACTATTGCTGAAATGTAAAAATAATCTAATATATGATTAAAAGAAGGAGGGAGTGCAATTGGCAAAACAGCAGGACCACAAGTGGAACACAGCGATGCCATGTGTAGGGTGGCGCCAGCTTTCTGGATCTTCATCAATGTGAGCCTGAGCCATGGACCTTCTCTTCCAGATGCACCCTGGTCTAAAAAGTGCAAGATGCTGTTCCCACTGTTGGAGGAATTGGGCAGAAAATATCAAAACCACTCCACAATTATCATTGCCAAGATCGATGTCACAGCAAATGACATTCAGCTGATGTACCTGGACCGGTACCCATTCTTCAGGCTGTTCCCCAGCGGCTCTCAACAAGTGAGGGGCTCTTGGGACGCACATGGCTGAAAACAATGTTATGTTATTATCAGGGACTCAGTTTCTCCCTACCACCAGCTGCGCTTTCTACCAAACCAGTTTTATTCTCAGCTGTAGCCACTATCCATCCTCTCACATTCAAGTTCAAAGATTATTTTCCAGTAGTTTGCACCAAAGTCCTGAGACTCACTATCATTGGGTGTAGCTTGCATATCCCTGACCCAACCACTGTGGCCAAGTGGATGTGGGTGTTTTGATGGGCAGGCCTGGTTTTATATGGTTCCTGCTAGCATTGGGGCTGAGCTCTGCCCTAACTATCTGAAATAAGGTGGGAGGAATCTCCATGAGAATATTGGATGTGGGGTATTACCAGGTGAAGGCAAAAATACATGCTAGAGACAAACAATGTCATTTCCACCTTGGGATTACAGTCATTGGCCATAACCAGTGTTGATACAACCCACACTCCATGCCATGTCCATGCATGGGAAAGAGCATCAGTCAAAGAAATGTGAGCCCAGGTTCCTGCTCCTTAGAAGAGTATGGATGAATGCAATTGAAATCAAGGGGGAGGAAGAGCTTCTGGAGGGCAGATATGGCTGCAAGTCTCCATGCAGACCCAGGACTCTGCAGAATGGTGGGGACTTAAATCAGGTTAGAGGAGGGACTGTGTACTACAGGTAGGAAGTGTGGTCTGAACAAAGAGGTGGGCAGAAGGGTGACCCCAGCACTGTGGCAAGATTCCACTGTGACCCACTCTTTGCTCAGTCTGCACTGCAGAGGATGCATGTCGGGGAGTTGTGTTACTGAGGCTGGGCTGAGAGGATGAGGCTAAGGTAGTAATCTCAAATTATCTGAAAAGAAGCTTAGGTGACCTGTGGGCATTAAGCAGCTTCTGAACTTTCCTAAAGAGGAAAGGGAGTCGGGCGTGGTGTCTCAACGCGTGTAATCTCATTACGTTGGGAGCCTGAGGCAGTTGGATCACGAGGTCAAGAGATCCAGACCATCCTGGCCAACATGGTGAAACCCCGTCTCTACTGAAAATATAAAATTAGCCAGTCGTGGTGGTGCATGCCTGTAGTCCCAGCTACTCAGGAGACTGAGGCAGGGGAATCGCTTGAACCTGGGAGGCAGAGGTTGCAGTGAGCTGAGATCACGCCACTGCACTCCAGGATGGTGACAGAGCAAGATTCCATATAAAAAAAAAAAAAAAGAGGAAAGGGAACTTGTGATAATGGAGCACTGACCATGTACCAGATGCTTCCGAAAAGAACTATTCTTCCTCTTATTATTGTTGCTATGATAGTAATAATAATAATAACAAACGCCTATCGTGCTTATCATGAACCAGGCGCTGTTTTCAATACTTCACATACATTACCTCATTTAATCCTTATAACAACCCTACGAGGTAGGTACTATTTTGTCTCCATATTAGAGATAGGAAAAGTGAGTCAGAGAAATTAAATAAGCAGACCACACTGCAGTAATGCAGCCAAAGTTTAAGGCTTTGCTGTGTGGTTTTACAGTCCGTGCTTTGATCCACTGCATAACAACCCTATGTCAGAAGCATTTTTATTATCCTTCCCTTGGAACCATGGCACTGGAGGCTAAGAGAGGTTAGGGAACCTGCATAACATACCCGGGGTTGTTAGGAATTTGACCCTGGGTTTACCTAGGTAGCAATCCTCGAGCATCTCTGCGGGAAGAGGATCCCATCCTGACCCTGTTCCATTTTCATCCTAGGCTGTCCTGTATAAGGGAGAACACACCCTGAAGGGCTTCTCTGACTTCCTGGAAAGCCACATCAAAACTAAGATTGAGGATGAGGATGAGGTAAGGGGCAACAGAAATACTCTGAATTATTCTGTCCCACACAGAATCCCTAGGAACTTAATGGACAACAAAAGAGTATGGCTGGAGTTCCATAATCTTGGGAGATGGTTGAGGATGGATGGAGAAGCATCCAGGTTGGGTGACTCTACTAGTCACCTTTATTTCAAAGGCACTTACTATGGGAAGCAGAAATGGCAAACTTTAGAAACATCTAGAAAGACCAAGGCTCTGAGGTAACACACAGCTCCTTGCCTTGGGCCGCTTCCCTGGCACTGACCAGATGTCTTGGTGGGATTCTGCCCTCTGGCATTACTCTCCTGATGCATAGGACCACAGTCCCCTTTCTCCCCTAGCCATGCCTCAGTGAGGCCCTCTGCTGGACAGTGCCCTCTGTATTAATTAAGACTTCCACTGGAAATTTCAGACACTACTCTTTGCTTTAAGCAACAATGGGAATTTATCCCATATAACTGGTAGAACATCAGGTGTGGGTGGATCCGGAACCCAGACTTGCTTTCTGTCTTCCCATCTCTGTTTTCCTCTATGTTGGTTTCATTCTCAAGTAGTCATTTCCCCACAGAAGTTCAAAGATTACACCACAGCTCCAAACTATCATCCTCCCAGTTTAGAAAGCAAGCATCTACTTCTTAGATGTCCCAGAAAATGTCCTGGACAGAGATCTCATTAGCTAAGACTGGTCACCTGTCCAGTCCTGGAGCTAGTGGTGCAGGAGCCACATCTACAGACTTAGAACCTTTGGTTCCCCCAAAGGTCCTCTTACCTGAAGGGTGAAACCACAGTTGGGCACTTTACCTCTGAAACCAAACGGATCTTCAGCATCTGTGAAAACCCTGCAGTCCAAAGACTGATTCTCTCTGGGCACTTTCAGAAAAAGTAGGCTTGACTATTACAACCACAATGATGACATATTTCTTGCCTCTTTATTTCTTTCTCCCTTTCTTCCCTCCCTCCCTTCTTCCTTCCACCTTTGCTTTCATAGCTGTTGTCTGTTGAGCAAAATGAAGTGATAGAAGAGGAAGTGCTAGCTGAGGAAAAGGAGGTGCCTATGATGAGGAAAGGGTTACCTGAACAGCAGTCGCCTGAGCTGGAGAACATGACCAAGTACGTATCCAAGCTGGAAGAGCCCGCTGGGAAGAAGAAAACATCTGAGGAGGTGGTGGTGGTGGTGGCTAAGCCAAAGGGACCTCCAGTGCAAAAGAAGAAACCAAAAGTCAAGGAAGAACTTTAGCTTCTCCAATACCAGGAAAAAAGATGCTTATTTTCCAGATCCTGGCATCATTTTCTGAATGGATTGATTCCAATAAAAGCATATATCATTGTGGTAGGGTAGGTGGGGCGGGGGTAGGGGTGGATAATAAAGCCTCTGAGTGTCCTTGGCTCTGTTTTACTCATGACCTCTTTTTCCTGGTTGGTGCAGTCTTAGAAGAACTGTTTGACCTAGAATTCAGACACGACTGCAAGGGAAGCCACAGTAGCAACATTCAATGAGTGTGTGCAACATGCTCGGCATTCATCTAGTTCTCACACCATCACTGAGCTGGGGTTCCTTATCCCCATTCTATAGATGGGAAAAACTGAGTCACAGAGAGGTTAAGCAACCAGTCAGGATCACACAGGTAGAAAGCTGTTGAGATGCAACCAATCCCAGGCAATCACACTCCAAAGACTGTGCATTTAACCACTATGCTACCATCTCCTACGAGGTTAGGTGTCCCCAGAGTTTGGCTGTCTTTCAAATAAGGTGGATTGATTGGCTTACACTGCATTTGGGCACAGTAAGAAAACGATCAAATCCCAAACCTGTCCTCAGACTTCCACATCTCAGTAAGTGGCCCATTCACTCAAGCAATCACTCCAGAATCATCAACAACTGACTTTTTCTTTCTTCCTTTTTTTTTTCTTTTTTTTTTTTTGGAGACAGGGACTCACTCTGTCACCCAGGCTACCCTATCCAGCCACCCACCTACCCTACCACAATGATATATGCTTTTATTGGAATCAATCCACTCAGTGCAGTGGCATGAACACGGCTCACTGCAGCCTCAACCCCCTAGGCTCAAATGATCCCTCCGTCTCAGCCCCACAAGTAGCTGGGACTGCAGGCACGCACCACCATGCCCAGCTAATTTCTGTGTATTTTTGGAGAGATGGGGTTTCACCATGTTGCACAGGCTGGTCTTGAACTCCTGAGCTCAGGCAATGCACCTGCCTTGACCTCCGAAAATGCTGGGTTCAACTGCCTTCTTTTACTATCATAAAAGTAGCTTATCCATCCATGTAATTCTACCCACTTCCCTTCATCTCCACTGACTGTCACCCGCCATTTCTCAGCTGAAGTCTCCTAACTGGTCTTTTTGCTGCCCCTCTGTGCCTCCCTCCCAGCCCCCATCCCAAACCCCTCCATATTCCATGCAATCACTGAGGCTATCTTTTAAAAACCCATAGCCTTAAGCACTTGCAACATCACCTTGTCTAATTCTGTAATGCAGAACGGATCGCTGACCCGTATGGGTAGGTGTCCTGTCAGGAACCCGGCGGCACAGCAGGAGGTGAGTGGCGGGTGAGTGAGCATTACCGCCAGAGCTCCACCTGGGTATTAGATTCTCATAGGAGCCCAAACCCTACTGTGAACTGGGATATGAGGGATCTAGGTTGCCGGCTCCTTATGAGAATCTAATGCCTGATGATCTGGCATTAGATCTGTGCCATTGAAGAGGTTCATCCCATTTCTTATTTCCTAGTTTCATACCATTTCCCTCCTGACCCCCCACGACACCCTCCGACCCCCTCCACCTTCCCACCCCCATCCCTGGAAAAATTGTCTTCCAGGAAACCGGTCCCTGATGCCAAAAAGATTGGGGACTGCTGCTGTAATGGCATCTTTATTGCTTTTAGAATAAAATCTAGTCTGCCTACCATGCCTTCAACACCTTGAAAGGTCTGGCCCCACAGATCTCCTCCTCTCCCTCTCCCCCTCACATTCTAGGCCCCAGCCACACTTCCTGTCTACTCTATGAACAAGCCAAATTCACTCTCTCCTCATGTTCCCTCTGCCTAAATGCACTCCCTTCAAAATACATTTCCCCCAGTTCCTCACATAGCCATGTTCTTTTCTTGGTTCAAATCTCAGCTCACCTGTCACCACCTCCAAAAGGCATTCCTGGAGACTAAAAATTGAAAGCATCTTATTTTGTTGTGCAATGATATATTGCCTGATTCTCCAATTAATATGTAAGCTCCACGAAAGTAGATATATCTATTGTTTTTTTTCTTGCCGTATTCCCTTTGCCTAGAACTCTGCTTGACACATAGTAGATGCTCAATAAATGCTCGTGGATCAATCAAATATTCCATTTTAGGTGAGAAATACATAATTTCATAGTCATCCCAAAAGGCAGAGGTGCTGACAGTGTTGTCCCCAGATCCAAACTGGAATCTGTATTCGTTCCCTATTTTTGATCTGACAAATTAACACTTAAGTGGCTTAAAACAACACAAACTTACTCTCTTAGAGTTCTGGAGGCTAGAAATTAGAAATCAATTCCACTGGACTAAATTCACGAGTTAGTCCCTTTTGGATGAATTCCCTGCTATGCCTTTTCTAGCTTCTGGGAGGCCCCTGCATTCCTTGGTTTATGGTTCTGTCCTAGAATCACTCTGACTTTTCATTTCATCCTTACACCTACTTCCTCTGACTCCTCCTGCATCACTTTTATAGGCACCACTGTGATTGCATCCAGCCTGCCCAGACAACCTCTCCATCTCAGGATCTGTAATCACACTGCACAGTCCCTTTTGCCATAAAAGGCAACACACACAGGTTTGGGGATTCAGAGGTGAACGTATTTGGGGGTCATTATTCAGCCTACCACAGATTTAACTCATGGATTTGTGTCATTCATTTCAGCCAGGCCTTCTCTTGAGAAAAGAAGGGCAGCATTCTTTTAGAAATTGAGGTCTCTAGAAACCACCTGGGTCTCTCCACTCCTCACCTGTCATGTAAGGCAAAGGCTATTTGTGCTTTCTCATACCTCCAGAGACAGCTCCCATGCCCCTCACCCTGAACCTGGCCTGTCCACAACCAGAGGAAGCAGGGAACAGCCTGCGGCTCTGGAACTCACCTGAGCCGAATTCCCCAACAGGAGCAGGTGTTAGTATTCAGGACACGGTGTAAGGCTCACCTGCCTCGGCCTTGAGGTCATGTGGCTGCCAGTTGAAGGAGGGTTACGGGGGGCTGCCTAGACTAGATCATGTGGCATAGAGCCCCTGACAGGCCACGAGCCAGAGAATGGGTGTGCCACCTCCAGGTCCCCCAGGCGTAACTGGAGCCTCAGGAGGTGTGTGCTCAGAGAGGTAGGTGGGACAGGTAATACCCCTCTTTTGGGGGATCTTCTCCCTTGGCTCATTTTTTGCCGCTTTCTGACACACACCAACCTCTCATTCTAAGTTTTTGTGTTCTGTTTGATCAATTTTTCAAAACTCTCCACCCTTTAGTTTCACTCTTTCCAAAACTACCTAAAACCACTTATCCTTCTAAGACCCTGTCATGGCTGAGCATGGAATGTTCTGTAACCCAAGGAATGCAGGTAAATCTGAGTGAGATTTGAGTTTTAGTCTGGATTTAACACTCGCTAGCTGTGTAATCTTGGGGGAGTTACTCCACCTCTCTGAACTTGTCTTCTTCCCTGTGACGTGGGTTGTTGTGTTTCATTGTTTGAGACAATGGAGGCAAAAGCACTGAGCACAGTGTCTGACCCAAGAGAAGTGCTCAGTGGGTGATTGTTCTCAGCATTATTAAGATCAAGTCTCCTACCCATGTTTGAAAGTTAAGAGAGAAAAGTGTTTCAGGCTGGTTGTGGTGGCTCATGTCTGTAATCCCAGCACTTTGGGAGGCCGAGGCAGGCAGATTACCTGAGGTCAGGAGTTCGAGACCAGCCTGGCCAATGTGTACAAAAAAAACACAAATTAGCCGGGCATGGTGGTATGCACCTGTAATCCCAGCTACTCGGGAGGCTGAGGATTCAAGGATTCAAGAGAATCACTTGAACTTGGGAGGTGGAGGTTGCAGTGAGCCAAGACTGAGCCACTGCACTCCAACCTGGGTGACAGAGCAAGACTCCATTAAAAAAAAAAAAAAGAAGAAGAAAAAGAAAGAAAGAAAGAAGAGTGTTTCAAGAGCGAAGTGCTGAGAGATTAAGGTTCGTTCAAAAACAAATATTTATTGTGCACTGTCCTAGAGGTAAGATAAAGAGAAAAATATTGATTGAATTTGGTAACATGGATGTCTTTGGTGAACTTGATGAGCAACAGAGCAGGAAATTATGGCCACTGACAACTTGTTATACTCACAGATCCCAAGAGAAGGGGACACACCACACTGGGCAGAGGGGCTGAAGGGAGAGGAAGAGCTGCTGGGAAGTACCAGGGTCGGTCAGGAAGCAAAGAGAGCAAGGGAAAAGGCAG
Organism: Homo sapiens; assembly: GCF_000001405.40. Lineage (NCBI taxonomy): Eukaryota > Metazoa > Chordata > Mammalia > Primates > Hominidae > Homo > Homo sapiens. Next base: position 20,355,083 of record NC_000016.10, on the reverse strand, counting down.
GAAAGAGCCTTTATTGTAGTTTCTGCAGGAAGGAATGGGAGAGGCAAGGTAAGCAGATTTAGGATTGGCTTAGTTTGAATAATTTCAGAGACCTCTGGGCCATAGGAGTTGTCTCTAGTTGTCTGGTACCTGGTCCCTTGGGGTGATCTAAAGCAGCAAGTAGTGACCCTAAGTGTAAAAGCCCCAAAAAGGAGGCCAAGGGTTGGGGGTATGTGGTCTGGATTGATTGATTTGCAGTCGGAAAGGCACATTCACAGATAAGTCGTTTTTGATCTCTAGTAATTATTGAGCCCTGGGAGGGGCAGTCCCTCCATGATCAGTAAGGCCCCAAAATGTACAAGCACCAAATACAGAAACTAGAAAGCATGGTGATTACACTTATGAATAGATTCCAACCCAAACTCCCCATTTTCCTGCCCAAGTCTTTGTCAAGAAAACTCCAGAAGCCACCTGGGGTCACTGTCTTTAATCCTTTGAAGACACCCATAATAAGGTTTAGACAAGGCCTCATGAAAAAGGTATAGGATAAAAACGACTAGTTCAGAAAAAAAAAAGTAAATAAATGAAGAGATAACTTCCCTTTTCATCAAAGAATTGCAAAAATGAACAATAATGAGATCGTTTCCACTTATCCTTTTGGCAAAGATGAAAGCAAGTTACCAATGCTCAGAACTGGTGAGTAGTGTTGGTGGGATTGTAAACCAATTTATAATAATTCTCTGGGGTGCTGTTTGGGAAGAGGAGTCAATATTCCTACAGCTGTGCTACCTCTTTGACCCAGAATTTCCACTCCTTGGACATAATCCTGAGGAGATGACAACACCAGTGCCAGTGGTTACCCTACCACTGAGTGGGACAGGATGGAGAAATGTCCTGAAAAGAGCAATTCACAATAGCAAAGACTTGGAACCAACTCAAATGTCCATCAATGATAGACTGGATTAAGAAAATGTGGCACATATACACCGTGGAATACTATGCAGCCATAAAAAATATGAGTTCATGTCCTTTGTAGGGACATGGATGAAGATGGAAACCATCATTCTCAGCAAACTATCGCAAGGACAAAAAACCAAACACCGCATGTTCTCACTCACAGGTGGGAATTGAACAATGAGAGCACTTGGACACAGGAAGGGGAACATCACACCCAGGGGCCTATTGTGGGATGCGGGGAGCGGGGAGGGATAGCATTAGGAGTTATACCTAATGTAAATGACAAGTTAATGGGTGCAGCACATCAACATGGCACATGTATACATATGTAACAAACCTGCACGTTGTGCACTTGTACCCTAAAACTTAAAGTATAAAAAAAAAAAAGATCAATGCAGTGATCATGGTGATATTTTCCTGCTCAGCCCAAGTTCACACATATTTTATTTTTCTCAACATGATGACAGCCACTCTCACACTGACTTTTGGAATGTCATGTATGTTGAACTGGGTCTGAAGACATGGTTTTAACTCAGGCTCTGTCATTTTCTACCTCAGTGATTGCACAACAGCAAAGCAGAATTTTCACTACTTCCATGAATATAATCATTACTATATGACTTTACTTGCATCATCTCCTTTGGTTACTATTACTACTGTGGGAGATGGGTATTCTCATTTTATAGACAAGGAAATTGACCTCTGGACCTCAGGAAGGTTAAGAAATGAGCCCACTGCCACACAATAAACACCAGATAAAGGAGGCAGACTGACTCCAAAGTCAGTCTATTTAAGTGCAAATTTATTTCGCCTCCAAAGGGACCTCCCAGTCATCAGACCTGATTCTTTGTTGTACAGAGTGGGTCAGGTCCAGTGATGTCTGAACTACCTTCTGGTTCTGACTTTCAGCCATTCTCAGCTCCTCTCTTGCTTGTGTCTGGATTCTAAGGCTGATCTCATGAGAATGGGTGTTTCAGAAGGGTGCCCTCTCCAAGACAGGTGCACCTCCCATCTGGGGCAGTGAATATCCCTTTTGTCCTTATGCAGCCTGGCTTCAGATACTGGCTTCTGCCTGGCTCCTTGATCCCACCCTGCCCTTGTCAGTGACCAAGAAGAAGCCCAGCACCTTGGCACTGCTTTCCCAGTTAATTTCTAACTATGGAATCTCTTGCTGTTAGAAGGTGCGAAACAGTGACCTTGTATTTCCGGGCACAGGTGTGACCCCCCAATGTCAATCATTTGGGGTCTCTAGCTATTAGGAAAAAGAACAACAACAACCTCACAGCTTGGACAAGGCAAACATTATGCCAGGAGGAAAAAATATTCCACCCCCAAGAAAACAATATCAAAAAACAGAACTAGAGACTAATTGGAGGAGAGATTGCCAGCCTGGGGCAAATGTGTATATATAAGTATGAGGCACATCATGACCAGACTAACTCTACCTTTCTGGCTTCAGGTAAGGCTATCTGTAGCTGTCTTCTCCTAGCCCAGCTTCTCCCCATCCTATTTGAGGGAGGTAGGAGAGGAAATTAAGACCTTGGACACTGGGGTCAGACCTGGATTTGAGTCATTATTCTGCCAATTATTGGCTTCATGATCTTTAGTAAGTTAGTTTTCCTCTCTTTGATCCTCTCTGTCCTAGTAACAATGACTACTATTTTTTGACTTATTCCATGAATATTAGTTATGCACCTATTATGTGCCAGGTACCAGGGTTACAACAATGAACAACTTGCTATGTGCTGGGCCCTGCTCGACATATGTCATCTTAGTTAATCCCAGTGACAATATGCAGTGTTTTAGGTCGCATCTTATTAGCGGGTCATAAAATCATTCCTTTTGTGGGTTATATCCAGGGACTTCTTTTAATTAAATATAATAGAATATGTCAGTAAGCAATACAAATTTGAGGCAAGCAGTTAGCCTCTTTGTCCCCCTGTTTTCTCATCTGCAAACTAGGATAATACTTATCTCATAGGGTTGTGGTAAGAATTAAATCACTTAATGTAGTAAGGATATCAATTGTCTTATAAAATTTTATGTGTGTGTGCACATACATGCAGAAGCGACTGCACTAGATCATGACATAAAATGTTTTTCTTTCTTTCTGTCTTTTTTTTTTTGGGGGGGGGGGATGGACTCTCTGTCACCCAGGCAGGAGTGCAGTGGCACGATCTCAGCTCACTGCAACCTCTGCCTCCCAGGTTCAAGCAATCCTCCTGTCTCAGCCTCCCGAGTAGCTGGGATTACAGGCGCCCACCACCATGCCCGGCTAATTTTTGTATTTTTATTAGAGATGGGGTTTCACCATGCTGGCCAGGCTGGTCTCAAACTCCTGACCTTGTGATCCACCCCCTCAGTCTCCCAAAGTGTTGGGATTACAGGCATGAGCCACTGCACCTGGCAACATAAAATGTTTTTCTTTTAGTACATCATGGTCACGAAGATCTGGAAAACGTTGCTCTAGGACCCAATGCCTTTGAGCACATGAATGTCTTTGAACTGAGCCTGGCCCATCATAGATATTCAGTTTGTGAAAGCAACAATCTCCATTTCACAGACAAAAACGGAGACTTAGTAAACTGAAATACCCACATCACAGTGTTAGTGATCAGTAAAGCAGGGATTTGAACCTCAGGTGCAGGCTGCAGCTCCTACATACTTAACCAACATGCCACCCTATTTTGCTGCTATAAACACTGGGGTAATACTGGCATCCACCCTGGACTATTTTTCCAATTGGAAGAAATAGTAAGTGACCACTCCAGAAACATTTAAATGCATTGTGAAGGTTAATTACCTCTCAAGTTGCTCGTCTCAAGCCACTTCTTTACGATATGTGAGTTGCATGAAGGAGCAGACTGCCATGTTCATTGTTCTCCATGGTGACTAGCTCCCTGTTTGGCACAATGTAGCTACTCAATAGATGTTTGTTGAATGAATAAGTGATCCAGGCAAATTGAAAGTTTCCAGGCAGAGGATCAGTTAAAATCCAAAGCTGCCTTCAGTAAAGTGGTGAGTCCAGAACACTATTCCATCTGGCTACTTCCTGCTCCAAATGACTGAGTTCTTCAAAATGTGCAATGTGCTGAGAATTGGGGAGCCAAGACTGGGATGTTGGTGAGGTAAGGAGGGGGAGTACAAGGGGTAAAGTCCCAGCAAAACAAGGGCTGCAGTGTTATGCAATTTTTTAGTCCATATAAGTGACACCTCCTGGAGTTGTATACTATACAATCAAAGCACTCCTTCCAGCTGTGGGGAGGAGAGTTAGATCATGCATTTGTCCCATCCATCTCTGTTCACAGGACACCAGACATCAGAGACAGAGAGAAAAATTCAAAGGGCCAACCCGTCTTTCCTTTGGGCAGGTGCTATCTAGACCTGAAGTAGCGGGAAGAGCAGAAAGGATGGGGCAGCCATCTCTGACTTGGATGCTGATGGTGGTGGTGGCCTCTTGGTTCATCACAACTGCAGCCACTGACACCTCAGAAGCAAGTAAGTGAAAAGTGTGTGTGCGTTGTATATGTGTGTATGCACGTGTATGTGTGAATGTGTGGGGGAAGCAATGTAGCACCTGTCAGAGGTGATCTCAATCCTCCTATCGCACTTGAGACTTGCATTGTCTTCATTCTAAGTCCATTTCTTAGACTCAATATGCACAGGACTGACTTAGAAATTTTGCTAAAGTGCATATTCTGGTTCAGCAGATCTGCAGTAGGACCTGAGATGCTGAATTTTTAACAAGCTTCCAGGCGATGCTCATACTGGGGTCCCTGGAGTACACATTGAAAAGCAAGGGGCTAGAACATCTCTAAGGCCTGCAGGCCCTTTATTGGAAGTCAGAAACATACTCTATCACATAGGAGATTTGAACCCATGCAGGAGGATCCAAACACCTTCCCTTTCAACTTTAAGAGGTCATTCCATTGGGTTGAGATTTGCTGTCACCCCACTTTCATTTTCTCCCTGGAGTACGTTGGGGCACGATGAATACTATTGCGGTGTCCTGGTTAAAAGCACATATTTTGTGGTCCTGCCATCTGCGTTTTTATCCTGGTTCTACTTCTTACCAAAGGAGTAAGGGGCTTAATCCCTCTGAACCTCAGTCTCCTCATCTTTAAAATAAGGATACATAAAAAACTGACCTCACGAGGCCCTTGGGAAGTATTCAACAAGATAGTGAGTGAAAAGTGCACATCCTATTGCCTGGCATATAGTAATTGCTTAATAAACAACAGCTTCTTTTTTTTTTTAATGGTTATTTTTATTACGGAGGAACAAAGTACAACTGCCCAGCCAGGTGGAGTTGGAGGACTCCGCAGAGAGGAGGCGACACTGAGCAGGGTCCTGATGAAGATTTCACCAGCCAGGGAAGCAGAAAACATAAAATGTGCAAAGAAAGGGAGGGGCAACAGGTTCACCGTAAATCCTACCAAAGTATAGGAATTCTGCGCATTACTTTTCTGAATGTGGCTATTTTAAAAGAAGACAGCTTGAAAGCAATGCTTAACACAAAAAATGAATGGTGGAGCTGGGCGCGATTGCACGTGCCTGTGGTCCCAACTTTTTGGGAAGCTGAGGCAGGGTGCGGTGGTGGCTTGAACTCAGGGAGTAGAACGCTTGAACCCAGGAATTGGAGGCTATGGTGAGCTATGATCGCACTACTGCACTCCAGCCTGGGCGACAGAGCAAGACCCCTCTCCAAAAAAATAAATAAAGTTAAAAAATACAATGAAATAAACACAGAATGAACGGTGGAGGCTTGACATCATCAGAGGAGTTTTGTTTCTTTGCTTCTTTCCTTGTTTTGGAGGGAGCCCTCTAGGGAATAAGTCTTAAAAATAATGAGTTCCCTGGAGAATGAGGGAAGGATCTCTGGGTGGCCATGGGCCCAGCTGCCCAAACCCTGAAGCTGGGCTTTTCTGTCCACAGGATGGTGCTCTGAATGTCACAGCAATGCCACCTGCACGGAGGATGAGGCCGTTACGACGTGCACCTGTCAGGAGGGCTTCACCGGCGATGGCCTGACCTGCGTGGACCTGGATGAGTGCGCCATTCCTGGAGCTCACAACTGCTCCGCCAACAGCAGCTGCGTAAACACGCCAGGCTCCTTCTCCTGCGTCTGCCCCGAAGGCTTCCGCCTGTCGCCCGGTCTCGGCTGCACAGACGTGGATGAGTGCGCTGAGCCTGGGCTTAGCCACTGCCACGCCCTGGCCACATGTGTCAATGTGGTGGGCAGCTACTTGTGCGTATGCCCCGCGGGCTACCGGGGGGATGGATGGCACTGTGAGTGCTCCCCGGGCTCCTGCGGGCCGGGGTTGGACTGCGTGCCCGAGGGCGACGCGCTCGTGTGCGCGGATCCGTGCCAGGCGCACCGCACCCTGGACGAGTACTGGCGCAGCACCGAGTACGGGGAGGGCTACGCCTGCGACACGGACCTGCGCGGCTGGTACCGCTTCGTGGGCCAGGGCGGTGCGCGCATGGCCGAGACCTGCGTGCCAGTCCTGCGCTGCAACACGGCCGCCCCCATGTGGCTCAATGGCACGCATCCGTCCAGCGACGAGGGCATCGTGAGCCGCAAGGCCTGCGCGCACTGGAGCGGCCACTGCTGCCTGTGGGATGCGTCCGTCCAGGTGAAGGCCTGTGCCGGCGGCTACTACGTCTACAACCTGACAGCGCCCCCCGAGTGTCACCTGGCGTACTGCACAGGTCAGCCGGAGTCTCCCCACAGTCCTCATCCCAGGCCTGGAAAGGCACTGCAGAGGACGGGGGTGCGTCCTTATTGATTGTCTGTCTGTCCCTGTGACCCTGCAGACCCCAGCTCCGTGGAGGGGACGTGTGAGGAGTGCAGTATAGACGAGGACTGCAAATCGAATAATGGCAGATGGCACTGCCAGTGCAAACAGGACTTCAACATCACTGGTGAGGCCAGTGGGGAGGAAGCGGGTTGTTGAGAAACCTGTCACTGCCTGGGGGAGGGACACATTCCTCCCCTGTGAGATTGGGGCCATATGGGTATGACGCAGGGGATATATATCCAACCTGAGTGAAAACAGAAGATCCACTAATACCCATTAAAGCCGGCAAGAGGCTCTCTGAGGCTCCCTGAGTCTCCCTTTAGTTGACTTCAAAGCTGCCAAAGATTTGGGGACCTCCTCGCACCCAGCCTTCTTTCTGAGGCCCACACCACAGTGGGCACCCACGTTGCTGCCATCTGGGAGCCAAAGACCATCTGAGCCCTATTCCTGCAGCACCAGAACACAAGCCCGGCCCGGTGAGCAGTCCACCAATCAGCTCAGGCCTGATGACCAGTCCACCAATCAGCTCAGTACTCCGGGCCAGGCACAAGCCTCAGATTTCTCATAGGTACAATTATTGAAGATGAAAATAGTATTTTCAGACTTCAGTCATGATTTTAGTTACATCCAAGTGCCAACTTTACAATTGGCACCCTGGTTCACTTGCTTTATCCAAGTGTTACCTGTGCCATGACTTTTATTAAGTTGTTTTTCTTCTAATGGACTGAATCTCTTAAGCAAATTTGGAATGTTGATGGTCAGGACTTCATCTGTCTGTGGCAAGTTATGCTTACCTTAGACAGAAAGTTAACTGTAAAAATAAAAGTTACTAAAAAGAAAAGAAGGTTACTAAATTTCAGCAGTTGTGTAATACTTCCATAAAACAAATTTTAAAAAATAAATACTAAAAATTAGAAAAATACTTCAATTTTTAAAAAATTAAACAAGAATTCTGGCTGGATGTTGTTTCCTGCCCCAAACTCTCAGCCCGAGGCCTGCTCTCTGTTTGAGAGGGAAGTTAGTGGGCCGGGCGCAGTGGCTCATGCCTGTAATCCCAGCACTTTGGGAGGCCGCAGCGGGCAGATCACCTGAGGTCAGGAGTTCAAGACCAGCCTGGCCAACATGGCAAAATCCCATCTCTACTAAAAATACAAAAACTAGGTGAGTCTGGTGGCAGGTGCCTGTAATTCCAGCTACTCGGGAGGCTGAGGCAGGAGAATCACTTGAACCCAGGATGCGGAGGTTGCAGTGAGCCAAGATGGCACCTCTGCATTCCAGCCTGGGCTTGTCGCCGAAGAGAGAAACTCCGTCTCAAAAAAAAGAGAGAGAGAGGGAAGTTAGTGAGTACATGGCATTAAAGACATTAGTGGCAAGCTGGGACTGTCTCCTTGATGTGAAAAGGGTAGAAAGTAATTGCAGCTTGCTTGCTTTTTCTTTCTTTCTTTCTTTCTTTCTTTCTTTCTCTCTTTCTTTTTTTTATTATACTTCACGTTCTAGGGTACATGTGCACAACGTGCAGGTTTGTTACATATGTATACATATGTAACTTGCATCATCTCCTTTGGCTACTATTACTACTGTGGGAGATGCGTATTCTCATTTTATAGACAAGGAAATTGACCTCTGGACCTCAAGTAATCTGTCTGCCTTGGCCTCCCAAAGTGCTAGGATTATAGGCATGAGCCACCGCATCTAGCCTTTTTATTTTTTTAAACGAGTATTCATTGTTATTTAATGCTGGGACATCAAAACCCCCCAAAACCGTCCTGCATTTGGTATATAACCCACATTTAGGGGAACCCAAGACTGAGTGGTTGGTCAGTGGATGTATCCATTGATGTCAGAGGTCCAATCTTGAGTCCCCATCACATTGGGAGGGGACAGATCAGCTCAAGGCTATGCTGAGCACTTCCAGATGGTGGTCAGCCCAGCCAGCTGGACCTGGCCCCTGGGGATGTGCTGGGCCCCCAAGCTATAGACACACGTCCTCAATCCCACCTAACCTGTTTCAGATATCTCCCTCCTGGAGCACAGGCTGGAATGTGGGGCCAATGACATGAAGGTGTCGCTGGGCAAGTGCCAGCTGAAGAGTCTGGGCTTCGACAAGGTCTTCATGTACCTGAGTGACAGCCGGTGCTCGGGCTTCAATGACAGAGACAACCGGGACTGGGTGTCTGTAGTGACCCCAGCCCGGGATGGCCCCTGTGGGACAGTGTTGACGGTACGTCCTGGCCAGTGGGGGACAGAACCAGAGCACTGCCTGGTTCAAGCTTCAGCTCTATCACTTCCTAGTTATAGAAGCTTTGGGGAGTTATTTAGCCTGGCTGTGCCTCAGTTTCATCAACTGTAAAGTGGAGAAATAATAGTACCTACTCCACAGGTGTATTGAGAGGATTGAATGAGTTAATGTGTTGAAGTGATTAGGACAGTGACTGCACACAGTAAGTGCTCAATAAACATCAGCTTCAAATAAAGAAAGCAATTCATGGTGATAGTTCTCCATTTTACAGATGGGAAAAGTAGGGCCATAGTAGGGATTGTCTCAGCCAGTAGGCATCAGCATTGGGTTCAGAAACTAGTCTATTTGTCTCCAGTGGTCCTGGAAGGCAAGGTCTGTATCCTTAATGTACAGAGAATCAGGACCTCACCTACAGAGGCCTCCTCAAATGAAACCCAGAGGTAAATGTTTGTGTGAGCAGAGCATTATCTCCTGCCACCTCCCTCATTACCAGAGGAAGAAAGAAAGAGAAAGAGAGGAAGAAAGAAAGAGAAGGAAGGAAAGAAAGAAAGAAAGAGAAAAAGAGAGAGAGGGAAGGAAGGAAGGAAGGAAGGAAGGAAGGAAGGGAGGGAGGGAGGGAGGGAGGGAAGGAAGGAAGGAAGGAAGGAAAGAAAGGAAGAAAGGAAGAAAGAAAGAAAGAGAAAGAAAGAAAGAAAGAAAGAAAGAAAAAAAAAGAAAAGAAAGGAAGGAAGGAAGAAAGGAAGAAAGAAGGAAAGAAGAAAGAAAGAAAGAAAGAAAAAGAAAGATTTAATGTTGGCCGGGCATGGTGGCTCACGCCTGTAATCCCAGCACTTTGGGGGGCCGAGGCGGGTGGATAACTTGAGGTCAGGAGTTTGAGACCAGCCTGGCCAACACAGAGAAACCCCTTCTCTACTAAAAATACAAAAATTTGCTGGACCTGTTGGTGGGCACCTGTAATCCCAGCTACTCGGGAGGCTGAGGCAGGAGAATCACTTGAACCCAGGAAGCAGAGGTTGCAGTGAGCCGAGATTGCACCACTGCACTCCAGCCTGGGTGACAGAGTGAGACTCTGTCCCAAAACAAACAAACAAAAAGAAATAATTCATGTCATTTTCCAAGGATGGCATTTGAAATTCCATTGATGGTGACTTGGCATATGGTTTTCAGTTTTCAAGAGAGGAAGCACGGGGTGCTGAAAACAGTCTAGTCTTGTGAGATGTCACATATTGTGGGCAATCCCTCAGTGACTCTGTTACTATGAATCTCTGTCTTCTTGTCTGGGAAGCAGGGATGTGGCAGCGCCACTTGTTAGGGTCACTGAAGGAACTAATGCTATGACTCAGGAGGGGTATTCCACTCGGGGTCTGGCACATGACATATGCGCATGAATGGTCATTGCTGTTGTAACTTTTTTTTTCTAATTTATAAAGAAAAGATGATTAATTGGCTCGTTGTTCAGGCTGCACAGGGAGTTTTTAACTGTTGTGGGATTTTTTTTTTTTTTTTTGAGATGGAATCTCCCTGTCGCCGAGGCTAAAGTGCAGTGGCACGATCTTGGCTCATTGCAAGCTCTGCCTCCCGGGTTCAAGCGATTCTCCTGTCTCAGCCTCCCGAGTAGTTGGGATTACAGGCACCCACCACCACGCCCGGCTACTTTTTGTATTTTTAGTAGAGACAGGGTTTCACCATATTGGACAGGCTGGTCTCGAACTCCTGACCTCAGGTGATCCGCCTGCCTCGGCCTCCCAAAGTGCTGGGATTACAAGCGTGAGCTAATGCGCCCGGCCACAGGCAGCTTTTTATCAAGGAGACTAGGAGAGCGGCTCACAAGTAGCCAGACATGAGACCAGCAGATTTAGCTTTGAAGTCCTACTCAGATTCTCATGCCCCTTTCTCTCATCCCCACCCCCCCTCCACCCCCATTCCCTGCAACAGAGGAATGAAACCCATGCCACTTACAGCAACACCCTCTACCTGGCAGATGAGATCATCATCCGTGACCTCAACATCAAAATCAACTTTGCATGCTCCTACCCCCTGGACATGAAAGTCAGCCTGAAGACCGCCCTACAGCCAATGGTCAGGTGTGGCCAGAGAGGGTCCCTAGGGCCCCTAGATGGTTCTAACCCCAAACCCCTTAACCATGAGCTTCCCTGTCAACTGCCACCCACAGGGAGCTGGGAGTGAGGGCTGGGAATCAGGGTTGCCCAATGGAAGAGCCAGGAATTCTGGAGCCCAGGTTCAAATCTAGACTTTGTCATAAATGATGGTTATGCCCTGGCCAGTGGGGGACAGAGTCAAAGCACTGCCTGGTTCAAGCCCCAGCTCTGTCACTTACTAGTTGTATGAGCTTGAGTGAGTTATTAAGCCTGGCTTTGGGAAATTGATAGTCCCTCTCTAGGTGTCAATATTTTCATCTGTGAAATGGGTTTAATAGTACTCTAAGAATTAAATGATATGGGAGGATCGCTTGAGCCCAGGAATTTGAGGCTGCTTAGAGCTATGATTGTGATGTGAATCAGATTCAACCATTAAACTGATGTAGATGATTCAGATGTGAATCAAATATTAAAGTCTCTACTTTTCAAAGAGGCAGGGTGGTTGTGCCAGAGAGCAGGAATGGTCTCAGTCCAGACTGCTATGGAATGCTGGGCAAATCATATTTCATATTTGGACCTCAACTTCTTTCCTTCTCTGTGAATGAAAGGAATTTGATTAAAGAGGATTTTAAAAATTACGCTCCTTGCAAGTGTCTTGGTAGGGGCCAAGGGAGGTGCCCTGGCAGAGTGCCTACAGGGGTAAACTATTCATACTGGGTGCCACGTAGTATTTTATTTTATTTTTTTTAAAAGGAATCTGTTGCTAAATAAAATTGAAAATCTTCAAATAGGATGAATCACAGGCCAATGATGGAAAATTATAGTTGTAATAAGAAATAAGATTTATTGATTATTTATTTATTTATTTATTTATTTATTGAGACGGAGTCTCGTACTGTCGCCCAGGCTGGAGTTCAATGGCATGATCTTGGCTCACTTCAACCTCCGCCTCCCAGGTTCCAGTGATTCTCCTGCCTCAGCCTCCCAAGCAGCTAGGATTATAGGTGCCCACCACCACACCCAGCTAAGTTTTGTATTTTTAGTAGAGACGGGGTTTCACCATGTTGGCCAGGCTGGTCTCAAACTCCTGACCTCAGGCAATCCACCCACCTCGGCCTCCCAAAGTGCTGGGATTATAGGTGTGAGCCACCGTGCCCTGCCAAGAACTAAGATTTATTGAGAGCTTACTATATCTCAGGCATTATAGCCAGTGTTCTGCCTGGAACATCTCATCAAACTCTTACAGCAGCCCTAGGAGATAAAGGTATCATTATTATTACTATTCCCATTATACTGATGTGGAAATTGAGGCTCACAGAAGTTTGAGTGACTTACCCAAAGCTGTAAAGTCTAGCAAGTGATAGAGCTGGGATTCAGACATCAGGTCCAGAGCCTCCACTTGACCATGACCTTCCCTTCGAAGCTTGCCCATGGTTTTCTGCTCTCTTGGCCAGCCAGACTCAGGAAAGGATGCTGGGCACTGATGAGGGTGCACAGCTGACTTGGAGGAAGAAGAGTGCTCATTGCAAGCTGTTGGCTGGAACCTCACCTGGCCTAGCAGTGTCCTGGAGCAATGTGGCCCCGTCCTCGGCCTGGTAGGCTCTGGGGAACAACAAGTGTGCCCACATCTCTCTGTTTTATGGTTTTGTTTTGTTACGAATCCAGGTCTCACTCTGTCACCCAGGCTGGAGTGCAGTGGCACAATCATAGCTCAATGCAGCCTCAAATTCCTGGTCTCAAGCAATCCTCCCACCTCAGTCTCCCAGGTGGCTAGGACTACAGACACATGCCACCACACCACCCTGGGCTATTTTTAAAAATATTTTTATAGAGACAGGGTCTTGTTACATGGACCAGGCTAGTCTTAAACTCCTGGCCTCAAATGATCCTCCTGCGTATGCCTCCTAAAGTATTGGGATTACAGGCGTGAGCCACAGCACCTGGTCCCTCTCTCTGTCTCGAGTTAGACATCTCACCCCAGTCTTCACTGATAACTCAGTTCTCATCTGTAAAATGGACTTCCACATTTCGGAGTATTTCTCATGTGCCTTATTTCATGAGGCATCAGCCTTACAATGTCCTTTGTTGGATCATCCAGTGAAGTTCACATCAGTGTGGCTGTTTTCAGTGTGGTTAAAAATAACTCATTTATAAACCTCAATCTTCTGATATAGATGTTAGTACATCACGATGGAGGCCAGGACGCAAGTTGTAGGCCTCATCATAGCTCAATACCTTTTAACCTGTTCTAGATTGAGACCAAAGAAGGAATCCAGGTGTTCCTGTCAATAATTTGTTTTTTTGCCATCTTGAAAGCTACAGGGGTAGCAAAGCCTATAGCAGTAGCAAGTGAGGGACTGGATGTGTTACTTGAGATGTGATTGATCCATAGACCAGCAGCATCAGCAGCATCCAGGCACTTGTCAGAAATGCAGGACCTTGAGCCCCACCCCAATACTCACCAAATCAGAGCCTGCATTTTATCTAGATCCCAAGTTGACCTGCGTGTACTTATTGCGGTTTGCAAAGCAACAGTTGGTGGGTTCCACTCTTATTGCTGGATAAAAATGCAAATAACTGCAAGGGACTGCCTAGGAATGCAAATCAGAGAAGGTGGCCTATCTGCAGATGTTCTCAGCCCGGTCCTCTCACCAACCCTTCTCCCCTGGCAGTGCTCTAAACATCAGAGTGGGCGGGACCGGCATGTTCACCGTGCGGATGGCGCTCTTCCAGACCCCTTCCTACACGCAGCCCTACCAAGGCTCCTCCGTGACACTGTCCACTGAGGCTTTTCTCTACGTGGGCACCATGTTGGATGGGGGCGACCTGTCCCGATTTGCACTGCTCATGACCAACTGCTATGCCACACCCAGTAGCAATGCCACGGACCCCCTGAAGTACTTCATCATCCAGGACAGGTAAGGCAAAGGTTCCTACATGGGAACTCATGGGTAGAATTCAGAGGGGGTCTTTGGACTTGGATGGAGGAAAATTGCATCTTTTTTTTTTTTTTTTTTGACAGAGTCTTGCTCTGTCGCCAAGGTTGGAGTGCAATGGTGTGACCTCGGCTCACTGCAACCTCCGCCTCCTGGGTTCAAGTGATTCTTCTGCCTCAGCCTCCCAAGTAGCTGGGATTACAGGCAGAGGCCAGCAGGCCTGGCTAATTTTTGTATTTTTAGTAGAGATGGGGTTTCACCATGTTGACCAGGCTGGTCTTGAACTCCTGACCTCAAGTGATCCACCCCCTTGGCCTCCCAAAGTGCTGGGATTACAGGTGTGAGCCACCACGCCTGGCTGAAAAATTGCATCTTTATATTCATTACCCTTTAGCTGAACCTTAGCATTCCCATCCATTATAAATACAGGCAACAAACTACAGAAATATTAGCAGGTCGTGTGAAGCCATTTATAGTCATCAGTACTTTTTAGTTACTATAGCATTAGAATTTTCACTAGACCTTATTATTTAATGAATTATCAATACATATGTATTGGCAAATATATATTTATGTATTATATATATATATATATATATACACACACACACATATATATACACACACACACACAAAGATATAATGCATTTTGTATTTCAAATGTCTTTTTTTTTGGTCGTTTGATTTGGTTTGGTTTTTTTGAGACAGGGTCTCATTCTGTCACCCAGGCCGGAATACAGTGACTTGATCATAGCTCACGGCAGCCTCAACCACCCAGGCTCAAGCGATCCTCCAGCTTTAGCCTCATGAGTAGCTGGGACTACAGGCACACACCACCATACACAGCTAGCAAATGTTTTTAATATTTTGAGAATGGTGCTTCAATTTAATTGATTTCCTTTATAATCTTTTAAATATTTTATTTTAGGCATTTAAAAGTATTATTTCTGAGGAGGGATGTACAAGCTTCACCAGAGAGCTGAGTAGGGTTTATAATTCAAAAAATGGTAAGAAACTTGATGGAAAGGCTTGCCCAGGGCAGCAGGCAGCCCAGCACCTGGGGGAGGAGTAAGACATGGGCATGGTTAGCCAAGGGCCAATTGAAACTAGGACACAAGTGTGCTACCTTTTACTCAAGAGGCACTAGATGACTATGAACCTTACCATGAGACGGTGATTCACTTTCTCGTTCATAAGTTGAAAAGATATTTTGGAAGCTTGCTGTGTGTCGGGCTCTGTGGATTTCACAGTAAATAGAAGAAACAAAAACCTCTGCCCTCACACAGCTTATATTCTAAAGGGGGAGGGCCAACTATTAAATGAAAGTGAAATATATAGTATGTTAATGACAAAGAGGTTGTAGAAGAAACAAAGCAGGAGAAGAAAGACATTTGCAATTTTAATTGCATTGTCAGAAAAAGCATTCCTGAGAGACAGTGGTCTGTTTCTGCCTGGTTACACCAAGGGAATATTTTCAGGTGAGTGCCAATGTGATGTTCACACGTCTTTGGAATCTCCCTTTGCAATAAAAATAAAGCAGAAGTCTGTTTCAGAGCATTTTGCAATTAGCAGAGTCTAACTCAAACTTAATACAACTCTTTTGTTGATCTTGTCCTCATTGTATGGTCCTGTTCTATTTATGCAAGTGATACTTGTCTGCCATTTGAATTCATGACCTAAAGATTCTTCTAGTAAGTAAATGTATTTCAGTAAAAAATACAAGTGGATTTAAAGAAAAATAGTAAGTAAATAATAATACAGATGTTGGGACACACAGGAAAACGCTCATAAAGGTGGTATCTCAATAAAGAAAAAAAGAACTGAAAGTTGGAAACTGTTGGCATGACCTTGATTGGAGTATCACAGAGATTTGGGTTCAAATCTTGGCTTTGCCATTTCTTAGCTTTAAGAAACAGGTTAGCTCATCTCTCTGGGTTTTTCTATTCTCAGACGTAAATGGGGATAAATAATACCTGCTATGCTGGGATTTTAAAACTTGTTTTTCATGAGTATAACGGGCACGATGGCTCACGCCTGTAATCCCAGCACTTTGGGAGGCTGAGGCAGGCAGATCACCTGAGGTCAGGAGGTCAAGACTGGCCTGGCCAATACAGCAAAGCCCATCTCTACTAAAAATACAAAAAAATTAGACAGGCATGGTGGTGGGCGCCTGTCATCCCAGCTACTTGGGAGGCTGAGGCAGGAGAATTGCTTGAACCCAGGAGGCAGAGGTTGCAGTGAGCCAAGATCACACCATTGCACTCCAGCTTGGGCAACAAGAGTGAAACTCTACCTCAAGAAAATAAAAATAAAGCATAGCAGGGAGGCCGAGGCAGGTGGATCACGAGGTCAGGAGTTCGAGACCAGCCTGGTCAACATGGTGAAACCCTGTCTGTACTAAAAATACAAGAATTAGCCAGGCATGATGGCACACACCTGTAATCCTAGCTACTCAAGAGGCTGAGACAGGAGAATTGCTTGAACTGGGAGGCAGAGGTTGCAGTGAGCCAAGATCACACCACTGCACTCCAGCCTGGGTGGCAGAGCAAGACCCCATCTAAAAATAAAATAAAATAAAAGTACAGCAGGGACATTGCGGAAAACTTGGAAAGTTTTGAAAAAGAAGCAGGAAAAAATGTAGGGTGTGTCTATAAGTTGCCATCTGGGTGAGTGTGGGAGCTGGGGTGAGAACTACCAGTGTAGGATAGGTGTCAGAACATCACAAGGCATGAAAAGAGGAGACAAGTCGGGGAGACAGTGAAAGTGACTGGAGGGGACACATGGATGTCCAGGTTGGCTTGAGCACGTGGAGCCCTCACAGGCCATACTGTCTGCCTTTCAGGAGTTGAGTCCACTTAACCTCAGGGCTTTTCTCTTGCCAGGCAGAGTCTGCACTTTTGGAGCCAGATCTGAATTATGGGAGACACAGAGCTAAGAGTGAAAAACACTCCCAGAAGCTCCCGTCTCAGTTTTGCAGTCAGTGTTCAGCCTCCCTCCGAAATCAACTTTGAGGAAAGAGTGCGGAATGGCAGAGGGGGTGCCCAGTTTGCCTCCCCAGAAAGCCTATGGGTATCCTGACCCAGCCCAGCACATGTGGGAGTCTCTGCATGCTCTATTTCGGGTTTCTCCTTCTAACTGTGTTTGGGTGCAATTGTGTATACGTGCAGATGGGTGCACACACTCCAATTTCATCAGTGGCTCTCGGTACCCAGAGGTTTCCATTGTTATAATTATACCAGGCATATTGTAGATAGCACATAGCAGCTAATAATTTTTGAATGTCATTGCTGGGAAATCAGGAAGTGCTGACTTTTGGATAGTTTCAGCTCTGCACTGATGACAGTTTCACTTTAGTATCAAATATATAAAGCACCTATGGCATGCTACACACAGTTCTACGCACTTTGAGAAATTAACGAATTTAATCCTTACAGCTATCTTATCACATGGGCTGCGATCATTTCTTATGTACAGATGGAGAAATTGAGGTACACAGAGATTAAATAAGTTGCCCAAAGTCACACAGCTGAAAGGTGACAGAGCAATATTTGAATCCAGGAAGTCTGACTCCAGAATCTTTATTTAACCAACCACATTAAATGATGTGTAACCCTCCCAGATGCCCACACACTAGAGACTCAACTATCCAAGTGGTGGAGAATGGGGAGTCCTCCCAGGGCCGATTTTCCGTCCAGATGTTCCGGTTTGCTGGAAACTATGACCTAGTCTACCTGCACTGTGAAGTCTATCTCTGTGACACCATGAATGAAAAGTGCAAGCCTGTGAGTTGACTCCCCTCCCCCAGCCCATCTCTTGTAACCAAAGACATTTGGCCACAAAGAAAACAAATCAATATTTCTTCCCTGTTTCCCTCTTTTACCAGAGGGATAGAATGAGCAATAAGATGAGGTGGGCGTGGCTAGGCAGGAAACCTAAGCTGCAGGGGAAATCAGGTGGGATCAGTAAAGTGCGGCAGGCTGGTAAGAGCTCTGGCTTATCTGCAAGCTTGTGTTCAAATAACAGGAGCTGACATTTTTAAGCACTGTGCCCACTTTATTTGTGTTAGCTTTTAATGCTTCACAGCAACTCTATAAGGGAGGTATTACTGGTTCCCTTTCCTCATGAGGAGAGGGGCTCAGAGAACTTCAGTGGCTTGCCTGAGATCATGCATCTATCTAACAAATGGCAGAGCTGGGACCTGCACGAGCCCCGGTATACAGGTCTCCTAACAACTTCTGCCTGGGGCAAGGGAAGGCACCTGTGAGGTGGGCAGTCCACTCCACGTGGCAGAACCACATTCAGGCTCCTTCATGGAGGGTGTTTTTCTATTGCCCTCTCCCTGTAGACCTGCTCTGGGACCAGATTCCGAAGTGGGAGTGTCATAGATCAATCCCGTGTCCTGAACTTGGGTCCCATCACACGGAAAGGTAAGAGAGCCACTCGCTCCTCAACATTCCTGGCTGGGAAAGATTTCTGGAGAGGAAGAGGGATAACAGAGCCTGGCACCTTGGCACCTTACTGAGCTCTGAAGAACTGGGAGCAAGTGGATCCTCTGGGGCAAGGTGGAATACAGACTGCCTTCCTTTCACTATTCCCATTCATACACCCATTCATTGGACAAATATGATTTGTAGATGAATGTAACACAGGACACGGGGGAGGCCAGACAGGCAGGTAGGAATGTAGATCATCCAGACAAGTTTGCACACACATGAGGCCACAAACATACATTCATATTTGTAGTAGATGTGTGCCTACTCTGTGTCTGGAGGTCTTGTGATGAGCAGAAGTAGATGGCCCTGCTCCCATGGAGCTTGTGAATCAGTGAAGAAGGTGCCATTTGAATAATCCCCTGTAGATGTGTAGGATCTGGGTGATCCATTAAGTGCAGGGTCTACAAAATATCTCAAGCACTGATCTTAGGAGTGGTTTAGGAAGGGTCAGAATCTTGTGGCTTCCAGCTGCATGACTCCTAAACCTTAATTTCTAATCTTGTAGCTAATTTCTTAGTTCTACAAAGGCAGTCTAGCCCCCAAGGCAAGAAGGAGGTTTGTTTTTGGAAAGGGCTGTTATCGTCTTTGTTTTAAACTATAAACTAAGTTCCTTCCAAATTAGTTCAGCCTACACCCAGGAAGGAACAAGCACAGCTTAAAAGTTAGAACCAAGATGGGGTTGGCTAGGTTGGCTCTCTTTCACTGTCTCAGTCATAATTTTGCAAAGGTCATTTCAAGAGTACAGCTTGGGCAAAGGGCCTGTGGCAGGAGGGAGCCTGGCCTGTTAAAGGAACCCAGAGAAGGCCAGGGGAGTTGTGTGGGATGAGCTGCTGCAGACCTTGTGGAGCCTTGCAGTTCTTGCTAAGGGTTGGGACCTTTCTCCTGAAAGCAGTGAGAGCCCCTGATGGGTCTGAAGTAGGGGAGTAACATGATCAGATTTGGGTTTTGAAGAGATCAGTCTGGCTGCGAAGTGAAAAGTAGATTGAAGGGGTTTCTGTCAGGATGCTTGCCAAATCTCATGCATTCTTTATTCACTGATCCTTCTGTTTTCCTCCAAAGGTGTCCAGGCCACAGTCTCAAGGGCTTTTAGCAGCTTGGGTAAGTTCAGGTCCTTTCTGCAGTGGGACCTGTTCCAGAACTCTCCTGGGGGGCTTCTATCTGTTAACTTGTAATGCTTCATAGCAACTCTATAAGGGAGGTGTTACTAGTTCCGTTTTCTAAATAAGGAGAGTGGCTCAGAGAACCTGAGTGGTCCTACTGAGATCATGCATCTCTCTATTAATTGTAAGAGCTGGGACATGTGCCCCAGTATACAGATCACTTATTTTATACACAAACTTATTACAAACCCAAAGGATATGCACACACTCCAGATCTGCATCTTGGGCACTTACTGAAGCTCCAAGCCTCCTCTCTAACACTTTTTTCTAGATTCATTCAATAGGTGACAAATAGGCCAGGCGCAGTGGCTCACGCCTATAATCCCAGCACTTGGGGAGGCTGAGGCGGGCGGATCACAAGGTCAAGAGATTGAGACCATCGTGGCCAACATGGTGAAACCCCATCTCTACTAAAAATACAAAAGTTAGCTGGGTGTGGTGGCGCGCGCCTCCCAGCTACTTGGGAGGCTGAGGCAGGAGAATGGCTTGAACCACGGGGGGCAGAGGTTGCAGTGAGCCAAGATCACGCCACTGCACTCCAGCCTGGCAACAAAGCAAGATCCATCTCAAAAAAAAAAAAAAAATAGGTGACAAATATTCCTTGAGTGCTACCATGTGCCAAGAGCCATGTTTAGTTCTGGGGTAAACACAACAAATAAGAAACCCCACTTCTCTGCTTCTTTGCTCCTCTAACTCCCTGAGGTCCCAGGGTGTGCTGGAGGGCTGGGCTTGAGCTCTGAAGAGGCAACTGTATCTATGGAAATGCCTGGAGTGCCTGGACTTAGGGCTGTACACATGCACACATACCTATGCTGTGTCCCAATAGTACATATGTGCACACAGACACAGGCATGCCCAGATAATCACATGAGAATGTAGGTCATCCAGACATGTTTACCCACACACACAAGGTCACGTACATGCATTTATATTTGCATGTACAGATGCACAGAAAGCTGCAATTGTCTGCATGCATATTTGTGTGTGCAGATGTACACACACTTATTGGAAACCTGTACCCAAAGGATATGAACATACCCCAGATCTGTATATTGGGCACTTCCTGAAGCTCCAAGGCTCCTCTCTAACACCTTTTTCTAGATTCATTCAATAGGTGATGAATATTCGTTGAGTAATACTATATGCCAAGAACCATGCTTAGTGCTGGGGCAAACACAACGGCCAAACAAGAACCCCCACTTCTCTGCTTCTTTGCTTTTTCTGACCACAAAGGCCAGGGACAGGTGGCATTTTTATGGCCCATGGTTTTCATGGCACTGAATTGTCTAAAAATCTAGGTGAAAAGCAAATCTATGCAACAGCTACTGGTACCTGGATCCAAGGAGGTTCTTACACTAACTTGGCTTTTTTTTTTTTTTTTTTTTTTGAGATGGAATCTGCTCTGTCACCCAGGCTGGAGTGCAGTGGTGAAATCTCAGCTCACTGTAACCTCTGCCTCCTGGGTTCAAGCGATTCTTCTGCCTCAGCCTGCCCAGTAGCTGGAACTACAGGCGTGCACCACCACGCCCGGCTAATTTTTGTATTTTCCAGTAGAGATGGGGTTTCTCCGTGTGGCCAGGCTGGTCTTGAACTCTTGACCTCAGGAGATCTGCCTGCCTTGGCCTCCCAAAATTCTGGGGTTAAAGATGTGAGCCACCCCACCCGGCTAACCGGGCATTTGACCTGAACTAGTTCAGCCCAGTGCTGGTGAGCTCAGAGATGGAGAGTCACAGCACTCCTAAGAGGCTTGCTCTCTGTGACTATCCCCCAAGGTCTCTAAGGATGGTTGGATAGATTGGGCACTTCACAAGAATGCCCTTTGCCCTTTTGAGGAGGTACCAAGCCTAGTGCCGGAGGAAAGATTATCTTTTTCAAATCGGTCCACCTTTTTCAGGGCAGATAAGGAGGAAGCTTCCTTTTTCTAGGAGAGCAGCCCAGAGAGGGTGTCCTCTTCTGATTGGTCAGCCTAGACGAGGCAGCTTATGTTAATTTGCACAAAAGTACAGCAGTACTAGCAGTTGCCCTGTCACTGTTTTCTTTTCAGGGCTCCTGAAAGTCTGGCTGCCTCTGCTTCTCTCGGCCACCTTGACCCTGACTTTTCAGTGACTGACAGCGGAAAGCCCTGTGCTCCATGGCTGCCATCTCACCTCCTGCTGGGCAGGGGGCATGATGCGGGCCAGTGCTCCAGCCACAGAAAAGAAAGTTCATGCTTTGTTCAGCCTGCCTTCTTTTCTCCCTTTTAATCCTGGCTGTCGAGAAACAGCCTGTGTCTTTAAATGCTGCTTTTTCTCAAAATGGGACTTGTGACGGTGTACCTGAGGCCCCCATCTCCTTAAAGAGTGTGGCAAAATAATGATTTTTAAATCTCAGTCTTTGAAGTCATCCATTCATTCAACAAGTATTTACTGAACTCTACCATGTAGGCACTATGTATGGTGCTAAGGATCCTACGGTGGGAAAAAATAACCCCCCACACTGTCCTCATGGAGTTCACAGTCTGCTCAGTGAGACTGGGTTCTGCTGTGTGACCTTAGATAGGATACACAATGTCTCTGAGCTTCATCTATTTATTCATTCGTATTTGCTGAGCATCTACTATGTGCTAGCTGCCGGGGATATAGCAGTGAACAAGCCAGACACAATCCCTGCCCTCCTTGGAGTTTCTTGTCTGGTAGGAGAGAGGGAACTTGAACAAGTAATTCTAAGTAGGTCAGGCATTTCAGAAATGAGAGCATAGGCCAGGTGCAGTGGCTCGCACCTGTAATCCTAGCACTTTGGAAGGCCGAGTAGGCGGTGGGGATCGCTTGAGCCCAGGAGTTTGGATCAGCCTGGGCAGCATAGCAAGACCCCGCCCCTACAAAAAAAATTTTAAAAATTAGCTGGGCATGGTGTCACGTGCCTGTAGTCCCAGCTACTCAGGAGGCTGAGGAGAGAGAATCTCTTGACCCTGGGAGGTCGAGGCTGCAGTGAGCTGAGATTGTGCCAATGCACCCTAGTCTGAGTGACAGAGCAAAACTCTGTCATCAGAAAAAAAAAGGAAAAATAAATAATGGGGTACCAGAGCCTGCTGGTTCTGTATCATGGAGACAATAGTGACGTCCTCAGAGGGTTCCTTCAGTGTTCCAGAAACATTTATCTGAGCATGTCATATGTGCCAGGCACTGTTCTAGGTGCTGGGAAACACTGATGAATAAGACAGACAATTAAATACTGATGAGTAAGTCCTTGCTTCCAGGAGTCTCCCAGTCCTTAGGGGTAATAAGGAGTAAGCAACTCAAGGTCAGGTGCCTGCAATGTCCGCAGGACTCCCTCCAATCATTGAACATCTCCCTCACAATCCAGAAGATTCCCTGGAAAACCAACTTCCAGGGATACATCAACAGTGGAGAAGAGATCAATGATCCCCATTGGTAGGGGATGCTTTGTGGGGTATGGGGGTCTCCAGCATGGGGCAGCTGGTTCCAGGAGACCCCGATGCCCCACGGGTCTCTGGACGTCTGCGCCAAGTGGTTAGAAGAAAGCCAATTTCGATGGGAACTGTCTGCTCTGCTACCAGCTGCTTCCCTGGACTCCATCTGTGGCTTTTCAGGAGAGGCCAAGGCCCTCCTTAGTACATTATTAGAACTTTCTGATCCCAGGGAAATCCACACATGTGTATCAGCAAATGGGGGCTGCTAGGACAGTGTGTCTTAAGTCAAGGGCCTCTTATCACACAGACATGCACAGAAAACATTGACATAAGAGCTTTGTGGAGGAAGACTATGGGCTGATCCCAGCCCCTGTCCACTGTCAGGCCATGGTCAGTCTGTGGCTGATGGCGTACACATCCATCTGTGCTTGCACTCCAATACAATAGAACATAAAGGAAAAATCTGGGCCAAGATCAGTAAAGATAAGGACCAAAGACAAGAGCTGGGATAAAAAAAAAAAGCACAACAGAATTACTCCTGCAGTCCCTCGGTTCTTTTTCTTTGCCTTTCTTGTTTTCTATCGATTATTCAGCTCAGTATTTTCAACAGATATTTGGGGCATAAATTCAATACCAGGCAATTTTACATGTACCATGGAAACAGCAAATAACCAAAAGAGAGCCCTTGCTGGTAGAGAGCTTACATTTAAAAGGCAGATACATTTAAACAACAACTATGTGCAATGTGATAGATGGCGACAAGTTCTGAGGGGGATGAAAAAACAAGGATGAGGGATAGAGAAATGTGGGTGTTATTTGACATAAAATGATCAGAGAAAGTCCCTCTGCTAAGCAGAGGCTAAAAGAAGTAAAAGAGTGAACCAGGGGCATATCTGAAGAATAGCATTGCAGGCAGTCAGAATAGCAGGTGCAAAGTCCTGAGGTAGGATCTTGTGTCTTTCCTGCAAGGCTGACTGCCTACACTTGGACAGCCAAAAGTTTGAAGAATTGCTCACTGCAGAGGGTCTAGGGATGCATTTTATGAATTTGTCCATGTGTTTACTCAAGAAGTACTTACTAGGTACTGATGAGGACTGCAGAGACAGGCTTCCTGTCCACAAACATCTTTTTTTTTTTGGGCGGGGACAGAGTCTCGCTCTGTTGCCCAGGCTAGAGTGCAATGGTGTGATCTCGGCTCACTACAACCTCCACCTCCTGTGTTCAAGCGATTCTTCTGCCTCAGCCTCCCGAGTAGCTGGGACTGTAGGCATGCACCACTATGCCCGGATAATTTTTGTATTTTTAGTAGAGATGGTGTTTCGCCATGTTGCCGAGGCTGGCCTCAAACTCCTGACCTCAAGTCATCCGCCCACCTTGGCCTCCCAAAGTGCCTCCCAAAGTGCTGGAATTACAGGCATGAGCCACCACACCTGGCCTCTGTCCACAAAGGTCTTAACAGCCTTCAGAGGGAGACAGATAAGTTGGCAGGTGAGTGTAATTGGAAGCAGCCCTGAGAGGCCTAGGAGCAGAGAAGAGGAGTACCTGTGGAGTTAGGAAAGGCTTCCTGGGCCGGGCACAGTGGCTCACGCCTGTAACCCCAGCACTTTGGGAGGCTGAGGCAGGTGGATTACCTGAGATCAGGGGTTTGAGACCATCCTGGCCAACATGGTGAAACGCTGTCTCTACTAAAATACAAAAATTAGCTGGGCGTGGTGGCGGGTGCCTGTAATCTCAGCTACTCGGGAGGCTGAGGCAGGAGAAACACTTGAACCCAGGAGGCAGAGGTTGCAGTGAGCCAAGATCATGCCATTGCACCCAGCCTGGGTGACAAGAGCAAAACTCCACCTCAAAAAAAAGAAAAAGGAAAAGCTTCCTGGAAGAGGTGATAACGTAGGAGGAGGCTGGGTGAAGAGTGATGCAGGCTGAGGGAATAGCGTATGCAAAGGCTTGAAGATGAGGAAGAGGCCAGACAACCACAGATTGGCTGGAGCATGCAATGTGTGGTGGAGAAGTCATAGGTGAGGTTGGAACTGTAAAGAGGGGTCAGATCCCAGGGAGCATAAAGTGCTGGGAATGGGAGATAATGCTGACAGATGGTACACTGGCCTCTGGCTGCAGGGGAGAAAACAAACAAAAATAAGAATGAAAGCAGGGAGACCTGTTGGGCAGCTATTAAAATGACTCTGGACAGGGCGCAGAGGCTCAGGTCTGTAATCCTGGCACTTTGTGGGGGCAAGGCAGGAAGATAATTTAAGCCAAAATGTTTAAGACCAGCCTGGGCAACATAGCAAGATGCTGCCTCTACAAAACAGTTTAAAAATTAGCCAGATGTGGTGGCCTACAACTGTAGTCCCAGCTATTCAGGAGGCTGAGGTGGGAGGATTATTTGAGCCCAGGAGATCAAGGCTGCAGTGAGCCTATGATCACGTGACTGCACTGTAGCCTGGGCAACAGAGCAAGACTCTTGCTAAAAAAAAAAAATTACCTTCATAAGGAATGGTGGCCCGAATTTGGATTGGTGAGGTGGAGATGGAGAAGAAAGGATTATTGGAAATGGGAGCAGAGGGAGAAAGGAAGGAGCTTAGAAAGGAAGAGGCCAAGTTTCCAGCTTGGATGACTGGGAGGCAAGTGGCACCTTTGATTAAAATAGATCATACAATGAGGAGGAGAAGATTTAGGTGACTTGATGAGCTCAGAGTTGCACTTGCTGAGTTTGAGGTGTCTCAAGCATCTCAGCGGCAGTGAGAGGTCCAGCAATCAATAGGTAGATGGAACTGAAGTTCAAGGGAGTAGCGAAAGCTGGGGATACGGATTCAGAACTCACCAGCCTGGAGATGGTATGTGAAACCATGAGATAACTTGATACCTCCCAGGGAGAGTTTATGACGTGAAAAGAAAAATGGGACCTAACCAGCATTCTTAGAGACAGGATCTTGTAGCAACAGAGCAGAAATCTCCAGGTAGAAACAGGAGAATCAAGAAAATATGAACATGCGGAGTCAAGGAAATGCAAGGTACCCGGAACAAGCAGTAGGCAAATCCAATCACAAAGGAGCAGAAACAAACTACCCAGTGGATTTGGCTATAAAGTTGTAGCTACATGGTTCAGATTGGAATGGAGAAGCCAGAAGAGGGATGGAGGAACTGACTTTGAAAAGGAGGAACATCGCCTTATCAGAAGTTGGAGGGGGAAGGGGTGGAGGATGGAGACCAGTATTTATATGTTTACAGGGGAAGGAGCAAGGTCAGGTGTTGTGGCCTAAATTGTTTTTGAAGTAGGGTACCAGATATCTGCTGAGAAAGGTGGTGTGAGTGGGTGATAATAGCTGCAGAGACCATTTAAGAGGAATGGGAAGGTTAAGAGTGGCCACTGGGGAGACTGGGATGGGCACCTGGCCAGACTGAATGGATCAGTAGGTGATTTAGTGGGCCCAGTTGTCACAAGTTCCACATTTTAGAGACTATTTATTCTCCAGTTGCTCTGGGAGTAGAGAAGGTGGCTTGTAGCACCTTTTCTTTTTCCAGGTTGAGGTTTTGTAGAAGGTGTTACCAATGCCAAGACCCTCCTGCTCCCTTGACTCCAGTTGCCTTGGCTCCTTAAGGAGTCCCAGAGTGACAGAGAAGAAGCAGTGGCCATTTTTTCTGCAAAAGCTTTGGCTCTTTTATGAAGTCCATGATTTCTACCATGTCATGAAAGCCAGGTCCAAGCCTGGAGTTAATAAGTCCAAGATCCTCTACAGCCTCTTCTCAGTCTCATGCCTTCCAATCTCTAGGGCAGCCTACATATCAAAAGGGATTTACAGGGGCTACTCTGGTGCTTCTTTTGTCCAAGAACCTTTGTCTGTCCTTTGCCATTCCAAAATCCATCATCACCAAATTAGCCATTCCAAAACTGCTCAGCATTAGAAATCCGGAGTTGGGTAGATTCTATGGACCAATAAATGGAATTTTTCGAAACATCCACACTCCCTTCTTTCCTTTCCTATGTGTCCTCTTAGTCTAACTGGCCCCAAGCTCAGTGGCCTTCAGACAGAAGCAGAAATGTTCCAAGATGATTAGCTAGGAACACAAGGTACAACTGAAAATCCATTGTGCAAACAAGTGCCTGTTTGATTTTCTCTTCACTTCCCTTTGGGTATTAAGCTTCCTTTCAATTCGTGTTTGGTTTCTGGTAATAAATATGGCACCAGTTTCATTGATTAATTATGAAGATTAAATGTGAGAAGTCAAGAACGCAAAGCAGTGCCCAGCATGTTCAGCATTCAGCACACAGCACTATTGTTTGTAGGAAGCATTCGCACAATGCTGAGACAGCTGGAAGGGTTGACATTGTGAGGGGAGGGCCCTTCTTTCACCATCCTTTGCGTAAATGGCTTATCTCACCTCCACTCAACAAGCCCAGTGTATGGCCTAGAACTCCCATCATACCTGTGCACCAATTGAGGAGAGACACATGGGTGGGAAATTGCAATAAAAAGACGGCCCACAGCAGGCTGCATTCCCATGGCTGGCCAGAGGAGGAACGCTTTGTGTTCTCATCGGAGGTAAGTCCTGCTTTAAGCCCCAGGAGGCTTCCTCCTAATCCTGGGAAATCTTGATCCACTGGACATGCTAGGATTCTTTGTTTCTGGAAATTTTTAGAACCCAGCAAGTAGTTTGGACCCTGGCCATTGTCAAGTGCTCCAGGTACCACTCTATGTCCAACTCAGTCATGCTTCCAGTCATCTGCGATGCTCCAGGCCTACGGACGCCACCCTCTTCCTTGTCCCAGATATTCCCACCAGGGAACTAGGTCTCTATTGGGATCTCATCTCTAAGAATCACCAATCCTGGGTGCTTCCCTATCCCTGCTGTCTCATAGCATACTCATGGTATCCCTGCCCGAAACCGATCTCTATTTTCCACTGAAGTCTTCCAGAGGTTGTAGGAAGTTATCCAAAGATTTGGCCATTTAGGGAAAGTATTTCCCAGAAAAGTAAATGCCATCCAAATGCTGGCAGGCTTTTTTGCAGCTCTTTCTTTCTGCCTCGCCACCGCCCCCAACCCCCATTGATTTATTTATTCATCCTTAATCCTCTACTGAGTACTCCTTGTGTGCCAGATTCTGTACTAGGAGCAAGGAACATGAGGCTCGGTTTGGCATGGTTCCACAGTCACAGAAATCTACATCCATAGAGGACATTTCAGGGGGCTCTTAGCAGCACCCAATGCATAAAACTAAGAAAGGGCAGCCATTACTTTTGTGTGCAGGTATTCACAGGTACCATATCCCTTTTTCTCTATCCAATCTCCAAAGAGCCTCTACTTCCACCTGAGCAGGGACCATCCTGAGACCTTTCTAGGACATTCTGCAGTACTAGCCAGCTCTAAGCTTGCCTTTGGTTTGCTTACTGTCAATTTTATCACCCATTATCTCGCTCTATCTGTCCATAAGTCACACCTACTTTGAAACAATGCAGCTCTTTATGAAGGAAGTCAACGGATCTGTTTCTAAGAACATAGACCTATGCCCTAATCTTATCTTGGTCTTTTCTTTCCCATAGCTGCATGGGAAGTCTGCATACAGCAAAGTGACCTGCATGCCTCACCTTATGGAAAGGATGGTGGGCTCTGGCCTCCTGTGGCTGGCCTTGGTCTCCTGCATTCTGACCCAGGCATCTGCAGTGCAGCGAGGTAAGTATTCTGCTCACCTGGCATCTCAGATGTCAAGGAAGACCTAGCAAGTGAGGATAGAAGTGCAGAGAAGGTGGCTCAGGTAAGGAAGAGGAATTGGCAGTTCTAAAGCAAAAACTCAGAGCTAGAAGTCAAGGGAAACATAATGAGAAACAATGGAAATCAAGTCACAATCTCTCAAAGAGCCTAATCAGAAATTCCTCTGAAAGGGCAGTGGGAGCCAGTTAACATAATTTCCCATGCCCATATCTTTGGGAGATTAGAGACCCCAGATTAAAGAAGATCAAGAAATACATAACTCAGTCACCTTGTGCTGGCAAGTGCCTTCTCCTTTTCCTGAAAGGGCTAGATTAAGTGATCTCTTTATGAAGTGGGCAATTCAGATACTTGCAGAAAGGAGTCTCAGGCTTAGAATTAGAGTGCAAATTTCAGCCCCTGGAGGAGGGTGGGAGAGGGTACTGAGCTCATTGGAGGCCTCCAGTGGAAAAATACAATCTAAGAATAACAAATGCAGTGATTCCTTGTCTTAAAATAAGTACATGCATGAGCAAAGTTTGAAAATCTTTTTTTCTGAAAGGCCCTTCTAATGTGTATTATAAGCATGTGCAAAGCTTGAAAATCTCTTTTTTTTAGAAAGCCCCTTTAATGTGTATTGTAAGCACATGATCCTGTGTGTGCACTTAGCTCCTTCTTCAGGCATCTACAGCATTCAACAAAATAGAACTAGAGAAGACAATTAGCTTGACCCTGGTGCTGTGCTTGGCATTTTACACATATTATCACATTTAATCCTCTAACAATCGTTTAAGGCTTTCTTTCCCCAAATGAGGTGTATATATTCCAAGATGGTTCTGGGGGTGCCTGGCAAACTCTTAACAAGTTTTTAATGGCTGTATGTTTATTTTTTATGCACATCTAAAAAATATAACTAGCACATGATATCTATGTTATCACAGATATTATTCTTTAAGATGAAACTAATTCTTAAAAGATAATCATTGAAAGAAACATTTTAAGTCAATAATAGGACAGGCAAACACATGTATGACAAAGGTCATGACCCAAAGCGTAGGAACGGATAAAGTTTGAGAACCACTGGTTCACAGGTGTGGTTTTGCCAATGAGTCTCAGGGGACTTAAGTCACCTGCCAAGGTCACCCAGCCAGCAGGTGTAGAATTGGATTTAAACTCAGCCTGACCAGCCTGTGGTCTTCCTCCTTCACTTCTCTGCCTCTTCATACATCACAGTTTCTAAAACTGTTTTTAAAAATGGTAGATCAACAATCAGAAATGGTCTTGTTAGATCAGTGGTTCTCAACTGGGGGCGATGCCCCCCAAGAAGACATTTGGCAATGCCTGGAGACCACTTTGGGGCATGCTGGTGGGATCTGGTAGGTAGAGGTCAAGGATACTCCTAAACATTCTATAATGCACAGGATGGCTCCTCCAGTGAAGAATGACCTAGCCAAAATGTCAATAGTGCCAAGGTTGGGAGTTCTTGCAATAGACTGTGCTACTGGTATGGAAAAATGTCTATGTTATATTAAGTAAAAAATGCAAGTGGAAAAAAAGATGTTGCACAGAATTAAACTTATTTTTATTTTTAAGAAAGCAATATATTTTAAACTTGCCTAAGAAGAAGGCTATATTACAAATTTATTGTTACTTCTGGGGATGAGATGGGCTTATGACAACTTTCATTTCTGCTTTATTAATTTTAATGATGTTTGAGGTTCTTTTTCAGTGAGCCTGTATTACATTTATAATGAGAAAAACAAATATTGGTCAAACAAGGCTGCTGTTTGCATGATGCACAGGAAAGAACTTTGTTACTCTGAGGCAGGGAGGGAGGCTGTGCAGGACGGTAGCCCTGATGTCCTCAATGCCTGTAAAATACCACAGAAGGTCCTCACTGATTATTCTGCCCCCAAGGTGATGAAGTTGATGTTTAATTAATGGACCGTGTGTGTATTGTCCTCATTGGAGTCCTTAGCACAGCCAAAATAGAGCATGGAGGGGAAAAAATCCTGTAGGTTCTGGCATTGCTCAGTAAACCCAACTGCACTCTGTCACTTTCCCAGGTTATGGAAACCCCATTGAAGCCAGTTCGTATGGGCTGGACCTGGACTGCGGAGCTCCTGGCACCCCAGAGGCTCATGTCTGTTTTGACCCCTGTCAGAATTACACCCTCCTGGATGAACCCTTCCGAAGCACAGAGAACTCAGCAGGGTCCCAGGGGTGCGATAAAAACATGAGCGGCTGGTACCGCTTTGTAGGGGAAGGAGGAGTAAGGATGTCGGAGACCTGTGTCCAGGTGCACCGATGCCAGACAGACGCTCCCATGTGGCTGAATGGGACCCACCCTGCCCTTGGGGATGGCATCACCAACCACACTGCCTGTGCCCATTGGAGTGGCAACTGCTGTTTCTGGAAAACAGAGGTGCTGGTGAAGGCCTGCCCAGGCGGGTACCATGTGTACCGGTTGGAAGGCACTCCCTGGTGTAATCTGAGATACTGCACAGGTGAGCAGCAGAGCCCTGGAGGAGGCAGCTACACAGCCAATGAGATGCCTCCCAGGCTCAGTAGAGTGAGTGGAGCAAGTCAAGAGGAGACAGGAGAGGATGCAGAGCAGCCTCGACTCAGCTCCTGCCCAGTGAGAACTCAACACAGGGGTTGAGACCTTCCAACATTTCAAGCCAGAAATTCCCATTCAAGGGTGAAATTTCCCAGTTTATAAATGTGTGTAGCATAAAATCCAGAACTCATGCTCGTTCCGATTTTGGCTCCATTTGAGAAGTTTAATTTGCCTCCCTGAGCCTCAGTGTTCTGATCTGAAAAAAAGGGGGGGGGGGTACAGCAAAAATAACAGCTAATACATAATGCTCACAATGTCCTTGTTGCTATCCTAAGTACTTCAAATGTATTAACTCATTTGATCCTCTCCCCAGTTCCACGAGGTAAGTGCTACCTAATTACCCCAGTTAGGGGCACAGAGAGATTAAGGGGCTCTCCTAGTATCACAGAGCTGGAGCATGGTACAGCTGGGATTTGAACTTGGCATTCTAGCTCCAGCATCCATGGCCTTAACCACCATGCTGTCCTTTCTCATTTTGATTGAATAGGCTAATACATTCCTTGTCCTTAGAATAGAGTCTTGCCTGTAGTAAGTGTTCAGGTGGCAGCTTTAGGGCTCTCACTTATCCCATTGGACTGGGAGTCAGGCTTGATGCTTCCACTAAGTATCACACAACCTTGGCAAGATTCTTGTGCCCCGGTGAAATGAAAGGGTTGGACTTGGGGGCCTCAAGTCCAGCCCGCACTGCATCCTGATCTTCTCTCTCCATGCCCCATCACCTAGACCCATCCACTGTGGAGGACAAGTGTGAGAAGGCCTGCCGCCCCGAGGAGGAGTGCCTTGCCCTCAACAGCACCTGGGGCTGTTTCTGCAGACAGGACCTCAATAGTTCTGGTGAGCTGCTCACTGGGCAAGTAACTACCATCCTGAGGGGGCAGGGCAGGAGGGAGGGAGCTTTAGAGGGTCAAGATAAGGTATAAAGCAGAGTCAGGGGCATGGACCTGAGGTCAAGGGAATGTGGGCTCTCCAATCCATTTGCTGTAAAGCCAGTGGGTTTGCAAGGATAGGAGGGCAGGGTTGGAGCAAATTTCCAGGTCAGCTGCTGGGCCGTGGCCTCAGGAAATGGTTCTGACATGGGCAGGCTTGACCCCTGAGGGATGAAGACACTGAAGATGATAATTCTGCTAATGTAGGAGCTATGTTTTCATAGCCACAGGGTCTTCATGTCAGGGACATGGGCAGACTTCTGGGGACAAGTCACTACTGTCTCTGAGCCTGAATATCCTCATCTGTAAAATGAGGATAAGGTAATAATAATACCCACCATACAGGGCTATTGTGAGAACTAAATCAGAGCAGTCCAATTGGGCAGGCTCAGGAGGTGATGAATTTCTCGTCCCAGGAGGTAAGCAAGCAGAGTGAGATGTCCCATGGGTAGGGATGTCATAGACAAACAAGCACTAAGCCCTGGACAGGGGATGGATGAGCCTCCCACTGAGATTATTTCCCTCCATCACTGAACTCTAACAAGGGCCTTTGATCTTGCCTTTGGCACAAGCATGCCTTCCTCTGAGCACACTACAAGTCCCTATGGAAGAGAGAGTGTTCTAGGCAGCAGGACAAGAAGGAGCATGACACATTTGGAAAACGGAGCCACAGTGTGAACAGGGCGATGCTTAGATGTGCCCAGCAGAAGCACCCTGGGAAATGAGGGGTAGGGAACAACCAACAACCTTGATCTCCTTGAAGACTCTTTCTGCTCATTGAGTGGATAAGGCCCCAGAGATTCAGTGTGGTTTTCTGGGGTTTGGGCCCATCACAGAGTCAGATTTTGGGCTTTAAGGAGGCCCTCCCTGTACCTGGATGGGCTCCAAGGACAGTCTCAGCTGACTGAGTGAGCAGGTGGCCTGCCTCAAGTCTTCATCAGTGGCCAGCACAATGATGAGTGTCCAGTGGGCCCCATTGCTTGCAGACACATCCCTCTGTGCTCTGACTTTCACTTCCATCTCCTTCTCCCACACCCTGCTCTCATTTTAGGTTCCTGCGCCTCTGAACTCTGAAATTCCACAAATGCACCATTCCCTCTATCCCATCTCCATGCTTTTGCCTCTCCTGTTCCCTTAGCCTGGGATGCGTTCACTTGCTTTACTGACTTGCAAAACTCCTACCCACGTTTCAAATTTCATACCACTGTGAATCCTTCCCTGACTTCACCAAGAGACTCAGATAGACCTTCTTCTCTGCTCCCCCTGCATCTGTACATACTTCTGTCTGTATCTTTATCATATTGAAGTATAATAAACTGTTGATATGTTGGTGTTTACACAAGACCAAGAAATCCTCATGGGCCAAGTCCATGCCTTATTTACTTCATGTTGAATGCACCTAGCATTTGAGAAGGTGGTTGGTAAAGTGGCTCATGCCTGTAATCCCAACAGTTTGGGAGGCTGAGGCCGGCAGATCGCTTGAGGTCAGGAGTTTGAAACCAGCCTGGCCAATATGGCAAAACCCCATCTTTATAAAAATACAGAAATTAGCCAGGTGTGGTGGCTCATGCCTGTAATCCCATGCCTGTAATCCCAGCCTTGGGAGGCTGAGGCAGGAGAATCACTTGAATCCAGGAGGCAGAGGTTGCAGTGAACTGAGATTGGACCACTGCACTCCAGCCTGGGCAACACAGCAAAACTCTGTCTAAAAAAAAAAAAAAAAAAGAGAGACAGAGAGAGAGATAATGTGGTTGGTAAATATATATTGAATCAATGCATTAATGAATGCAATAGAAACTGTCTTCCTATTAGTTTACTATTTGTCTCCCCTATTCAACTGTTAGCTCTATAAGAGTGGGAATTTTTTCAGTTTTGATAAGTGTTGTAGCCCCAGTGCCTGGCAGATAGTAGATTCTCAAGAAGTTGTGTGTTGAATAAATGTTGAGTTAAAATATGATAGCTCTGAACTTGGTCAGATGTGCTGACTCAACAAGGTAGCATATATCTAACTTTGATTCTAGTATGGAATGCAAGTCCATCCTGCCTCCCCAAATAACACAATCCCCAAGAGGAACTAGACTAAAAAACCTTAGCAAGCCTGCACATAGGACACTTGGAAATCTTGAATGAGGGGCCCCCTTTGCCAGTCCCACCTACTGCCAGCCTAGGCATGAATTCCATCTGGATCCCAGGGACCTTCTAGTCTACATAATCTTCTGGGTCATGGAGATGTTACCAAAGAGTAGGGAAAGTGGGCTTCCAGACTCATGTCCATTCTACTTGCCTTCATCTCTGCTTTGCAGATGTCCACAGTTTGCAGCCTCAGCTAGACTGTGGGCCCAGGGAGATCAAGGTGAAGGTGGACAAATGTTTGCTGGGAGGCCTGGGTTTGGGGGAGGAGGTCATTGCCTACCTGCGAGACCCAAACTGCAGCAGCATCTTGCAGACAGAGGAGAGGAACTGGGTATCTGTGACCAGCCCCGTCCAGGCTAGTGCCTGCAGGAACATTCTGGAGGTAAGTGGCTTTCACACCACTGCTGCCAGAAGGTATGTGTTGGGCTGATGGGACCTATCATAGTAGCTCTGAGATCTTGGACAAGCCACTTAGCTTCCCTGAGCCCCCAGGGTTGTGTGAGAGTGCACAAGTTGGTTTACATAAAGAGCTTAGTATAAGTCTGACATGTGAGTTTCATAAACGTAAGCTACAATTACGATAATTTCAATTAGGGATGGTGGGGGAGGGATGCACAGAGAAGCAAGCTTGTTGGTTCCTGACTCTTCCCAAGGGTCAATAATTTATCGTTCTAGTTTTTTGCCTGGTTTCCTCATTCGCCTTCCCATAAAGTGTCAGTAACACTGAAGGAAGAGGTCCCTTGACCTCCATGAGCTCAGAAGGTAGGGTGGCTGCATGGTTAAGCAAATTGACTCTGGAAATCAGATCTGGATTTGAGATACACCTACATACACATACACATAAACATCTGTATGGTTTTGTTTTTTTGCCAAAGAGAAATCAAACCCATGCCATCTACAAAAACACCCTCTCCTTGGTCAATGATTTCATCATCAGAGACACCATCCTCAACATCAACTTCCAATGTGCCTACCCACTGGACATGAAAGTCAGCCTCCAAGCTGCCTTGCAGCCCATTGTAAGGTATGGCATTGACCCTTGCCCTTTGACCCATAACCCTGGCAATAGTCACATCACACTTACTTCAAGTGCAGACTATGATGTCCACACCATACTGCCAGCCTCCTCCAGGAGCCTCCAGTCATTCAGTCATTCATTCCACAAGTATTCATTGATTGTATATTAAAGATGTTCAGCATGAACAAGGCAGACATAGACTATTCCGTGGCTATTAAAGATTGTTATAACTAGGCAATGCAGCAACATGAAACAGTGCTTACTAAATGTGCTAGAAAACAAAAACACAGGACAAGTTCAAAGTTCATTCACCTTGAGGAACAAAGGTATTAAACAACTAATTAAACCAATAATTACTTATAAGCAAGATGAGTACAATGTAAAAGAAATGTGGGGTGCTTTGGGAGCAGGGAACAGGGGTTCCAGACCCCTGTTGGTGGTGGGTTTGATGGGGACAGAACAGCTTCCCTGCAGACGTGAGATTTAAGCAGAGACCAGCTTTTATCGGATAAACAGGCACCCCCGTCCCCAGCAGAAATAGCATCAGATAGCAATTTGGGCAGGGGCTTTTCTCTGTTTTGTTGTGTTTCTGTGCTGAAATGGGGCCCTGTTGAATCAGTTCCTTAGCATCCCTAGACTTGCTAGGGGACTTTCTGAGATGTCAAAAATCCAGAGTGCCCGTCTCATTCCCTATTGCTCCCTGGGATCACAAAGCAACAGGATCAGAAGGATTAGACATTTTCTAATTCAGTGGTTTCCAGATGGTTTGGTGCTGGGGCTCCTGGTTCATAAAAAATCAAAATGAAAGCCATTTATCTTGTTAAAATTGGTGTTTCACTGAAGACTGTGGAATGCAGGGAAGAGATCTGTTGCTAAAAAATGTGAACACACAGAACTGGTTCTCAGCCCCACTCTGCAGGTGAGAAGATGGAGGTATACACTCAGTTATTCCTTCAGCAAGGGAGATATGTGTAACCTGTCCTGCAGGGAGGATCGGTGGAAATCCCAGAGACAGACTTGTCTGTCAAGTTTAGTGCCTAGAAGCTAATAAATGCTCAGTTTAAACGACTGATTGACTAGTTCACTTAAGGATCCAAGATGTGTGTCCTTGCCTTCGTAAGTGTGTTAAGTAAGTGCAGGGCTTGATTTATGTTGTTCTCTGAGGTTTCCACTCTTGTGGCTTTCTTTTTCTCAGTTCCCTGAACGTCAGTGTGGACGGGAATGGAGAGTTCATTGTCAGGATGGCCCTCTTCCAAGACCAGAACTACACGAATCCTTACGAAGGGGATGCAGTTGAACTGTCTGTTGAGTCCGTGCTGTATGTGGGTGCCATCTTGGAACAAGGGGACACCTCCCGGTTTAACCTGGTGTTGAGGAACTGCTATGCCACCCCCACTGAAGACAAGGCTGACCTTGTGAAGTATTTCATCATCAGAAACAGGTAACGAGCAATTCTGGAATTATCATTTGGCCTTACTAACGTTTACAGGAAAGTGTTCATCTCATCCATCCCCAGCAGACGTGTAAGTTGTACTACATATCATAACCACAATCTTTGACCCAGAAATATCACTCCTGAGATTTTAGCCTAAAATATTAATACTAAACAGGTGGGCAGGGTAAATAAATGTCAATATTTTCCATTTCAATATCGTTGATAACTTTGGCAACAGGCTGATTGTTCAAAAATAGGGAATCAATTTGGTAGTGATGGATTATTACACAGAAGTGAACACTGGTCAATATGAAAACAATATGATAAATGTTGTGGGGTGAAATATCATTAAACATGCCCGGCTGACAAAAACAAGGGAAAAATGCATTTCTATAGATCATGATTTAAATTATAGTAATAATCCTAGCTAATATTTGTCATTGAGCTATGGCACATTAGCTATGTGCCAAGCAATATGTGGATTATCTGATTAAATGCTCACATCAGTCTCATAAAGTGTATATTACTGTCTCCACTTTACAGATAAGAAAAGTAAGGTTCAGTAAGGATGAGTAACCTGCCCATAATCACTTAGCTAGAACGTGGGTCAGGCTACAGTATAAAACCAGTCTGTTTCACTCCAGAGACTGTGCCCTCAAATAATTTAAGCCATGTGCGCTTATGGATAACATCTTGGAGGAAACAGAGGAACAGAAAAAGTCCACGTTATCATGATGGAGGGAACCCGAGGGACTCTTTAATTTTCTCCACTGCTGTTTTTAGAAGTTACACCTTTGCCCCTGTCACCCTCCCAGCTGCTCAAATCAACGTGATTCCACCATCCACGTGGAGGAGAATGGGCAGTCCTCGGAAAGCCGGTTCTCAGTTCAGATGTTCATGTTTGCTGGACATTATGACCTAGTTTTCCTGCATTGTGAGATTCATCTCTGTGATTCTCTTAATGAACAGTGCCAGCCTGTGAGTGTCTCTTTGAACTGAACTCTTCAGAGCCTGGCATGGAGCCTGGTACCTGATAGGCTTTCCATATATATTTATTGGAATTATAAACGCAGGGAGGGTGGGAGGGAGGGGAAAGGGAGGGACAGGAAGAGAAGGGAAAGGGGAAGGGGAAAGAGAACGGGAAGGGAAGGGAAGGATGGACAGAAGGGAAGGGAATGGGAAGGTGAAGGGGAAGAGGAAAGGGAAAGGGAAGATTAGGGAAGGGGACGAGGAAGGAGAAGGAGGGAGGGAAGGGAAGGGAGGGGAAAGGGAAGAGAGAGGGAGAAAGGAATACAGGAGGGATGGAGAAAGGAATACAGGAGTGATGGAGGAGGAAAGGAGGGACAGGGAAGGAGAGAAGGAAGGAAGCAGGATGAAGAGACGGAACGAGATAGGTAGGTGTATGGATGGGAGGGAGGGAAAAACGAACAATAAATAGATAGACTCTAGATCTCCTAAAGGCCCATATCTAAGCAATTTTTGTGTCCCCAGGAGGCAGATTTGATAAAGAAATCTGTCTACTAGATTCCATTGGCATCTTTTAAATGATTATAATCATAGATGACTTTTTTAGTGCTTGCACTTTGTCAAGCACTATGCTAAAACTTCTGCATACATTTTTTAATGTAAGTCTCAGAACAACCCTGTAAGTAGATTATTTTGCCTACTCCACTGTGAGGTTCAGAGAAGTCCTTGCCCACAGGGCCACACACAATTAGAAAATATCAGAGCCAGGGTGTGCCCCAGCCGAGAGGTGGCTCCAGTGCCCCTGCTCTTGCCTGCATTTGGAACTGCCTGTGAATAGTTGGCATTTTCCGAGTGCTTACTTTGTGCCCATGTGTTGCAGACACATCTCATTTTCATCTTCACAACCAGGTAGGTATTATTTAGTTATTGTAGAAAGGCAAAGTCATTGGCCCCAAATTATATAGCTAAAAGAAAGTCTCTACTTGATGAGATTCAAACCCAGATTTGTTTGGCATGACAGTGATAATTTTCTAGATTGAGATAACCACAGCATCGGAATTAGGGCCATAGCGTGAACCAGTTCTGGACACAGTTCTTGGTCCAGAGCTGCCCATTGTAGGAGCAGTCTAGATAGAATCCAGGCATTTAAATTTTGATATAATAAAAGTTCATCATCCCTACAGTCTTGCTCAAGAAGTCAAGTCCGCAGTGAAGTACCGGCCATCGACCTAGCCCGGGTTCTAGATTTGGGGCCCATCACTCGGAGAGGTAAGTGGCCAAATCCCAGTGACAAGACCAGCTGGCTGAGTGTTGACAGTTAACCACAGATGCCTGGGGTCACCAACTCAACTTCTCAGGGCTCTTGTACCACCTCAGTCTGACCCTTACTGAAAAACCTATTCTTTGAGATGCTTTGGGTAATAATGACAATATTGTCATTTGGACCTCCTGTGTGCTTAGAGACCAGGCTAAGCTCTTGCATCCATCAATTCACTTAATCCTCCCATGCCTATGTCCATTTTACAGGTGAGAAACTAAGACTCAGAGAGATTAAGTGACTCGCCCAAGATCCCCCTACTCATGAGTGGCTAGAGTTAGGATTGAACCCAGCTCAGTCTGATTCCAAAACATGTGGCCTTTTCCTTATTCCACCTGCTTCCAGGTCCCCATAATTCAGTTCCTTATGGGTGAGGCGTAAGTCCTAAATCCCGTCTAAATGCAACTTTGTTTTCTGGTGAATGACTGTTTTCCAAAATTCATTTACAGTATTCTGGAGTATAATATAGGGGAGGCTTTCCAATGACTCCTCATATTTTCATCCATCCTACTCATGGGTTTACAGTAGTGTTTAGTTAGTGTTTTTATTTCCACCAGGATGGAGAAGTGAAAGAATGAAAGCCTTTTTTTTCCCCTAAAGGAATTAAGATGCAGTAATGTTGGTAATAATAATACTTTCTTTGTGCCTGGCACTTTGTCAAATGCCTTTATATGCATGATCACTTTGAAGGCTCACAGCAGGTGAGGGAGGTAAGCATTATCACCATTTCCATTCTCCAGAGCAAATGGAGGCTGTCTCATGAAGTAGGCTCTGCCCTGAGTTTTCCTACCATTTCACTGAGCTCTCAACTTGAAGCCTCAGGTGGCATCACAGGGTAACTTGGTGGAGGTTAGGAACTTCCACTTTTGAATCAGACATACTGGGGTTTGAATCCCAGCTCTGCTACTGACTGGCAAGGTCAACTTGGCAAGTCCCTTAACATCACTGAGCTCCAGTCTTCTCATCTGTCAAATGGGGATGAGAATACTTTCCTCACAAATCTGTTAGGAGGATTAAGTCTAAGATGCACGCAAAGTGTCTAGAAAGGTGCCTGTGCCAGATTCTAGATGCCCCCACAATGTGGCCACAAACTTGCTGGTGGTTGCGATGGCCAGGTCTAGGAGGATGTGAAGCAGTTATGGCCACAGTGTTGCAGT
Organism: Homo sapiens; assembly: GCF_000001405.40. Lineage (NCBI taxonomy): Eukaryota > Metazoa > Chordata > Mammalia > Primates > Hominidae > Homo > Homo sapiens. Next base: position 20,314,749 of record NC_000016.10, on the reverse strand, counting down.
CACTGGAGCATGACTGAGGAAACCCACCCCTTCTGTTCTTGTTCACAGGTGCACAGTCTCCCGGTGTCATGAATGGAACCCCTAGCACTGCAGGTACATCATTTTCTCATGCCTTTCCCACAGCTTTCCCAACTCTCCTTTCTCTTTTCAATTCTGCCCCTTTTATGGCCCAGACCCTATGCTAGGGACACTGACATTAATCAGACCTAAGATTGGCCTTTGAGATGCCCACAGTATAGTGGAGGAGGTAGTCCTTTAACAAGAAATATATACTGAGTGCCCACTGTGTGCCAGGCCTTCTTCTAGGCACTGAAGATGTGATGGCAAACAAAACAGCCCAGGTGCCTACCCTCATAGAGCTTATGCACCAGTGTGGAAAGTAGAAAATAAAAAAGTAAACATGGTACTTTAGAAATAAAAGAAAGTGATGTGATAGATAATGCCTTAAAAAAAAAAGAAATTCATTTCTTTTTTTTTCAAACTCAAGAACTTTTTTTTTTTTTTAATTCATTTTACTTTAAGTTCTGGGATACATGAGCAGAACGTGCAGGTTTGTTACATAGGTATATATGTGCCATGGTGGTTTGCTGCACCCACCAACCTGTCATCTAGGTTTTAAGTCCCGCATGCATTAGGTATTTGTCCTAATGCTCTCCCTCCCCTTGCCCCCCATCCCCTGGAAGGCCCTGGTGTGTGATGTTCCCCTCCCTGTGTCCATGTGTTCTCATTGTATAGACATTCATTTCTGTCACACATAAATGAAGCTTAGAGGCAAGCTGTCCAAGGCTAGCGGGGCAGCACCATAAAGCTGTCAAAGACCCAGGCTCCTTCCAACTCATGCCTCCACCATCTTTGAGGTGTGGCCATCATCTTCATGTTCCAAGATGGCAGCCAGAGCTCCAACCTTTGTATCCAGGCAGCAGGATGGAGGGAACAAGGAAGAAGCCAATGAGTGTTAAAAGACATTCCCGAAAGCTGGCACCTTATATCTCCACTTACATCTCATTGGCCAGTGCTTGGTCACATGCCACACATTGCTGTGAAGAAAGCTAGGAAATGTAATCTTTACTCTGGGTGGGCCATGTGCCTAACCAATGTTTGATGGCTTTATTAGCAAGGTAGGAAGGAAGAATGACTATCAGAATGGATAAGTGGTCAGAAAAACTTTCAGAGTAAGTGATGTTGAAGCCAATTGAGAAAAATGAGTCGGAGGTGCAAATGTTAGGGGAATGAGCCCCATATGCATGGGAACATCAATAATTCATTGCACAAGTGAGACAGACACTTGAGCAAATAAATGACAAGCAAGTAGATAGTACAGAAAGAGTACATAAAAGGCTAAATAACTGTATTGGATAAGGTCTGGAAAGAATTTCACCAGGTAGTAACATCTGAATGGGGTTTTGATGAATGACTTGGAGCTAAACAAGCTAACTAATAAAAGAAATATCACACTCACACACACACACGCAGAGAGAGAGAGAGAGACAGAGAGACAGAGAGAGAGAGAGAACATTTTTACATTTTTTTACATATTTATAGGGTACTAGAAATATGTCTTGGACAAAATGGAAAGCACATACTATTAAGATTTGCTTTCCCACAAAATGACTTATATTGGTGAACCCAAACATGAAAAGGTTCTTTCCATCCTCAAAGCCCAAACTTAGATGGCAGTTTTTAAATTTCCCAAATAAGTCCAAGATGGACTCTCTATGTTCCGTGCTAGCATTCAGAAAATGCTAAGAAAAGTCACGCTCATTGAGAGGAGTGGTTAGAGCTCATTCTAAAAGCAGCTTAGGCCAGGTGCGGTGGCTCATGCTTGTAATCCCAGCACTTTGGGAGGCCAAGACAGGCAGACCACCTGACGTCAGGAGTTCGAGACCAGCCTGACCAACATGGAGAAACCCTGACTCTACTAAAAATACAAAATTAGATGGGCATGGTGGTGCATGCCTGTAATCCCAGCTACTTGGGAGGCTGAAGCAGGAGAATCACTTGAACCCGGGAGGAGGAGGTTTCGGTGAGCTGAGATTGCACCATTGCATTCCAGCCTGGGCAACAAAAGCAAAACTCCATCAAAAAAAAAAAAAGCAGCTTGAAGTCAAGAACCTCAAGTCTCATTCCTTTCTGCCAGTCCTTCTGGTTAGCCCAGTGCCTGGAACAGTGTGGTTTCCCAGTAGAGTTTGCCAAATTGACTAATTTCTAGAATGGGTGGTAGATTTTGGACGCTTCTGGACAAGGAGGGGATCAGTCTGATGTTGAGACAGCCTACCCACTACAAGAGGGCACTTGTGGTTTTCATTGTCTGCTATCACAATCATCTTTGATGTTTTAGAATTAATTGAACATCAACCTGTTTTTATAATTATAACTTTTTGTCATGTACTGTTCTGAAATTTATGATATTTCTCTCCTCACTTCTAGGACATCAGCCAGTTACTTTGAAATTGGGGTAATGGGGAGATTTTACAATTTGGTAGTATGGCAGGAAGGCTCACATATTTCTCCTAGGCCCTCTGATACAAGACCATTATCATCTGGGATCCACGTCCTTCACTGAAACTGAGTACACAGTGATGTGCCAAAGAGATACAATCCCAGCAGAACTAGATCTTAGAGTCTAGCTTTTAAAACCAACATTTATATAGTGTTTACCATGTGCCAGGCAATGGTCTCAATGCTTAATATGAACTCACTCATTTAAGCCTTACAAAAATCCAGTGAAGTCACAGCTGCTATTAATATTTCTCTTTGGCATACAGGAAAATACAGGCAGAGAGGTTTAATAACTTTTCTGGGACTGCCCAGCTAGGTGTAGAGCTGAGATTCTAAGCTAAGTAATCAGGCATCAGAGGCAGTGCTTTTTAACCTCTGTGTCTTTCTGCCCCTTCAGTATTAGTCAGCATAAATAATGCTAGCTGCTGTAACAAACAGTCCCCAGTCTTCTGTGTCTTTAGACGACAGTATTGTTTCCCACTAAATCACTGGGGGAGGGGATGCAGTTCTGCTCCATGTAGTCGTTAGGAGCTCAGGCTTCTACTACCTTCTGGTAACTTCTGGTAACTCCACTATCCCCTGCAAGTCCTATCTTGGATCCTCTGCATCTGCTCCCTAGATGGTTGATGAGAGAGCAACAGGATATATAGGAGGCTTTAAGGATCAGACCTAGAAATGGCACAGATGACTTCTATGCACATTTTATTGACCAGATTCGGTCACATGGCCCCACCTAGTTGCAAAGGACACTGGGAAAAATTGCATTCCTGTGTGTCCAGAGGAAAATGAAAAAAATGGTTGGTGATTAGATTGCCTCTACCATGTGAGTCCCAGAGACTATAACTAGGCCAGATATCAAAGATGCTTTGCCTTTCTCATCCTTGTGTTGTGAAAGACAAAGAGGCCAACTTATGTTTGCTCCTGACTCCCAAAGCCCAACACTTGACAGTCATATTTCTTGTATTTCAGGGTTCCTGGTGGCCTGGCCTATGGTCCTCCTGACTGTCCTCCTGGCTTGGCTGTTCTGAGAGCTCCGCTGAGCATCTGGCCTTGAAGTTTGTGTTCTTCCCTCTGGCAATGGCTCCCTTCAGCACTTCTGCTTTCCACTCCAATTCACACAGGCTTGGTATTAATAGAATCAAGGCCAAGCTAGGTTAGGAAAAGGGAAGAGCTTTCACCTTCTTTAAAACTCTCGGCTGGGCGCAGTGGCTCATGCCTGTAATCCCAGCATTTTGGGAGGCTGAGGCAGGTGGATCACCTGAGGTCAGCAGTTCAAAATCAGCCTGGCCAAAATGCTGAAACTCCGTCTCTACTAAAAATACAAAAATTAGCCAGGCATGGTGGCAGGCGCCTGTAATCCCAGCTACTCGGGAGGCCAAGGCAGGAGAATTGCTCGAACTCAGGGGGTGGAGGTTGCAGTGAGTTGAGATTGTGCCATTGCACTCCAGCCTGGGCAACAGAGCAAGACTCTGTCTCAGGAAAAAAAAAAAAAAAAAAGAAAAGCAACATAGTGGGGTTTCTGTCAATCTGTCCTCGGCTGCCCTTCTCATTTGTTGATGGGACCTTGAAAGCAAGCTTGCTAGGTGCCCTCTGTGGCTCCAGCCTTTACCGGAAGTGTGGTGCATGTTTTTAACTTCAGGGAAGCGGTATCCTGTCACTGGGGTATGGGATGAGCATGGAGAAGAGGCACCAGCCACGATTCCTTCCTAAGCATCTCCTGTTCTGACTGCTCATGAATTGAAGAAACTGACCCTTGTGTTCACTCTGCTTCCTCTGATTGTTTCTATCATGGTTTCCAAAAATTGCCATGGGAACATGTCAAAGGGCCACTTTTGGAGACTCTGCTCCAGGAAGAACTAGTCCCCATAGCTCCCCTATCCCCCACCATACCACAGACATGCTGTGACTTAGAGAACTACACAAACATCCTTGGGACCTAGATGCTGGAGGAATGACTTAATTTGATGCAGAAACTCCATCACCCAAGGGAGTACCTCTCACTGTAAACAGTGCTGTGCTTGCTCTGAAGGATTAAGCAAGAAGTCCCAACAGAAGCAATGCACCAGTCCTGCTATGGGAATGAAACTGCAAAGCCTAGGAGATGGGTGAAGTCCCTTTCTGGAGACCTTTAATGAGTACTTCAAAGCACCCGACACAGATGCAGCAAATAGGGCATCACACATACACAGGCATTAATACTCACGGGCATATAGATGCTGACATGTGTACACTGACTTACGCCCTTCCCACAGCTACAGATAAGGCCTCGCAAAGTTGGCCTCAGAGACACATCAGGAACCAAGGTGGACCAGCAGGTGCCGAGCCTGTGTATCTGCTTGGAGGAGACGTTCCAATGTGCTGCCTTGTTCAGAGATGGTGTAGTTGCAAGAAACAGAAACCCACCACAATTTCTCAGGCAAAAAGGGAGTTAATTATAAGGACATAAGAGCACAAAGTTCCAGTGCAAGAGATACATCCAGGCTGCACAAGCTCCGGGAGTGGGGCCTGGCAAGCCAAAAGAAACCAAAGTTTGTCTTGCCTTCTGTTCCTCTTTCTGAAGCCACATAGCCTTTTATGACTGTGTATTTTTGCATCGCTTTTGTTTTCTTTTTATGTCTCTGAAGCCAGCTTTTCCTGTTCACTCATCCCTTGATTAAATATGGACATTCTAGCTTCACATCACTTCCTAATTCAGGGACCAACAGAGACTGGTTAGCATGTTGCTATCCCACCTCCAAATTGCATCAGGGAATTTGATTTTGCTGCTTGGGTCAGGGTCCAGTAGTCTGGGCCAGGGGACTGGGACCATCTAGCACATAGCCAAAGGGGCTGACCTAATGGGGCAGGTCTGACACAAATGGGGTCATTTCTTGGACAGACATCCCAAGGGCCACTATGATAGTGGCTTCTCTAAAAGACGGGTTCCTGAGAAGAATTGCATTCTGTTTCCCAGTGAGTTAGCGGAGTCATACTTACTACATCCCAAGGCAGGTGGCATGGTAGAAACAGGCCTGAAAGAGAGGTCAGGTTCTAACCTTCTCCCCTCTCTGAGGCTCAGCTGCTCCCTTCTGTAGAATAAAAGGGGTTGGTCTGTAACAAGATTTTCAAAAATTTATAGTAGTGAAACTTTACAATTCGACTTGGACAACCAGAGATTAAAAGCAAATAGATTCTTGTTGATGTCAGGTGGGGAGCTTAGCTCTCCCATTCTGTGATTCCTTCCTCTGAAGGCCCTCAAAGCAACTCCATAATAACTCACAGAGCTGCCAGAGCCGATGTTTTGGAGCACCCTGAGACATATGAACTCTAATATAACTTCCAGGAGAAAGTACATAGGATTCCACTTAGAGCCAATCTCAGCTGTCTATCTGTCTAGCTACCTGTCATCTATCTATCCATGTATCTATCTATGTATCTATCTATGTATGTATGTATCTATCTATCTATCATCATCTACCTCCTATCTACCTATCGTCTACATACCTCCCTACTCAATTATCATCTAGCTAGCTAGCTATTTACACCTTTTTGTTTTCTACAAATGGGCATGTTGTCTGAATAACAATCTCTGAATGTCCAGTCCACTTCATTCATTCATTCAGTCAACACAAATTTGCTTAGCAGTTTTTATGTCCCGGGTCCAAGGGCCTGGGTACAATAATTAATTAGACACAATCCCTTCCCTAGGAATGTTCCCAATCCTGGCAGAACACAAACTCACATAGAGGCACTCACAGGCAAACCACAAACACACATGCCCACTTAGCCCCCCACACAGGCCTGTATACCCAGAGGCGTCTATCCACACCAACACACACATTCTAACAGACACACATATCAACCTCACGTGCCCAAAGGCACAGATGCACATGCAGAAAGCCTCAGAGACCCTCAAGTCAGCCACTTACATATTTATTGTCATGAATTACTTTGTAACAACCAATATTTTTTAACACCCCCTACGTATAAGGCATTATTTTAAGTGCATTTTGGGCATTATATCATTCCACCCTCACATTAGACATTGAAGGTAGCCACTATTATTACCTTCAATTTAGTGACGAGTAAACCGGTGCTTTAAAAAGATAATTACTCAAAGGCCTATAGCTTTTAAATGCTGATTTCAGGGCTTGAACCCAGGTAGCCAGACGTTGAAGCAAATGCTCTAAACTAGACTCTGTATCCTGCCTCCATTTATATATAACACTTAACACACACACACACATAAACACACACACACACAGTGCGGCACCCATATACACACAAACGTATATGTGTATAACATATATGCACCCACTTGCAAACAGGTATGTGGACAGACACATGCATTTTCCAGCAAAGGCCCTCACACATACACAGGCATTAATAGTCATGGGCGTATAGATGTTGAGATGTGTGCGCTGACTTATGCATCATGATTTAGTGCAGACACACCAATGGAACTTCACATATAACTTAATACAGAAAAAAAACCCACAGAGACACTCCAATGTGTCATACGTGCACACACATATGTCTGCACATGCACGCATACATATACACATAAACACACACATACATCCCTACGAGACACAGGATCTGGATCCAACTCTCCTAGAACCAGGATTCCTGCCATGTTTCTCTCCCATCAGCTTACATCTCCCACCCCCAGTGCTGTTCAGCTGGGCTCTGGGGCAAGATAAATTCCAGCTGCAGAGGGCTCAGTGAAATGGGCCCTGGACCCAGCATCTGAAAGTTCTGGAGAGTAAGGATGTTGGGGATAGCCAGAAGCAACCTGAAGACTAGTCTTCCATACCCAGGAAGACTGGCCTCTCAGGTTTGAAGAAGCCTTTGCAAGCAGCTGGTAGAGGATACCGAGTGGCTTAAGGTGCCCTCCCCTCCAAGAACTTCAACTCTTCTTGGGGAAACAGAATGCAGATACTGGGCAGCAAAAGCTTAGTAGTGTAAGACTGAGACAGATACTGCAAGACTCAGAGAAGGGAGAGCTCAGCCCAGCCTGGGAGAAGAGGGAAGGGCTCAATCCCAGTCCCTTCATTTCATGGATGGAAATTAAGGTCCAGCAAAGACAAGTGGCATGTCCATCCTTAATGACCAGGCAGGGATGAAGGTGGCAGGGAGAAAGGTAAAACTGGTCACCTGAAGGAAATTTGGCATGGGAACCCCAGAGGATACACCCCACCCATCCTAACTCATTTCATAATCTCTCCTCACTCCGTTCCTCTCTTTCAGCCTCTTTCTCCTGTGAAGGGCCAGAAATCACCCTCATATTTTCTATCATATTAGATTCTCCCTTCTAAAAGTCTATCAAATTCATCCACTTTTCTTCAACCCCATTGAATCTGATCTTTTCCGGGCTACTTTCATCTCTCACCTTAACCACCATAATAGCTTCTTAAGTGGCCTTTCTTCAGGCTCACCTCTCTCAATCCATTCTCTACTCTGCAGCTAGTGAGCATTTAAAACAAAAGACACTTTCTCCTTTAGATCGCTCCAGAGGCTCTTTACCTTCTATAGGATGAGTTCTGCCTGCTTACCTGACAGATCACATTCTTCACCATCTGAGCCATTGCCTGCCTCTCCAGACTTAGCCCTTAAACATATCCCCTTCATAACCCAGCTTCCAGTGCCACGGAATTTCTCAGGCTCCCTGAGCTGTTCTATTGCACTCTACCCTACTCTCGTGTGCTGTTTTGCTGCCTGGAGGACACTTCCCCTTATTGGGGTTATTTCTCCTATGAAGGCTTCCTGGATCCCCCTGTCCAGTGTAGAGTAGGCAAATCAATCAATAGAAAATAGACCCACAAACGACAAATAATATAATCAGCAGACCAGAAAGTCAACACAGTTTAAAAAATACATTCCATTTTTTTCAAGAAAGTAGAGAAAAGCATGAGCATGATAAGTAGAGAAAAGGAAGATATATATTTTAAAAAACTACTACCCTACTTTATGACCTCTTCTTTACAGACTTTTTTTTTTTTTTTTTTTTTTTTGAGATGAAGTCTCACTCTTGTTGCCCAGGCTGGAGTGCAGTGGCGCGATCTCAGCTCACCACAACCTCTGCCTCTCCGGTTCAAGTGATTCTCCTGCCTCAGCCTCCCGAGTAGCTGGGATTACAGGTGACTGCCACCACGCCTGGCTATTTTTTTGTATTTTTAGTAAAGATGGGGTTTTACCATGTTGGCCAGGCTGGTCTCGAACTCCTGACCTCAGGTGATCTGCCTGCCTTAGCCTCCTAAAGTGCTGGGATTACAGGCATGAGCCACTCTACAGACTTTGATAATCACATGTAGCGTCTGCATCTGAAATTGTTTTTACATCTGTCCCACCTGCACCCTTCACCCCAGGCTGTTAGTTTCTTGAGGACAAGGACTTCATCATTTTCAAACATTATTGGTCAAATAAATGAAGAAATAGGCTGCATCCTTTCTCTTTATCCTTTGACCTCCTCTATCATCCTGCTGTTATCTTCCAGAAGGAGAAGAAACAGCTTCACAGGAAAAGTAGAGGAGATTTTCCCATTATGGTGAAAGTGCCAAATCAGAATGTGAAATAGGAATTCTGGGCTCTGTACCAGGCATTTACTCCTATGCTGTTAGCTGATGTTAAAGAGGGTGGATTTCTTTTCCCTTAGGTCTCACCTTCTGTGCCTTCAGGGGAAGTTGGTTGGAAGTTTGAATGGTTTGTTGTTGTCGTCATTGTTTTGTATTTAGGAGGGCTGTAATGGAACGAATACAATGGTTATTGATGGAGAGTAAGTTGAGAGAAGCTCAAGGGTGATTATTTAATGGCAGGAGGGGGAGAAAAAAAGTAAATCTATAAAGAGCTTGGGACACCAAGTCCAGAACTTCATGCATATAACAGCCAATTAACAATCAAATTTTAGAAAGTCTCAGAGAGGGACTTGCAAACACACAAATATCAGAAAAAGCATTTGTAGCGGAGACCAACCAAAACACTGGATTCTGGGAGCCTCTGTCTGAGAATGGAATTAACTTTGTTTCATAGAAGACTTTATAGGCTTTATAGGGGAGACGGGGAAGGACCTAGTTGTACATATTTCATTTCAATGCATAAACATATACCTATATACCTACAAGACACAGGATCTGGATCCAACTCTCTAAGAACCAGGACTTGGACTGTGAGTCCCAGAACATCCATGAAAGTGTTCCCACTTCTTATATGGAAGATGAGAGTAGTAGCTGCCCTAATAACTGGAGGGTTGCTAGAGAGATAAAGGAGACAAGGGATAGGTCACTTTGTGTAGTCACTTTGCAATGCATAAAAGCTAGTTCAACCATTGTGGAAGACAGTGTGGTGATTCCTCAAGGATCTAGAACTAGAAATACCATTTGACCCAGCCATCCCATTACTGGGTATATACCCAAAGGATTATAAATCATGCTGCTATAAAGACACATGCACACGTATGTTTATTGTGGCACTATTCACAATAGCAAAGACTTGGAACTAACCCAAATGTCCATCAATGATAGACTGGATTAAGAAAATGTGGCACATATACACCATGGAATACTATGCAGCCATAAAAAAGATGAGTTCAGGTCCTTTGTAGGGAC